>NC_000002.12:46553988-46857018 GCF_000001405.40 Homo sapiens | reverse complement strand
GTGGAAGAAGTGGAGGCTCAGGGAGATGAAACCCCCTTCCTTCAGACATAAAGTCAGTATGTGACAGTGTGGACAGATATGGCCCAGTTACCAGCCCCCTTTCGGCAGCTCTTGGAGGGGAGGCTAAGTTCTCACACAAAGGTGAGGAGGGCAGAACGTGCCTGTGGAGGTCAGCAGGTAATGGGACAGGTAGTGCCAGGCATCAAGCGGCCACACACAGAAGTCAGGCCCAGGCTCCAGGAGTCTGGGGGTGAGGCTGAGGCCGCGGGGATGAATTGTGTCCAGGATGCTTTCAGCCTCCTTCTCTCACCTCCCCTTGGGGCCCAGGACCTGTTCTCTGCACCTCCACCCAGTCTCCAGTAGATCCCCCCGAGGTATGGGCTGACACGAGGGTTTTCTTGCCAGGGGGATTTGCATTCCACAGGAGATGCATGAAGACCTTTGTACATTGGTAAACCAGAGAATGTTGGGTGTGACTAAAGTCTGAAAGTAGGAACCTGCTGGGCATTTGGGGCAGGGAGGGGGGCAGCCTGGTGGGGCAGGGTCCATGTGCATTGGGGAGAGAGGAAAGTTGAAGGAAGATTGGGTATAACCTTAAGTGCCAGCATGAAGCCCTTGACTTTATCCTGTTGCCAGCGGAGCCATGGATGGCATAGGCTGGACTGCCCTGACAGTGGATCACTGGTACGATCCTGCTGGAGTCCTTGGGCCTCTAGGCAGGGCATGGTGTGGGAGAGTTGGGTTGGTGTCAGAGAACTCTGGGCTTCCTGTAGATGAATCCAAGGGCCTTCTCCTTGGAGGGGCCCACTCGCTCCCAAAGCCTAGCCCACCTTCCCCAAGCTGCCCCCTTGTCAGCTCTATGTAGACACCAGGCTTCCATGCAGGGATTTGCTTTTTGCCAATAACAGAAAAGGGAGAAAAAAATTTCAAGCTCCCTGGAGAGGGATAACTGGTTGTATCTGAAACTCAAGGGATTGGCTAATAGTCCTCTAAGGAGCAGGGTGACATCAACACCTTGAATTACTCACCTGGTATAAAATGGCCCCAGTCCCTTCAGCCCAGCAGCTGCTCATCATTGGCTGTACATTGGAATCATCTGAGGAATTAAAAAAATATATATATATACATATATATAGATGCCTGGGCCCCATCTCCAGAGATCCTGATTGATTGGTCTGGGGTGCGGCTGGGATTGGGGTTTTAATCTGTGCAAAGGGCTGAGGACCACGGCCTCACAGACTTCTGCAGCGTGGTAGTTGGACATGCCACTGAGGTTGGTCACAGCTCTTTCAAATCAAGGTACTTCCTGGAGACCTCAGGGGCTGATTCTTGCTATACGAAGTGATTGTATTATTACAGTTCCTGAAATGCCCTGAGGTCCTGGGAGGAGAGTTCTGGATTCTCACCAGAACATTCTGAGACCTGACCTGAAAGGGCCCTGTCCTCAGCCTCCTGCCCCCTCCTCTTCATCATGACTATTCTTTCCTGCCCTGACGTGGGATTCTCACTCCATTCTGCCTCCCCAACCATTTATTTTGGACAATCATTAAAGATAAATGTTTAAAAAATCATCTAAGAAAACATGTGTATCCCACTGGAAATTTCAAGGCAATGAGTCATCACACTCCTGGTCCCCCTCAAATTCCCGTCTCTTATGTAAGGCTGAGTCATTTTTTTGTGAGGTCCGTGCATTGCAGAAAAAAATTGGAAGGCTCTCAAGATAAGTGTGTGTGTGTGTGTGTGTGTGTGTGTGTGTGTGTGTGTGTGTGTGTGTGAGTGAGAGACAGAGAGAGAGAGAGGGATTGATTCACATTATTTGCAGCTTTAGGGGACTGATGGTACCCCTGAGTTAACATCAGAGATTCCTCATCCCCTATACTCATTCTTTTTCTCTCTACTTCAATTTCCATCCGGTGATGTTTTTGCTCCAGAGTGCAAATGTGAGCCTTTGTCATCCTGCTGTCCCGGCTCAGGACCACTGTCTGTTGTGGGGCCTGAGGACAGGCCAGCCCATGGAGAGGGTGCTCCACTCCCCAGCATGCACATCCTGAGCAGGCCCCAGAGCCCGAGAGGTGGATGACCTATGTCTGGGGTCTAGCTTCCAGGTCTGGGTTCTGGTTATTTCTGATTTTTCTCAGAAAAATACAGAGGTTGTAGAGCAGGGTTCAGGAGAATAAAGAATCGCAGGTATTTCAAGGGAGCAAACTGAGGGAGCCCATTCCCTAGAGGAATGAGGTTGCTTTTTGGGAGTTTGACCATAAAATTGACACATAGAAATCAAAGCAGACAAAGGCCAAGCCATGCTAAAAAGAGACAGAATGGGGCCCAGGCCAGTGAGACCTGCGTATCTAAAGGAAAAGATGCCAGTCAGAAGGGGTCAGGTCTGCAGCAGAGAAGTAGAAAAGAGCCAGTCCTAGGCACACGGCCACACCCATCCCACACTGCCTGGGGAAAGGGATTCCAGTGTCCCCACTGGCAATGGCATGTCTCTGTTGGGGAGGTGCATGCCTCCCACTTTTGTAGCCTGAGATTTTCAATCATTTGCACTCAGTAAGGAAAGGCTCTGGTTCTGAGCCCAGAAGCCCAGGCCTGGCTCCTTAAGCATTGTGCCTACAGGAAAGGGAGGGACTGCATGTAGGGACGAGAGAGCAGCCAGCTGCTCACCACTTTTCCTGTGAATGAACAAAGCCACTGTATTAGTCCGTTTTCACACTGCTGATAAAGAAATACCCAAGAATGGGTATTCACAAAGGAAATTCACAAAGGAAAGAGGTTTAATGGACTTACAGTTCCACGTAGCTGGGGAAGCCTCACAATCATGGTGGAAGGCAAGGAGGAGCAAGTCACATCTTATGTGGATTGCAGCAGGCAAAGAGAGCTTGTGCAGGGAAACTCCCATTTTAAAAACCATCAGATCTTGTGAGATTCATTCACTATCATGAGAACAGGGCAGGAAAGAACGGCCCCCATAATTCAATCACCTCCTACCAGGTTCCTCCCGCAACACACGGGAATTGTGGAAGTTACAATTAAAGATGAGATTTGGGTGGGGACACAGCCAAACCGTATCATCCTTCTGGTTTGATACAGTGTGAGCTAATGTTGCATGAATTCCTCCCTTCATCACCGTGAGACCACCTCTCACGGATGAAATATAATCAGGAGAGAACCTAGAGGGGGTGAGGCCATCAGGTGAATACCATTCCTTGGGATCCACCGGCCTCCCCAGAGGGGTCCTTGGCTTTGTCAGAAGCCTCACCCCTTTCTTTTAACTTCCTGAGCTGTGCTGTCCAATATGGTGGCCACTGGCCCCATGTGGTTGTCGAGCACTTGAAATGTGGTCAGTCTAAACTGGCATGTGGTGTACATGTGAAATACATATAAAATTCTGAAGACTTGATGTGAAAAAAAATGAAGAATATCTCATTAATAATTCTCTGTACTGATTGCACATTGAAATAATATTGTGGATATATTGGGTCAAATAAACAATATTATTAAAATTAATCTCACCTGCTTCTTTTTACCTTTGATCCTACCCCAAGGCCTGCCAGAATGAAAATAAAGAACAAAGACAACAAAGAAAACAGCCGACAGGAACAGGATCTTGGGAGCCAAATATCAGGTGGGTGAGTGGTCACTGCCCCCAACATTGTACTGGGCGAATAGTGCCCCTCTAAAACTCTTGTCCACCTGGAACTTCAGCATGTGACTTTATTTGGAAATAGGGTCTTTGCAGATGTAATTAGATAAGATTTTACTGGGTTTGGCTGGTTATAAATCCAATGACCGTTCTCTAAGTCCATGTAAAGACACAGACACACACGCGGGAGGAGGAAGGCCATGTGGTGATGAAGGCAGAGGTGGGAATGATGCAGCTACAAGCCAAGGAAAGCCAGGGATTGCCAGCACCAACCCAAGCTGGGAGGAGGCACGGAGGGGTGCTTCCCGTAAACCAAAAAGTGCCTGAGTCAGGTATCAATCAATGCAGAGGTTTATTTTGCCAAGGTTAAGGACACATGCCTAGGAGACAGGTCGGTGCCTTTCTCCAAGGATGATTCTGAGGGCCTCAATATTTAAAGGAGAAAAGCAGGCTCAAGGGAAAAGAGGTCACATAACTGAATCCATGTGTTGCAAGAGAAAAGGAGTAGGTAGGGGAATGGTCAATTATGTATTCCTCTCAAGCTCACCATTAGATAAGGTGAACACAGAGTAGCTACTGTGGAGATATTTTACTTTTTATCTGTAGCTATCTGCTCAGGAAAAAAAAAAAGAAGGCAGCTTCTTCTATGACTCAGCTTTCAGCTTAATATGTTTTTCTTTTAGCAGGGTGAATTGGGGTCCCAAGTTTTTCTTTTCTTTGGCAGAGTGAATTGGGGTCCCAAGTTTGTTCATTCTTTCTTGCTTGCTTGCTTACTTGCTTTCTTGCTTTTTTTTTTTTTTTTTTCAGGGTCTCACTCTGTCACCCTGGCTAGAGTGCAGTGGTGCAATCTCAACTCACTGCAGTGTCAACCTTCTGGGCTCGAGTGATCCTCCCACCTCAGCCTCCTGAGTAACTGGGACCACAGGTGCATACTACCACACCTGGCTAATTTTTGTATTTTTCGTAGAGACGGGGTTTTGCTATGTTCCCCAGGCTGGTCGTGAACTCCTGAACTCAAGCAATCCCCCTGCCTTGGCCTCCCAGAGTGTTGGGATTACAGGCGTGAGACACCATGCCCGGCCTGGGCTCCCAAGTTTTTACTTTGCTTTCACGTTCCCTGGAGTCTTCAGAGGGAGCATGGCTCTGTTGACACCGTGATTTCTGACTTTTGGCCTCCAGAACTGCGGGACAATACATGTCTGTTGTTTAAAGCCACCCAGTTTGTGATAATTACAGCAGCCCTAGGAAGCAATATACTTAGTATGGAAAAACAATGTGAAATTTCTCATTAGTAATTTTTTATGTGAATTAAATGATTGATTTGATAATATTCATTTGGGTTAATACAAATATATTGGATTAAATAAAATATAGTATTAAAATGAATCTCACTTTTTTTTTTTTACTTCTTACAAAATATGGTGATTAGAAAACACTAGGTTGCATGGGTGACTTATTTATGGCTTGCTGTATATTTCTATTAGACAACGCTGTTCTACAGTGTACAAAACAAGGGACTCTGAGGTCCCTGTGTGTGAGACCCTGCACCTCTTCCTCTGGAGAAGAGAGAGTGGAGAAGCTTTTAAAACAGAAGCCCTGGCCAGGCACGGTGGCTCACGCCTGTAATCCCAGCACCCAGGCCGAGGTGGGTGGATCACTTGAGGTCAGGAGTTCAAGACCAGCCTGGCCAACATGGTGAAACCCCATTTCTACTATAAATACAAAAATTAGCTGGGCGTGGTGGCGGGTACCTGTAACCCAAGCTACTCGGGAGGCTGAGGCAGGAGAACGGCTTCAACCCAAAGGCGGAGGCTACAGTGAGCTGAGATCACGCCACTGCACTCCAGCCTGGGTGACAGAGTGAGACTATGTTTCAAAATAAATAAATACATAAATACATAAACAAACAAACAAAACAGAAGCCACACAAAGGCAGGAAAGGTTTTTCCACAAAGTCCAGCAGCAGTGTCCCCAGACACGAGGAAATATCAACATTTCAGCCTGAGGTGAGACCGGCAGGAGAACGGAAGCCCCTGGATAGGCTGGGAAGAGGAATCAGGAAAAGTCTTCTACTACAAGTGGGATAAGAATCTTGTGCCACTCCTGGCCAGGGTGGGCTCTGCCTTTGAGAACAATCACAGTGCCCCAAAAGGGAACCCTGTGCAGAGAAGGCCAGGGTAGGTGGAAGGCCGGAAAGACACAGGGAATGCTCCTGTCTCCTTTGAGGAGGGCCGGAGCTAGAGCCCCACACCTGCTACACTTTCAAAGGCAGCAACCCAAAGCCGGGCCAAGGTTCTAGAATCCTGCCTGCATGCCTTTGCTGGCCGTAGGCTGTGTGGGAGTGGGGTCTTGGGGTTACCCAAACAGCTCATTGGCTGTGGAGTTGGGGGTGTGGGGATGGAAGGTGGAGAGAGGGAAGCCACCTGGCTTAGCCAGGCCTGACTCATGTTTTCCTTGGCTAGAGCTGGGATTCCTGTCAAGGTTTCTGTCCCAAGATAGCATGGCTGACTGAGCCAGGCAGTGGCTGGATGCTGTATTTCACTGCTTGTCCAGGCTGAGAGGAGAACCAAAGATTGTCCCAGAATGTGCGTGGTATGAAGGTCTCCCTTGGAGCTTGAGATCCCAGCAGGAGCTATTAGATTGCCTTTGGAGGTGGGAGTTCAAGGGGGTAGGAGTTGGATGAGGATCTGACCCAGGACCCCCAAACAGCCCTCACTTTTCTGGGGACCCTGGGATGCAGAGAAGCAGGCCAGGCTGGTCTGGTTCTTTTTCAGGGATCCAAGGAAGCCCGGAAGTGACCTTGAGACCACTCTCAGGAGGCCCTGTCAGAAGAGCCCCTCCCTCTCTGCATAAAGGTAGCGCTGGTTTTATTGTTGTTGTTACTGTTATATGGCTTCCCCGAAAACACCCAGACAGGTTTAAGAGCACAGCTCACCCAAATTCCCCCATGCAAGCCATCTGTACCTAATCAAGCCTCTCTGTGTTTGCTTTGAGGGATACCTGGTTGCTTTTCCTGAAATCCCTTCTCCAGGAAACTGGTCCCAGCTCAAATGCCAGCTCATTCCAGGAAGACTAATACAGCAAGTTATTTTTTCTATAGATATTTACCTAGTGCCACAAAGCCACGTGTCAGACCTCATCTAGGGACCAGGGCATAGCAGTGAACAGCACTTCATGAAGCTCCATCCCATTCTGCCTTTCTGGGTATAAATGAAGGAGTCCTCAGAGGGTGGGGTGGTGCCTGCAAGGAGGCTGCTCAGGGAGCATGTGTTTTGACCAGTGAACAACCGGCTGGACCAAGGGGTCAGGCTCTAGTGGTGGCGTTGGACCCTGACTCAGCACTGTGTCAAAGCAATGGCGAGAGGTCCCTGCCTGCGTGTTCATTGGCGGCAGGGTCTGCATGCCTCCGCCTGCTCTCAGCAAGGAGCCCACTTTCCTCTCTGGGCTCAGCTCCAGTTCTCGGGCTTTCTCCCTCCCCGTCTGCTTCTTATCTCTGTCTCCAGTGTTTAGAAAATGTCATCTTCAGCAGTCAGGGCCGTGAACAGCCGTGGGAGCAAGGAGAGGCTTGCAGCAAGGGAACAGGGGTCCTACCAGGGCCTGGCTTAGAGCACAAAGCTAGTCAGAGCTGGAGGGACCCTTGGAGGCCAGCCACTCCTGCCAGACACCTGCCTGTTCCCTCCCCGACCCCCACCTCACCTTAGAGAATTGGAGATTTGTAGTTTTGACAGGTGGGGGAGAGAATGAGACTCTTTCTCCATCCCCAAACTTCCTCCCACCAGCACTAACTCAAGGGATATCCACTCTGTTTTACTTCATCAGAACAAGAAGACCGATTGGATCTGCTTAGGAAGACAAACCTCCCAGGGGCACGCTATTCAGTCCACTCCTGCTGGGGACAGAAGACCTTTGGGCAGCCCTGGCTCTGAGACTTGCCCTTTCTTGGGGCAGCACAGGTTTTAAAGACTAGGTGCCCTGGGGTGACAGACAGAGACCCCCAACCTGCTTTCCCTAACATTCCAGGAGGACCCAAATCACTGGCTCTTCCAGGCTCTTGGCCACTTTCCAGTTCCCATGAGGATTAAAAGGAAGAAGTGGACTTTAACTCCAGCGATGGGACTGTGGATGGATTGAGGGTGGGAGTGCCCTGAGACCCAAGGAGTCCGCCAGCCGGTTAGTCATAGAAAAACACCTCCCCCTTGGCTTAGGTGTGTACCTAGTGGAGGCAGAGCCGAGAGACAGATGTTTTCTCCAAATCTTTCCAGCCTTATGACTCTTATAATTAGACCTGGAAAAACATCTTTTCCTTTCTTCATTTTTTTTTAAAAGACCAGATTGTCTTAAACACAGAGTGATCATTTGGGCCACTGGAAAGCAGAAAAAAGAGAGAGATGACCGTTTGGAAATAATGCTTTCTTTCCACGTTCTGCTCCCCTACCCGCTGCCTACATGCCCTTCTCCCACTCTCCCCAACTCCCCCCGAAAATGCCCTGCTGCTGTGGCTCTGACTCCAGAGGAGATGGAAGATGACACCCCTGGGCTTCAAAGGCATTTCCAACAAGGGCTCAGCTTCTTGCAAAGCCTCTGAGAAAACCTTGGCCAACCCCCTGGCTCCCCGCTTCTAGCCTCGAAACTGAGGCTGCTCTGCCTGTCAGGAAGCCTATAAATCCCCAAGTCGGCAAGAAGCTGCACTCTGGAGCTCTCTCCATTGCTCAGATACCTGGCTGCAGGCCCTGGGCCGACCTCAGCCAGTCTAGAAGCTGGTGTAAATAAGCACATTTATCTCAGACAGAACTCATTTTCTGAGGAAGTGGATTCCCCTGGGGATACCAGCAATCAAAAAGTCCGTTGTTCCCTATGGGGCCACAGCTCTTCCCCATTTGACAGCTGATATTTAATTGATGGCTGCTTTTCTCCATAAGAATATTACACGGTGTTCTTAGAGTTCCAGCAAAATGATAACTCCTTTGTCCCCAAGGCAGAGGAGCAGTGGCTGTCCTCATATCTATCTAACCTGGGGGAAATACATATTAGGGTAACTGCCCATATATCATTGATCAAAAATTCCAATATGCTGCTGCCCTTCTTGAAACTAGAACCAAGCACAGTTTGCAGATAGGAGTTCCTGGGAGTTGAGCAATCTGGGAGAGTTGTATTACTCAGAAATGTTTCAAGTCTGGGAGAAAAAAAAGGAATCTTAGTCTTAGAGAGAAAGATCTGGAAAAACATCAGCCTGGAAGCCTCAAAGATGTGAGATGTCAGCATTAGAAGGGCACAAGTCAGCAGCCAGGGTGGAATTCAGAGCCTCACCAAGGCCATGCAGCAAGGTGTGGGGCAGATAGAGCCAGGTAGCTCCTCGGACGCTGAGCAGAGTGGCAGGCAGAAGGGAGCAGGAACATCCTAGGAAGGCCCAGGCTGCTCTGGAGAGCTCTGACGGAGAGGGGCTGTCTGACAGCCTGGCTGCCCAGAGGCCTATGTTTCAGCCCATTCCACTCCTCAGTGGCTATCTGACCTCAGGCGAGTCCCTTGGTCTCTGTGCCTGTTTCCTTACCCATGGCAGGAGATGGAGATGCTCAAGTAAATGACAGAAACAAGAAGGTCATGAACAATACACAAGGCAGGAGCCAACCGAGGAGGGCTGGGACCACCAGCCAAGTCTCACCAGCTGAATTCCATCTCGGGCCCTGGAGGCGGCAGCATTTACAACCACAAAGCAGCCTAAATTTGGCCAGCCAGAGGCCTTCTGCCCCTGGGGTGGGTCTCTGGAGCTCTTGCTGGACTGATGTTGCCCTAAGAGATCCTGGCTGGGCCTCTCCCCCTCACCCCACTCCTTCCTACTCGTGTGTTTGGGATTAACATTCATCCCTTGAACTTTTTCATTTTTCTACTGAGATGGAAACTTGGCCAGTGACCAGGCCTGGTTGTGCTCGCAGTACGGCTGGGCTCAGGCCAAACTCACGGTAATTGTAATCATATGCGAGGTGCTGGCTCACTGGGCGCCAGGGCTGGGGGAGGTGCAGGGCTGCCAGGCAGTGAGAAGGTGAGGGAAGGGCGCTGGGCTGGGCGCCAGGACCTGAGCCAGTGTGCAGACGGTATGGCCTTGGACTCCTGCCCTCACCTCTGTGAGCCGTGATTTCCTTGTTAATAAAATAAAGGGATTGGCTTATAGGAAATCTGAGGCCCCTGTCCAGGCTATTGTGGGATATGGACCAGATCTCATGTACTGCCTTTAATCCCCCCAACTCTGGCCTGGCCTTTCCTGTCCACATAGAGGGACCGTGAACAGGGTGTCACGTAGGAGGGTTCCAGCTTCCCACCCCTGCCCTCCCTCATCAACCTACCCGCTTTCTCACAGGACACAGAGCGGAGGGGCACTCCAAGTCAGCAGGAACTGCAACTATCACTGTCCCAGGAAGGCAAGCACGGGAGTAGCAGAGGGACTAGGATACCAAGGTGGGATGGGGATGCTTAAAGAAGAGTCTGGAAGGGAGAGGCCGAAGATTATCCAAGACAGCCTTCACCAGCTACCCTGGGGTGCAAGGGCAAACCTGATTCCCATTCCCCCTGAGCCCAGGGCTGGGGCTGCCCCTCTGCCTGAGTTCATCCACCCTCCAGGGGAACACTGCTCTGCATTGCTGGGGCAGCCCAGAGAATTCTTCACTCCGTGGGTTGTTGTGTCTTCTGTTCACACTGCAGTCTCAAAAGCCTGAGAATAAAGAACAGGCAAAGGGCTGTGAACGGTGGTTACTTGGCTAATTGCTATTGCCCAAGAGCAAGGGTAACCTTGTAAAGCACCGTCTGAGTAGAGGTGATGAGAAGTTTCTCCAACTTTCCAGAACCCTTGGGGTTTCTCTCTCTCCCTTTCTACTTCAAATGAGTCTCTCCTTGCCTCTTCCTTTGTCCATCTCTGTCATGTCCTCCCCTGCTGCTTTTCTCTTTCCCTCTTATGCCTGCTTCTCCCTATCTATCAAGAGAAGCAGAGTAGAATGATCTAGTAGAAAGAGAATGACTTGGGAGTCAGGCAACCTTGACCTCTTTAGCCTCAGGCTTCTAATCTATGAAACTGGGAAAATGACAGCCTAACCTCAGCACTGCCGGGAAGATTGAACAGGATGTTTCCCCACACATCATTTTACGTAGCTTCTTTATCTATGCCAGCGTGTCGGTCAGGGTTTGGTTATAATACTGGAAGCTGCTCTAGATATTCCAAATACACGGGGTTTTAATACAAGGGATTTAGAGGCATTCATAATGGACGGAAGGGCTGCATTAGGGAAGATCAGGGAAGTCACTGTCAGACCCCACAGAATCAGGAAGTGCCAGGATTGCAGAGAAGGCATGGAGATCATTTCAATTGCCTGCAGCACCAGAGCAGAAAGCAGACAGCGTGCAGGAGCTTGTTTGAAAGCCACCGTCTACCACGCATCTGCCCAGGCCAATTCAGAGAAGGGCTTTCTCTCGCCTTCAGCTTCTGATGCTTGTGCAAGTGCATCTTACTGCCAAAATCTAACTTAGAACCATGATGGAAAGGAATGCTGGGGAGTAAAGATCCCAGGATTTCCCTACCCCGGGAGACAGAGGAACAGGCAGAGGGGAAGTGGAGGCCTGCCGAGCCTGGCAGCATCCCCATCGGCAGGGTATAGTCTCCTGGTCCGCTCAACCCAAAGGCCCTTCCCACTTCCTCGGCTGCATTTGGCAGGAACAAAGGGTTCATATGCCATTGTGTCCTGGGAAGACGGGTAAGGGCATAGGAACAGAGAAGAAATAGAAGAGCTATTTTACAACTTGTGGAGACATGGAAAAAGGCAGTTAAAAAATAGTTGTCTTTCCAGAGGGCACACTATGAAGTCCTAGACATAGGGGATGTCAGGAGCAAGCAGCTGGCTGCGGAAGTACCCCGGGCAGGTCCTCTTCTGTGCCTGCTCTCTCTCTATCTGCAAAATGAAGGAGCTAAACTCTAAGGTCCCTTTCAGGGCTAAGCTCCTATGACTCCGATTAGTGAGACAGAAAGAAGACGTGCTTGGCATCCAGATGTGATGTTTCATGTCCCCTCTCCCTCTCCCCTGGCTTCTTCTCTCAGCCTCTACAAGTACTCAGGTCTTCGCATCCTTTCAAGACAAACAATCAAACAAAGCAACACCTCCTTATAAGACAGAGGGGATCTTATAACCCTCTCTTCAACTGCTGCTCCATCCCACTCCTTCTTTTTACTTCCAAACCTCTCGAAAGAGTTGTGCATGCGCACACTGAAGAGGAGACTGGTGTTCAAGCCCTCTTGGCTTGCAGGTCTCAGGCCTTGGAAGGGAAGAGCTGAAGAATTCATCCACTGGCAGGTGAATAAAGTCGGTGCTGATGCCACCTGTATGACTAATCAGCCTTCTGGAAGAAATTGCCTGACCGTGGGGTCCTGCTGCCCAGGAGGCTGGATTTTGGGCAACGCATTTGTTTTCTAGGGCTGGTGTCACAGATTACCACAAACTTGTTGGCTTAAAGCAACAGAAGTTAACAACCAAGAAAACAAACAACCTAATTCAAAAATGGGCAAAGGAACTTGAATAGACATTTCTCCAAGGAAGATATATAAATGGCCAATAAGCACATGAAAATAGGCTC
This sequence comes from Homo sapiens, assembly GCF_000001405.40. Classification (NCBI taxonomy): domain Eukaryota; kingdom Metazoa; phylum Chordata; class Mammalia; order Primates; family Hominidae; genus Homo; species Homo sapiens. Next base: position 46,844,765 of record NC_000002.12, on the reverse strand, counting down.
AATATCATCAGTCATCAGGGAAATGAAAATCAGAGGCACAATGAGATACCACCTTCTACCTCCTAGGATGGCCATAAAAACAAAAACAATGCAAAGCAAAAAACTGAGAAATAACAGGTGTCAGCAAGAATGTGCAGAAACTGGATCCCTTGCACATTGCTGGTGGGAATGCAAAATGGTGCTGCTGCTTGGAAAACAGTTTGGCGGTTCTTCAAAATGTTAAACATACAATTACCATAAGGTCCAGCAATTCCACTCCTAGGTATATAAGCAAAAGAACTGAGAGTTGGGACTCAAACAGATATCTGTAAACCAATGTTTATAGCAGCATTATTCACAGTAGCCAAAAGGTAGAAACAATACAAGTGCTCATCACCAGATGAATGGATAACCCAAATGTGGTATATATATACAGTGGAATTCTATTGACCAATTAAAAAGAATGGAATTTTGATATATGCCACAACATGGATTGATCTTGAAAACATTATGCTTAGTGAAATAAACCAGACACAGAAGAACAAATATTGTATGATTCCACTTACATGAGGTAGCTAGAGTAGTCAAATTCATAGAGACACAGAACAGAATAAAGTTTACCAGGAGACAGGGAGAAGACAGAAGGGAGAGTATTGTTTAATGGCTAGAATTTATGTTGGGGATGATAAAAAAAAAATAATGGTGGCCAGGCGCGGTGGTTCACATCTGTAATCCCAGCAATTTGGGAGGAGGCTGAGGCGGGTAAATCACTTGAAGCCAGGAGTTCGAGACCATCTTGGCCAACATAGCAAAACCCTGTCTCTACTAAAAATACAAAAATTAGCCAGGCATGGTGGCACGTGCCTGTAATCCCAGCCACTCGGGAAGCTGAGACATGACAATCTTGAACCCGGGAGGCAGAGGTTGCAGTGAGCTGAGACTGTGCCACTGCACTCCAGCCTGAGTGACAGAGCAAGACTCTGTCTCAAAATAATAATAATAATGTAATAAAAATAAAAAGAATAAAGAAAAAGATAGTGGTGATGGGTACATAGCCTTGTTAATGTAATTAATGTTACTGAATTTTGCACTTACAAATGGCTAATATTATGTACGTATTTTTCACCACAAAAAATGTTAAAGCAAAACAAAACAAACATAAATGTTTCCTGTCACAGTTCTGGAAGCCAGAAGTCTGAAATGGCAGCGTTGGCTGGGCAGTGCTCCTCTGAAGGCTGTGGGGAAGAATCCTTCCTTGCCTCTTCCAGCCTCCCGTGGCTCCAGGCATTCTTCGGCTTGCTGCTGCATCATTCCAACCTCTGCCTCTGATGACATGGGCTTCTTCTGTGTCTGTCTTCTCCTCTGCATGACTCTCATAAGGACACTTGCTATTAGAATTAGGGTCCACCCTAATAATCCAGGATGATGCCGTTTCAAGATTCTTAATTATATCTGCAAAGACCTTTTTCCCCAAAAAGGCCACATTCACAGGTTTTGAGGATTTGTATGTTGACATATCTTCTGGGAGGGTCATTATTCAACCTACTGCAGTTCCCTTCCACACACACACCTCCCCAGGTGACTGGACGGGCTGTGAGCCTCTAAGCTCAGGGTGGCTCATCCATAGCCTGGCCAGCCTCCTGTGATGTGGTGTAGACTGAGCGTAGGAGCTGGGTTGATCAGGGTCATCCTTTCTGAAACAGGAGCTGGGAAACATGAAGAGCCTGAGCCAGTTTGCACCAGGGCCAGAAGGTGAAAGGTGCTTTCCGTGTGTGTCCAGTGGAAGCAGAAATTGCGAGGGAGCAGGTGCTGGATGTAAATAGAAGAAACCAATGAGCAGAGAGGAGAGTGAGGAGACACACAGCGAGGAAAGAGACGCCGCAAGGGAGATCTTGAAGACCACCAGAGAGACAGGCTGCTCCCAGGGATGGATTTGGTTGCTGGCAGCCCTTCAGGTACATGGGAGGGCCACGTGTACCTTCAAAAGTTCCCTGAGACACTTGCAAAGTCTTTTTGTTGGGGCCACTAGATTCTGACCAGAACAAGGGCAGACAGACATGCCTCATCCTATATAAAGGTGCCTCAGCCTGAGGTTACCGTGGAAGACACTTTATGAAGATAGCCTCAATAATTCCTCCTGCATAATGTGCCCCTTCGCAATGTGACTTTGCTGCTCTTCCCATCTAACAGTGAAGTTATTTGTCCTGCCCTTGAATACGAACTTGGCAAGGTGACTTATTTTGGCCGAGGGAACGTTAGCAAAGGTGATGCAAATAGAGGTTTGAAAGTACTTGTGCATGGGGTTCACCCTCTCCTTGGCTGTGGTTAGAATGTAGAGACCATGATGTGAATGAGCCTGAGCTAGCCTGTTGGAGAGACCACATGGAGAACTGAGGCCTTAAGCTAGTCAACTGCCAGACATGTGAGGACATCTTTGACCAGGCAGCCCTAGTCAAACCACCAGATAATTACAGCTGCATGAATGACCCCAGGCAAGACCAGCAGGAGACCCACCAACTGAGCCCAGCCAAATTGCAGACCTACAAAACTGCAAGCCAGTAAAATTGTTGCTTCAATCCACTAAATTTTGGGATGGTTTGCTGTAGGGTGGTAGATGTGTTCTATAGTTCTCACCTAGCCAAGACCCCAGCACCCCTAAGTACAAAGCCAGGCCCTAGAGGCAGCTAGCAGGGGTGAGTGGCAGAAGCTATAGTCTGCCATGAGCCATCTCTCCTTTGTCTTTTTAGTAATAGCTCAAGTCCACCCAACAAGAGACTACATTTTCTAGCCTTCCTTCAGCTAAGTGTGACTACATTTTTACCAATGGAATAGAATGAAAGTGATATGTACAACATCCGTGTTGCTTATTTATTTATTTAGACAGAGTCTCGCTCTGGTCTGTGTTGCTTCTTTAAAAGGAACTTGCTTGCCCTAAACTTCCTCTTCCTGCAGGCTGAAATGCAGAGCTGGTGCCAGCAAGGGTGGAGCTCTATGACAACCTCTATGATAGGGCTACTCAAAGTCTGGTCCACGGACTAGCTACTCGACACAGTCAATGAGCAGGTGAGTACAGAAATCAAGAAGAAGTGTTTACAAACTTTCATAACAAATTGACAAACTAATATTAGGTCTATTGACTATAACAGTAGGAAAAAAAATGGGATTTTAAAACTGTGTTTGGGCCAGGCGTGGTGGCTCACACCTGTAATCCCAGCACTTTAGGAGGCCAAGGCGGGTGGATTGCTTGAGCTCAGGAGTTTGAGACTAACCTGGGCAACATGGTGAAACCCCATTTCTACAAAAAAACAAAAACAAAAACATTAGCCAGGCATCGTGGTACATGCCTATAGTCCCAGCTACTCGAGAGGCTGAGGTGGGAGGATCACTTGAGCCCAGGAGGTTGAGGCTGCAATGAGCCGTGATGGTGCCACTGCACTCCAGCCTGGGTGACAGAGTGAGGCCCGGTCTCAAAAAATAAACAAATAATTAAATAAATAAAACTGTGTTTGGGTTTTTTTTTTTAAGTTTTTAAGTGTATTCCACAGAAGTACTATTACTTTATAACAAATTGGGCAAAAAAATCTGGCTTTTCCTCCAGATAGCCTGAAAAGCACTGCTCTAGGGGATGGTGAAGTAACAAGTCACCCTGGAACTTAGAAGTGACTTGAGCCTTGTCAGGATCCTGTCTTTTGGCCTGTCATTTTCAGTATACCACCTTTCTGTATACCACCTTTTTCCACAAGGCAGGATGTCTAGCAGCATGGAGGTCTACAGTCTGTCCTTTCAGCCTTACACCCGAAAAGGAAAGAGGCCTTCTCTCCTTAGCTCAATTTAGAACAATTTTTGGGAAGAATGTGACTAGTCTGGGTCAGGTCAGATTGCCAGCCTCACAACCCATCACTGGGACAGGAAGGAAGGATCACGAAAGATGGAGTCTCCCCAGGAGTTCAAGACCAGCCTGGGCAACATAGTGAGAACCTGTCTCCATTTAAAAAAAAAGATGGAGGCGCCCATTGGACCACACCTCTGTGTGTAGGAGCAGCTCCACAAGAGGGTGGTGACTGCTCCCAGGAGAAGGAAAGTGCAGGGCAGATGAGAGATGAGTGTCCACCACAGGGAGTTCCCTGCTTTCTCCCAACTTCTTTCTCTTGTTCTCCAGCCTCCTAAAAAACCTTTCTACCAGGAACAGCCCTCCAGCCCCAAAACCAGGGAGTGAGGAAAAGAGAGGGCAGCAGAGGCGACAGCACATGCAAAGGGCCAAAGGGGAGATGGGTCACACTACTTTCGTGAATTGAAAGCAGCTCAGGATGGCTGGTGTGTTCCAAATCCAGGAGCAGGAAGATGTGGGGCTAAATACCAGATTCTGAAGGGGGGTGGCAGGGAGTCCCCAGCTGGCTATAACTTAAACAGAGGACCCTGCCTACTGTGTGGAGGACTGAAGGGGGGCCAGGCTGGAGGCGAGAGGCCAGGTAGGAGGCTGTTGGAGCCATCCAAGTGACAGATGATGGTGGCTGAAGAGTAAGTGCTGTGGAGGAACAAGACAAGTACATTCAAGAAATATCTGGAAGGAATAATCAGCAGGATTTGGAGATGAGCTTGCAGTGGGGGATACGGGAGAGGGAAGAGTCCTGGGTGACTCTTGGGGATGCCCATGCTGCTCACTAGGACAGGGGAAACAGGCAGACAGGTAGGGATGGGGAAAAATGAGGCCGGCTTCCATCGTGGACAAGCTGGGTTGGAGGTGCCAACAGGGCATTCAGATTATCTTTGTTTTTTTGCATACACCATTCCAGGAACCTCTTACCTGGTTGTGCTCCATTTAATTTTTTCTTTTTAAGTTACATGAATCTGACCTTCAGTGGTTTTCTGCTTTCTATACATTGCCATCCAAGATCTTTATCCTGGCACCTGAGGCCCTCTAAGATCTGATCCCCACCTCATTCTTCTACCACATAGACCACTGCTTCTCTTGCCGGGCCTGTGTTCTGGCTACATGGAACCACTGACTTTTCCCCATTTATAGTTTGCTCCTCCACACCTTTGGTCATATAGTTTTCCCAGCTTGGAGTGCCCTCCTCTCACGGATACACACACAAAATTCCACTCCTCCTTGAAAGTCCAGTTCATAAGCTACTTCCTCCATGAGGCAGTCCCTGACTCTTCATATGGGAAAACCCCCATGTTTCTAAATTATCACAGCATTTTATCTAAACCTTTGCCATCTCTCTCATGTCCTATCTGCATTATATATGTAAGCTTAGAAGGTGATTGATGGGCCTGGTACTGAAGGGTGTGGGGACATGGGTTATTTTGCTTGTTTAAGTGGCAGCTCTTCTGCTTCTGGTAATAGCACCTCAGTTTTCCTTTGGGGAGTTGCCCTTTCCCCTGTGCTGAGCTCCTGTTCTTTAGACAGGGCTGACCCCATCGGCTCCTGGGGCAGCAAATCAGCACATTTCACTCCCTGGCTGCAGTTATCAGTTCAAGGCTGGGCTCAGGACTCTTCAATCCAAGAGGAGCCTGGGCAGGACTTTGGAGGAAAAGGGCAGACCGAGGCTGTCAGCGGGTTTGTGCTAGGCAGGGATCCTTCCTTCCTCTTCCTAGCTTCTGTTGGCTGCTGGCAATCCTTGGCCTTCCCTGGCCTGTTCTCATATCACTTGGTCTCTGCCTCTGTCATCACATGGCCTTCTCTCCTATCTCTTTGTGTCCCTTTGTCTCTATGTCTTCAAGTCTCCCTCTTCATATAAGGACACTAGTCATTGGATACTGGGCCGCCCTAATCTAATATAACTTCATCTGAACTCGATTATCTCTGTAAAGACCCTGTTTCCAGATAAGGTCCCATTCACAGGTACTGGGAATTAGGACTTGAACATCTTTTCAGGGACACAATTCAACCCACAACAGACCCTCTCTACCCTGGGGCTCTCATCGGTCCCATGGGACACCTCCATGCATCCTCTCTCTCAGAAGACTCAAGAGCTTTCAGCTAAACTCAGCATAGCTGCCTCCCCTTCTGCTCATCCCCTGAGCAGCTGGTCGGCCACGCCATCACCAGCCCTTTAGATTTCTCAGGTGGAGGCCAGGTGCAGCGGCTCACATCTGTAATCCCAGCACTTTGGGAGGCCGAGGCAGGTGGATCAGCTGAGGTCAGGAGTTCGAGACCAGCCTGACCAATATGGATTTCTCTGTAAAAATTCCCTCTGGTTGAAGAAAGAAGAGGATCTCACAGCATAAGTTTCTCAAACTCAGTAGTTTCTCTTCCCTGGTCTCCACTAAAAATACAAAACCCCATCTCCACTAAAAACACAAAAATCAGCCAGGCCATGGTGGCGCGCGCCTGTAGTCCCAGCTAAATTTCTCAGGCGGAAGTCAGGCACCAGTCCACTGGGGCCCCATAGTACAGGGATCCTGACTCCTCTTTCAGAGAAGTTCTGATGAAGCTCCCCTCATAGACTTACTGTGAGAGGCAGGTGCCTTCCACTGTCTTTCCTGCAAGAAGAGGCACATGGTATTCAATAAACAATTCCTTTCCCCCTTAATCTCCAACAACCTGATCCTCAGCCGTAAGTGGGGCTGCAAGAGTTGTAAAAACCTAGTTTTTAAATATTTCCTTATAAAATTTGCATTTTGCTCCAGTGACTCTGGGAGCTGATACCTAGCAACTTATCATCTCAGCGGAAACTTCCGTTTTAACATGATGTTACACCCTCTCCTAAGGCCTGAGGAACTGGAGCCCAAGCAGCCTTCACAGATGGCCTCCCCAGGTGGTCAGACCAGACCTTCCCTGAAGAGAGAGACCTCTGGAGCTCCCCCTAAGCCCAGCTCTGCCTGCTCTGCGGACTCCCCTATAGCAGTAGAATGCTGTGTGGTAGGAAAGGAACCTCAATGGACCCAGCAGATTGCCGCTTCCTCATTCTGTGACCTTATACAAACCATTTACTTGGTTGAGCTTCGTTTTCCTCAGCATAAAATGGACATTAAAAAAAAAATAGTCCCAATCTCCCAGAGCCATTTTCAGAATTAAATGTGTACTTGTGACTCAAGTGGATGCAACGAATATATTCAGCTCCCTGATAACAAGTCTTAGTCTTAGTTGAAGCCTCCTGGCCAGCCCAGGGCCGGCGAAGGTATGGGGGTCTAGTCCTTAGAGAGCTCACATCGAGTTGGGTGGATGACCTGCGCAAGACTGAAAACAGAAATAACAACCGACATTGTTTAACAGCCACCGGGGAGATTCATAGGCTGGCCAAGGAGCCCTAGGTACATTGGTGGCCCAATCTGACCTCTGTAGGGATTTGGAGGACGGGAATAATTCTGGTTTGGAATGGAGGTGGGCCTTAGGCAGGGCCCTGAGGAGAGTAAGATAAGCCTGGCGGAGGAGAGAGAAGGGCACCGTCTCTTCCTGTGGCCTCCCTGTGAAGAAGGCCTGGACAAGTGTGAGTGGCGAACAGAATTACACATTTGCTCCGTTTTAGATTCATAAGTCAGACGGCAAAATGATCCAGGGGCTGGAAGCACTTGGCCTCGGCTGCTCATTAGAATCACCCGGGGAGCTTTAAGAACCACTGATGCCCAGGTCCTGACCCAGAGACTCCCGCGTAATTGGCTTGGGTTTGGAAGAGCAGCCCAGTGGATTCTAAGGTGCAGCCAGGGTTGACAACCGTTGTTACCCCTCACACCCCAGCAGTATGGCTTCTGTTAAGAAAAAAAAAGTGCCAAGAGAGAAGGCAACTTTAATTTTAAATGCTAAATTGGCAGGGTGGGTTGGTGATGTCAGATTTCCCTACCACCTTTGCCTGCCTCTAGCCGCTGCCCCCACATTTTCCCAGCTGCTCTGAAAAAGCCAAGCTCCTGCTCAAAACACTTTTTTCCCTTCCCTGAAAAGTCCTATTCTCAGGAAATTCCCTCCTGACCCCATCATGCCTCTTTTGGGAACACCTTGTTCTTAATGCTTTGTTCTGCTTCTCAGAAGTGCTCTGATCCTTCAACATCATGCAGTTTTGCTCAAATGTCATCAGGTTGCAGAGAATTTCCTAGAAGGATCAGAGGGAGCCTTCTAAAGAGGCCACTGTAGCAGCGGAGGCCAAGTGGAAAGTATGCCGGGAGCCAGGATCCCCCAGCCCAAGTGCTGACACCGCCACTAATGGGCTCTCCACTCGGTGCCTTAACTTCTACATCTGTGAAATGGGGTGGCCCAGTGACCTCTGAGGTTCCTCCTCACCCTCCCTCTCTGAGACTTCAGAAGCTACTCCAAGCTGAACACGGCTGGGCCTGAGGTACGGTTCACCTCCCAGACTCCGCTTCCTGGGGCCTCAGCCAAGCCACGGGCTTCCTGCCTGGTGAGCCACGGGGACAAGGAGCCTTCACAGAGTCTCTGCAGGGCTCTCCTGGGGAGCTGGGGGTGGGGAGCAAAAAGCCTCTCAGAGCTAACACAGAGGCTTCGTCTGTGTCCAGAGCTGCGGGAGGAGTACACTGAGCAGCCCATAGGGACTCTACCTTGCCTCTTGATTTTTCCATGGGTTTTTCAGAACCTTTCATTTGCTCAAGTAACCCCTCAGCAGTAGAGACCAATAAGGGCCATTAGCTCAATTTGACATATGAGGAGGCTGAGGTGCCGTGAGGAAAGCGATGCTGGAGGAGGCAGCATGTCAGCGCAGGTAAGAGCATCTGCTGCTCCACCACTTAGCCTTTCCCAGCCTCAGTTTCCTCATCTAAAGGTGCCGATACTCTGGACTGCTCTGGCAGGCCTGCCCATGCTCCTTGGAGAGGAGAAGGAGGCCCAGGAACACCTTTGATCTTGAGGTGGGACCCAGGAGCCAAGTCAGTGCACAGGCAGGGCCCTGAGAGATCCACGATGGGTCAGGTACTTTTCTAGAACATTCCATACATCATCTTGTACTATGTTCACAGCAGCCCTGTCAGTCAGGCATCCTTTGCCCCATTCTGCAGAGGGACAACTGAAGCCTGAGCGTTCACACACAGCCAGGGTCCAAACTCGGGTTCCAAGTCATGTTCTTCCCACCACTCTGGGCCATCCTCCTTGGATGTGGGTCCAGCGCTGGCGAGTTGAGGCAAGCTCTGATTCTGTGTTATCTCCTCCTTGTAGACAGATGGACGGCAGGTCTCAAACTCTTGCCCTCAAGTGACCCTCCCACCTTGGCCTCTCAAAATTCTGGGATTTCAGGCTCAGGGCCCAGTCCGATGCAGGCAAGGAAACCAGGGAAGAGAAACTACTGAGTTTGAGAAACTTAAGTTTTGAGATCCTCTTCTTTCTTCAACCAGAGGGAATTTTTACAGAGCAATTTTACATGGATTAAAGTTATTAATACATACTTTTTAAAAACCAAGGCAAACTAAAAGAGAGACTTGAACAGTTACCAAATCTCTGGAGGGAGAATGTCTTTTTATTAAAACTTAGAAATGATTGAAGAAATCACAAAGAAAAGATTAGCAGGTTTGACTACAGAGAAATGTAAATTTTCTGTATTAAAAAAAGACTGAAAAGGGGCAAGTGGGAAAAATATTTGCAGCATTTAAGGTAGATAAGTTTAAAAATAATCTGGTTTTATTTATATTCTATCTCTTTCCTAAAATGTTTTGAGGAGGATATATTACATAAAGAGTCCATACAAACTCATAGTTACAAACATAAAAAGCCTTATATGTATACAAATAAGCAAGGAGCATAATGAAGCAAATTACATAAAACAAGTTATAACTAGTAAATAGATTTACAGAAAAATGTGCAGCATTGCTAATCACCAAAGAAATGCAAAGTTAAGTGGAAAGTTTAACTTGACACCCAGAACTCATGAAGATGTGATAAAATAGCTAGCCAACCTATTTACTCATTGCTGACCTGAGTAAATTGTTACAATTTCAAGGAAAATAATACGGTGAAAGATATCAAGAACTATAAACATATTTTTATATTCAACAGAGTAATTTTACAACTGGGAATTTATGCCAAAAATTCAAAAATGTGAAAAGAGTTATGTGTACAAAAATCCTCATTGCAGCGATTTTTTTTTTTTTTTGAGATGGGGTCTCCCTCTGTCACCCAGGCTGGAGTGCAGAGGTGCCAACTCGGCTCACTGCAGCCTCTGTCTCCCAGGTTCAAACGATCCTCCCACCTCAGCCCCCTTGCCTCCCAAGTAGCTGGAACTACAGGTGCATGCCACCACGCCTGGTTAATTTTTTGTACTTTTAGTAGAGATGGGGTTTTGCCATGTTGGCCAGGCTGGTCTCAAACTCCAGAGCTCATGAGATCTGCCCACCTTGGCCTCCCAAAGTGTTGGGATTATAAGCATCAGCCACCGTGCCCAGTCTTCATTGCAGCATTTTATTTTTTTTTTAAGGCAAAAATTTAAAATGACCTAAATGTCCTAAAGTAGGGAAATGATTAACTGAAGTTTGCTCCATCCATTCAGTGGAATACAATACAGCCTTTAAAAAAGTTTATAAAAATGTATGGCAAATAAAAATGCCTGTGGCAAAATGTTAACTTTAAAAAGCAGAATATAGAACTGCGGTATTCAGAATATATAATTCATAGTATGGATATAATTATGTGAAAAAATACATGCATACAGATATGTGAAAGGCAGGCCTTCCTCAACGTATGCAAGGCCTGGGGTGGGGTACAAATGGAGACCACACACCAAATGCCTAAATATTAAAAAGTAATAGTTCAAGCTAACAAACTGTCAAATCAAATATTTTACCTTCCTACTTTGTGATACATTAAGATGCATATTGTAATCACTAGGGTAACTGTTAAGAAAATAACTCAACAATTATATGTAAAAATGAACAATGAAATTAAAATGGTTTGCTAGAAGAATATATGTTAAACATAAAAGAAAGCGATAAAGGAGTGACATAGAAACAAAACAGACATGAGACATGTAAAAAATAAAGAGCAAAATGATAGATATAAATCCAATAATATCAATAATTACTGTTATTGGATGAATGTTTGTGTCCCCCACTGTAAATTTCTATGTTAAAGCCCTAATTCCCAATATGATGGTATTTGGTGGTAGGGCCTTTGGAAGGTAATCAGGCTTAAATAAGGTCACAGTGGTGGAGATGTGATGGGATTAGTATCCTTATAAGAATTGGAAAAGAGACCAGAGATCTATCATTTGATGACACAGCAAGAAGGCAGCCTTCTGCAAGCCAGGACAAGAGCCCTCACCAGGAACTGAAATTTCTAGCACCTTGATCTTGGACTTCCCAGCCTCCAGAACTGTGAGAAATAAATGTCTGTTGTTTAAGCCACCCAGTCTATGGTATTTTGTTATAGCAGCCCAAGCTAACTAAGACAATTACATTAAATTATGACAACATTATTTATAATTACCCCAAACTAGAAATAACCTAAATGTCTGTCAAACAGTGAATGGATAAACAATGGAATACTAATCAGCAATTAAAAAGGAACAAACTACTGATAGATACTTCCATGTGAACAAACTTCAAATACATTATGCTGAGTGAAGGAAGCCAGATGCAAAAGATGACATTGTTATGTGATTCCACTGACATGACATGTCCAAAACAGACAAATCTACAGTGATTGGTGGGGGCTGGCAGTGTAACAGGGATTGACTGCAAATGGCCACAAGGGGTTATTGGGAGGTGATGGAAATGTTCTATCTAAAATTGGATTATGGTGATTGTTATGGTAATGAACAACCCTGTAAATTTACTAAAAATTATTGCACATTTAAAATGGATGAAATGTATGGTACATGAATTACGCCTCAATAAAGCTGTTTTTAAATGCTAAAATTAAAAAATATTGTGTGGTTATGATAACATCAAGAAATGAAAAGACAACTGATTAACTCTTTAAAGTACATGTGTGTTTTGTCTGTGATATATGGTTCAGCTGGGTGCATTTTCTGGCTTCCCATAACACAGGGCTTCACAACTTTTTCTTAAAAGTCCAGATAATAAATACCTTCAACTTTGCAGACGTATCTGTTGCAATGACTCAACTCTGCTGTTGTTGTTCAATGAATGAGTGTGTTCCAATAAATCTTTATTTACAAAAACAGACCACTGGCCAGAGGGCTGTAGTTTACCAACCCCTGACAGTGTTTCCCACTGACAAAATCACACAAGAGCAAATGCAAAATCTGCATTATGCTTATATTGTTCCCTGATATACCAATCATGTTGGAATAGGTTCTCATTTCCAAAACAAGCATTATGGCAGAACAGACTGAACTTGATAGGCTGTTATGAGAGGTAAATGACCTAGTGCTTATAAAGTCCTAAGTCACTGAGAGATTGGTGGTCCATGGATGTTAGTGATTATTATTAGCTATGTTTTATGGTTGTTGTTGGCATTACATTTGACTATTTATGTGATACACTTAGAACAGTGCTTGTTGCTGGGTGTGGTGGCTCACGCCTGTAATCTCAGCACTTTGGGAAGCAAACAACAACAACAACACAAAGGACAGTGCTTGCGATTTAGTTATTTTTTAAAGACTCTTTTTGGGAGTAGTTTATGTTCACAGCAAAATTGTGAGGAAGGTGCAGAGCTTTCCCATATACCCCCTGCCCTCACACATGCGCAGCCTCCCGCACTACAGACATTTTGGCAGCAGTTAGTACACCCACAGTGTTGTGCAGCCATCACTGCTGTATAGTTCCAGAACATTTTCATTATCCCCAAAGGAAACCCCATTCTTATGAAGTAGTCATTCCCTACTCCTCCCTCTCCTAGCCTCTGGAAGACACTTAAAAAAAATCACTTCTTCAAACATTTGAGATTGCACAGTGCTTACAATCAAAAACATCTTTTTTTTTTTTTTTTTTTTTTCAGGGCAAGGTCTCACTCTGTCGCCCAGGCTAGAGTGCAGTGGCACACTCGCAGCTCATTACAGCCTCAACTTCCTGGGCTCAAGTGATCCTCCCACGTCAACCTCCCTGGTAGCTGGGTCCATAGGCATGTACCACCACATGTATTTTTTGTAGAGATGGGGTTTCTCCATGTTGCCCAGGCTGGCCTCAGGCGATCCACCCACCTTAGCCTCCCAAAGTGTTGGGCTTACAGTATGAGCCACCACACCCAGCCCCAAAAAATCTTATAATCATTGTTTATCCTGTGGTGTTGCCACATAGTTGTCATTGCCTGAATAAGCATAAATTTGGTCTTTGCTCTTTAGAGCTATGAGTTGTAAATGAATGCGTAGTTTTGTCATTCCTAGATATTTTATGTGTTGAGTTTAACTGCCTCTAAACTGCCTTCAAGAATGCTATTGCTCAACAAAGAAAGGAAAATTTGTTGAATGTGAAGAAGAACATGAAACCAAGTGGCAGGGCATAAACTTGATATTAATGAGGCAAATATTCACCAACAGAGGCACCACCATAGTCTATGCCTCTTCCAGAATCACAATCAGGTACTTTATGGGACAGGAAACGAAGATATAAACAGATGAAGTTGTGCTATGTTTTGTTACTGAGATATGTCTGAAAAGATGGCCTGTCACATACCAAGCAAAGCAACCAAGGGCCAGAGAAATTGTGAAATCCCTTGGAATAGCTAATAAACGATTTCAAAGTAAGCAGAGGTTGGTGTATCTGGTTCATGTGTCACGTGAGACTATCGTTAAGGCATTATAATTCAGTTTAATGGCAGTATATTTTTTCTTGATAGTACATAACAGTGCATGCTACAATTGATAGCACCTTAAAATGATAATATTATTATCATCCTCACATTGCATTGTTATTTCCACTTACTTGTCTGTTTCTCCCACTGGACTGTGAATGTTTTGAAGAAAAGGAATTTCTCTTATTTGCTACTGTACCCTCAATGCCTTGACAAATGTCTGGTATGTAGCAGGAGCCAACAAATGAACAAAAAATTCATTTGGGAGATGAAGCTCACAAATTTAATTAGTCTTAACACCTGGTTTTAAGGTTGCTGTGAAAATTAAATGAAAAACAGCTTTGAAAACCTTGCCTATTACAGTGCGTGGCACAAAGTAACTGCTCAATAAAGACTCATTGGTTGGTTGTTGTTTTTGTACCGGTTAGGATAGTATTTGGCTAAAGTGACAGAAGACCCAAAATATAATGTTGTAAACAAGAGAGAAGTTGATTATCCCTTCAGATAAGCAAAGTGTAGAAGTAAACAGCCCAGGTATAGGAAGCTCCATGACCATCAGCATCTCAAGTTCCTTAGCTGTATTAGCATCTGAAGTTCCTTAGTTGTATTACTCTGCCATTCTCATACACGGCATCCACCTTATGGCCCAAAATGGCTGCTTGAGCTCCAGCCATCATGTTCACATTTCAGCTGGAAGGAAGTAGAAAAGGACAGCAGAAGAATGGTACCTCACCATTTATCAATACTTTCTCACAGTCATAGTGATACTCTGTTTACCTCCCATTGATCAGAACTTGACTACATCTAACATATAGCGTCTAGAAAATTCAGGCTTTTGTCTAGGCAGCCATGTGCCTAGGTAAAACTCAGGAAGGGGAGAGTAGATGTGCAGGGACAAGTTGGCTCTGCCACAATTGTTAAACTTCATGGTGCTGATTACAAGCACAACATGGGCTCTAAGAAGGCTTGTTCCATAAAGGCAATGGAAGACTTTCAAGTGGAGATGGGGCATGAGCTGGGCTTTGAAAAATGAGTAAAAAAGCGAAAGGATAGGTAAAGGCATTTCTGGCAGGGGAATGGCCAAAGGCCCCAGGCCAGGGAGGCACAGGTATGCCTGACAGTTAATAGGGTTGTAGTGGCCATGCAGAGGCTTTGTGTTGGGAGGAAAGGGATGCTTAGATGGTAACTAGCTGGGTCTCAGCCCTAGAAGGCGGGGGGGTCAATCCTGTGCTGTGTAATCAGCATGGAGTCACTTAGTCCTCTGAGCTTTGCTTTCGTCTTCTGTAAAATGTGCATGGTAATAATCCTGTTGTGAGGATTAAACGAAATGAGCAAGAGAAGCCCTTTTGTAAACCACAAGTTCCTACACACTTTAGATGTTCAAAAAACAAGCAACTGTTACCACGACAGAGGCCAAAGCTTGGAAGGGGAGGGCTTGGAGTTAGCACTTCCTCACGCCTGCTCCAGGTGGCTCATCACTTGCGGATCCCCTTGGGTGGGCATGGGATGTGGGTGGTGATTGAAGGATTTGCAGGCAGAGAGATAGGAGCCTTTGGTGGGGCACAGACAAGGCACACAGATACTCCTAGGACGTGAGACAGTGACGGGAAAAACTGGGGGAGGGCAGACCTGGATTGTCCCAGTGCCCGTTCTCCTCCCACCCCCGCCAGGAAGCACCACCAAGTGTCAGTGACCTGTGCTAGCCAGGGGCCACTCCTCGGACCTCAGAGCCCACTGTAGTCAAGTCAGCAGGTTGCTAGGCTGACTCTGGAACAGGTCCAGCCCTCTGGGGCATGTGCCTTCTTCACATTCCTGTGGGAGTCTCTGTGGCAGAAGCCAGAGGCCACAATAGGTGAGGGCGTAGAGGGGTGCAGAGTGCAGGGCAGGGTTGACCTTGGTCCAGGTCAGGCCTGGAGTCTCACCAGGCTGCTGCCTCTCCTACAGAGGGGTCAATCAGGTTGCAATACCATCTTAGTCATCTTGGGCTGCCATAACAAAATATGGTAGACCGGGTGGCTTTAAACAATAGGGGTTTATTCCTCACAGGGTTCTGGAGACTGTGAAGTCCAAGATCATGGTGCTGGCCAATTCAGTTTCTGGTGAGGGCTCTGTCTGGCTTGCAGTTGGCTGCCTTCTTGTTGTGTCCTCACATGGCAAGGCAGAGAGCACTCTGGCTTCTCTTCCTCTTTTCATAAGGGCACTAATCCCATCATGGGGGCCCTACCCTCATGACCTCATCTAAACCTAATTACCACCCAAAGGCCCCACCTTCAAATACCATCACCTTGGGGGTTAGGGCTTCACCTAATCTCCAACATGCATTCCATAGCAGACATCTAATTCCATCTGGACACCTGCTTTGGTCCTGGGCTCCTGCTTTGTCCCTATACTTGGCTGTCCCTTCAAGACATGCCCTGTGGCTGGTGGGCTTCTGCTCTAGAAGTGTCAGGCAGGGGAGCTGCACCAGGCTGGTGCCTCTGCTGAATGCACAGAGACTGCCCTGGAGGAGGGAGGGTGGCAGCTGTGAGGGTGGGCAGACCCTGCAGCCGCATGTCAAGCCCACCAGGTTTTATTGTGATGATAAAACCACATAGTGCCTTCTCTTTCCTTTTTTTCATGAGATTGCTACAAAGTGGATTGTCAAGAGGAGGACTCTGGAGGGGAAGGAGGTCCGAGAACTGGTCAGAGAGAGACAGGACAGAGAGGCACAGAGTGAGAGGGAGGCAGAGAGTGGCATGAGGACCCAGAGAGAGCTGGGGACACAGGCATAGACACAGAGAAAGGAGCCAGAGATAGAAAACAGAGGGACAAGGTGGCAGAGATACAGAGACACATGGAGAGGTGAGGTCTGCAAGGCAATGCAGAGAGCACTTGAGGCAAGTGAGGCAGGACAAGGAGGACGAGGAGGACGAGGAGGATGGGGCATCGGGGAAGGGGAGGCAAAGGGCATGGAGGCCTCCTCCATCTCAGAGGTCCCTTCCTCAACCCAACCCATCCCAAGAGAGGCAGAAACAGCAGCACCCAGGGCAGAGCTGCCCACTGGGCATCCGTGTCTCCCCACACTCTTACCTGGCTGCCTGTCTCTTCCAGCCCAACACCTCATCACCTCCGAGTTAGAGGACCAGGGCTTGAGCGAGGAGGACTGTAGGACCCCGAGGTACCAGCTGACAGGGTGGCTGATCTCATGGGTCCAGTATGGCCAGGCCTACAGGCTGGGGATGAGGACCTCTGAAGCCCCTCGTAGCCCCCAGGCTGCCTGGACGGCAGTAAGGAGTCACTCACACTTATGTGCTGTTGGCAAGGAGATGAGACGAAAGCTAAGGGCTGACGGGGTGGTGAAGAGTGCTCAGATCACCCTCAGACATTAGCTATGAGTCGCCTTCCCTTGGGAGAATGTGGGCTTCCTGACCCAGGTGGCTGTGAAACATGCTCACCCTGAAGCAGATCAGTGGCCAGGCCGTTCCCTGAGAGCAGTCCCTGCAGTGCCCAGGGTCCAGACCTGGCGGGGGCAGGGAGGTGGCTTTCCTAGGACACAAGTTCTGCTGGGGAGCCCCAGACTGCAGGAGCTTGGTTCTGGACCCAGGACTGGACTTGACCAGAAGCCACCAGGCAGGGCAGAGGACTAGTGTGTGTGCATGTGTGTGTGTGTGTGTGTGTGTGTGCATGTATGTGTGTTTGCATGTGTGAGTGTATGTGTGTGTGTATGTGTGTGTGTGTGTCAGAGTATATGTTTTTGCATGTGAAAGAGTATGCATGAGCGTGTGTATGTGTGTGTGTGTGTGACTCAGTCTAGCACCAGCACTGTGCACACATACACTGTGTGTGTTTGTGTGTGTGTGGTGTTTGTAGGGGTGCTGGCTGTCAGGGGATCACAGCAAATAGGACAGGAAAACCCACCAGAAGCCAGAGGGTGAGGACTGAGGAGAAGCAAGTCCACCTGCAGGAGTGGGTGGGGCCACCTCCTCCCTCTGCCTGCTTCCCCACGTGTCCTCAGGTGAGTGTCGGAGCGAGGCCCTTGGCACTGGCTCTGAGCCATCATGGCGAGTGACCGGAGCTGCTCTGGCACCTCCTCAGGAAGCTTCCCTGGAGCAGGGGAAGATAAGAGAGGCTGGGGCTGACAGGTCCTCCGAGATCGGCTGCTCTGACCCTTGCAGTGTACAGAGAGGGGCAGGCACTTGCCCAGGTCCATCTCTTGATGCCCTGTTGGCTACCCTTCCACTGCCTCATGGTGTCTCTCGTCTGACTTGCCCATGTCTTTCCTGTCTTATCTCAATGGCTCTCACAACAGCCCTGAGATGTGGATAGGTTTGTTCCCATTTTACCAGTAGGAAAACTGGGGCCCAATAGGTGATCTGCAAAAACTCGGGCCATCTGAGGCAGAGCTGGGCTAGCACTGACAGGGGTCTGGGCTCCCAGCTCAGCGCTCTCTCCACCTCGGCTGTGATGAGGCGGCCCATCTTCACGGCGGGTGGCCCTCACTAAGCTCATATCCCCAGGCTTCCCTCCCCACCCCTTAGCCCCGGGCAGAACCTCCCTGTTGTGGCAGAGAAGGTGGTCAACTCTGAGTGGAGCCCCCACTCTCTCTCTCACTGGACCAGTTCTTCCTCATCTGAGAGACTCATTCCTTTGGCAGAAGTCTTCCTTTCCATGAGCCACTCTTAAATCTGCCCCTGCTTCCTCACTGTCTGCCCCAAGCCACCCTGTTCCTGGCACCTCAGTGTGGGTGAGTGTGTCAGCCACCAGCCTTCCGTGGCAGGAGGCTTTGGGGGAGCCACAGCATGGTGACGCACGGGCTAATGTGCAATGAGAATATTTTAGATCTGAGTTATCCTTCCAAGACTGGAACATGTGGCTGCCAGAGGCCAGAGGGCACTGGTTCCTGAAGAGGGGAAAGGAAAGGGAGAAGAGTGTTGAAAGGGCGGAGAAGATGGCAGGGTGAGGGCAAGCACAACCTGGCAGAACTCGAGACATCCTAAGGGCTGGCCTTAGCAGGTCACTGCCCTCTGATGCGCAAGGTCAGTCCCTCCTAGGCTCTGGAAGCCCACTCTTGCCCTCTCAGGACCCCCCGCTCCCAGCACATTTCTGAAGCACCAGTAACACGTTTCTATTTACCCGCAATCCCTCTGTGTGGTCTGTTCCACCCCACCAAAGTGGGCCTGTGCACCAGGTGAGCCCCTCGCTCCGCTAGGAGATGTGTGGGAGGCAGGGGCAGTCCCATTACCTCATCCCCTAGACCCCAGGCCAGGGGATCCTGGAAACAGAACGGCAGGGCCCTGAGTTCATCAACCACCTGCAAACCTGCCGGTCTGGGTTGGGTGCCCAAATCCCGTTTGGGGCCAGCTGGGCCAGGGCCCTCACACGGAGAACACTCGAGAAGGAAGGGCGGCCCAGAGGAGAGGCCCAAGGGTGGCCGGTGAGCAGCCAGAGGGTGACACCGTGGGTGGCTGCCCTCCCCTGCAAGGCAGCCTTTTTAGTTTGTCAAGAAGAGTCAGATGGGTGGGGGCATCGGGGGGCGGGGCTCAGCTCTGAGGCCTGGAGAGGCTGAAGGGGCTCTGCCTCCAGGGCTTTTGCAGAAGCGCATCCTTCCCAGAGCAACCAGATGAAACTCAGCGGCCCTTAGGACAACCGCTTCCCTCAGTGAGCCTCCTCCCAAGAAGCTAGCTGTTGGGCCAGTTAGCCACCACCCTAGACAGAGTCCCTGCATGGGGCAGAGTTTCTGAGCAAGCCATTGAAGAGGAGGCCAGCCCCCTCCTGCCCGCTGTCTGCTTGCCTTCCTATCTCCGGTCTAATCCCTTGGAGCAGGTGGTGGAGGTGGTTTTTGAATCACATGGCACCAGCCATAACAGCTTTATGCAGAAAGAACTACCTGGACCCTTTCCTCCAAGGAGCTCTGAGAGAGGCAGGTACCAGAGCTCCTTGGGATGACACCTGCCTCTCTCAGAGCTCCTTTGGTACCTTGGATCTCAAGGCAGGATTTCTTCATTCATTCAGTAAACATTTATTGAGTGCCTGCTGTGTACCAGGCTTTGATAATGCACCGGATATAGAGTCCCAACCCTTGGGGAGCCTTAGAAGTAACCCATGATGACAATCAAATCAGGGAGAACAGGGTGTTCTGGGAGCTCTTGGGGGTCCTGACTCAGTACTGGGGGTCAGGGAAGATGGGCCTTAGAACATGGACACCTAAGACAATGGCCGAAGGATGTTAGTTAAGCAAGAGAGGAGCAGGGAAGAGCCTTCCAGGTAGAGAGGACGGCCTTGCAAAAGTGGTGATGGTGCTTTCCAGAAACAGCTCCCAGAGCAGGTGCTGGAGAGAGAGGGACGCAGAGATACCCAAGAGCCACTCACAGAGGACCTTGCAAGCCTGGCATGTTTATACCTGCCTCCAGTCTTCAGCCAGAATTTTTCTGGGCCTCCAACTCCAGCAGGAAACCCAGTGGGAAAGAGTTATTTCCTGCCCTCAGAGGGAAGAAGAAAACAAAAACCCCAGCAATTTCTGCCTAACTCCAGAATGTGAAAGTTGACTTCTGCTGGCTGGGGTGACAGAGGATGACAGACTTTTCTCTTTCAAAAACACACTTACGCTTTTCTATTTAGAAAGGTAACACGCTCCCTAGGGAGAAAAGTGTACAGAGGAAGGTAAAATCACATAGAATCTTCATGTGGAGATAACCAATAAAACATTTTGTTTTTCCTTCCAGTCTTTTTTTTAAAAAAACATGCACTTTTGCATTTGTTATACAGCTGTGGCAAAACTATATACGCAATTTATTACCTGTCTTGTTCCCTTAATGTCTGTTCTAATGTTATCACAAATTCTTTTTTTTTGAGACGGAGTCTTGCTCTGTCACCTAGGCTGGAGTGCAGTGGCGGGATCTCAGCTCACTGCAACCTCTGCCTCCCGGGTTCAAGCGATTTTCCTGCCTCAGCCTCCTGAGTATCTAGGACTACTGGTGTGTCCCACCACGCCTGGCTAATTTTTGCATTTTTAGTAGAGATGGGATTTCACCATGTCAGTCAGGCTGGTCTTGATCTCCTGACCTCAGGTGATCCACCTGCCTTGACCTCCCAAAGTGTTGGGATTATAGCCATGAGCCACTTTGCCCAGCCAAATTCTTCATTTTTAAGGGCTGTATAGTATGCTGCCATATGGCTGTATTATAGTTTACTGAAGTTCCCTCCCAGGCACCCTTCCCATTGTGGCTTTTCCTGGACTTTTCCTATGGTTCCCCCTCAGCCCACAAGACCCCAGCCCTTAGCAGCCCAGAACCGCAGTGCCAGAGCCAGCCAGGATTCGGAGTCACCTGGGGGGCCTGGGGAAGGCTCACAGGCTTCGAATAAAAATCGAGGATGTGGGGCTGGGTGTCTGCATTTTTAAAAAGCTCCTCAGGATGCTGTGAAGCTGCTCCCAGACCAGCATTTGGAAGATGCCGTTTTAAAGCCTTCTAGGCTGCATAGCACCTGCATAGCCACATGGAGTTGATATAGCTCATTTTAAATTAGACAAATCATATCTATTTTGCAAAATTGCTGGGAAAGATAGAGATACGGCTTGTGAAGCTCAGGGTCTGGCATATCTTAGGTGCTCAAAAAAAATTGTAACTGCAGTTGTTATAATTCCAGGCAGAAGCCTTTGCACTGTGTCCCACTCAGCAGGACACTTTTGGTTCCTATAACCATCCCAGGAAGGGCTTGCCTGCCTTGGGACCCAGTTCTCCTCATTCTTTTTTGCATCAAATACAGAATCTATGCTCACGTTTTCACGAACACATCTACTGTAGGGCAGTCAATAGAAAAAAAAATCAAGCTAGGTGCAGTGCCTCATGCCTGTGTGAATGGGTGGCTCATCCCAGCACTTCGGGAGGCTGAGGTGGGAGGATTGCTTGAGGTCAGGAGTTCAAGACCAGCCTGGGCAACACAGTGAGTCCTCATCTCTACAAATAACAAAAGTAAAAAAAAATCAGCTATGGTGATGACTCACACCTGTAGTCCTAGCTACAAGGGAGGTTGAGGCAGGAGGATCGCTTGAGCCCAGGAGTTGGAGGCTGCAGTGTGAGCTATGATCATGCCATTGCACTCCAACCTGAGTGACAGAGTATCTGTCTCAAAAAAAAAAAAAAAAAAAAAAAAGACCCAAATCAGAACACATTGCCCATGAGACAGAATATGTATAATCAGGACTGTTCCATATGGCATATGGTGTTAGATGACCAGGAAGGACCTGCAATGGGGGGAGAGGTTCTAAACAGATGGTGAGGGGCTGTCGGAATCCCTCCTCCTATCTAATCAAGGAAGAGGTCAAACTTCAGGAAGGAAAAGAGGGAAATTAACCTTTATGAAAGTGTCAGCTCCAAGTGTAGCATGGTTGTCGTGGTACAAACCAGTGGTACAAACTGTTACTGGTTGCTGATAAGCTGAGCACAGACATTGAGAGTAAGCACTTAGAACAATTTTACAGCAATTTTACATTGACATTACCATGGTACCCAAGTATGTGATTTTTTTGGAAATTAACTTTTATTGCATTTTACAAAAGCATTGATCTGTGACTGATTATATATTTTAAAAATTGATTCTTCACCAAAGAGAGCTTGAGAGGCACTGGCTTAGAGACTGATATTATAAGATCTCACACCACCTCTGCAGGGTCTTGAATTAGGGGGCTCTGTCACTTCTATTGTCCCTCTCAGGAAGACAGCACCCATCCCACACTTGCTTGCCAGGCCTTGGCCAGAGGAAGGCAGCCCTGTTCCCGGGTCCCCTATCCCACATCAACCACAAGGCAGGGGTCAAGACTCCCCAGGAAGAACCCAGGCAGAGTTTGGAGGATCTAGATTTCTCTAGGAGGACAGGGGCGTGAGACCCCCCAGGACAGACCGAAGTGGGGGACTGGCATGTTCCTGAGGCTTCACGGGAAGGAAATTCCCCAGATAATTTCCGCCCTTCGTTTTAGAATCACCCCTCCTCATCAGGGAGCTTTCTCTTGTGTCTGATCTCAGTCCTCGCTGCTGGAACTGAAGTCCTGCTCCATGCTGAGGCTGGTGCTAGTTGCTCTGGGGGCACAAGCAATGGAGATATTTTTGTTAAGCACTTACTCTGATTAACTCATTTACTTTTCCCAATGATCTCATGAGATAGGTCCTATTTTTATCTTCATTGCACAGGAGAATCTCAAGGAGGTTAAGGGACTGGCTTAAAATCACACAGCTAGTAAGTAGGTCAGCCTCTGGCCTGCCCTACTCCAGGACCCGAGCCCTGAACCACAGTCTGATGCCGTGGACCTGCTTTCAAGCAGCTTACAGTCTAGTTGGGTCTGTGAGACCATTGAAGAATCCCAGCAGAGGCAGGTAGTCCAGAGTGTGTGGCCCAGGAACCTAGATGAAGGAGGGACACTGGGGAGGAGGCAGCCAGCCCCAGGCCTTGCTCCTGGCTCCCCATGCTCCCCTGGGAGGATGCTCATATCCTGTATTTCTGCCTTCACCCTCCCCAGGTGTGATCTCACTCCTCCTCTCCTTGGAGGCCCCAGAAAAGTGGCTATTGTTTCCTGCCACACAGAGAGCTTGGGGACCCATGAGACCCCTCTCACTCTGTCGGGGGCAGCTCAGGTTCCTGGCAGTGATAGGGTTGGGTGGTGCCCTTCAGCCTCCCAACTGCACCTTTTGTATGTATTTTTCCTTCCAGAAGGGTCTGCACTAGGAATGTAGATGAAGGACCCCTGCTGGAGTCCTTCCACTTTCCCATCTCCTGTTTCCCTACCCCCTACTTCTGGTATTCCCTGCTCTTTGGATGGGGCAGAACGGGGCAGAGCAAGTGATATCAGGAGAGCCCAGCCAGTGTCCTGCTGTCTTAAGCTCTCAGTGGCAAGTGGAGATAGAGATACAAAAAGCCCTTCAAAAAAATCAATGAATCCAGGAGTTGGTTTTTTGAAAAGATCAACAAAATTGATAGACCGCTAACAAGATTAATAAAGAAGAAAAGAGAGAAGAATCAAATAGACGCAATAAAAAATGATAAAGGAGATATCACCACCGATCCCACAGAAATACTAACTACCATCAGAGAATACTATAAACACTTCTACGCAAATAAACTAGAAAATCTAGAAGAAATGGATAAATTCTTCAACACATACACCCTCCCAAGACTAAACAAGGAAGAAGTTGAATCCCTGAATAGACCAATAATAGGCTCTGAAATTGAGGCAATAATTAATAGCTTACCAACCAAAAAAAGTCCAGGACCAGACGGATTCACAGCTGAATTCTACCAGAGGTACAAGGAGGAGCTGGTACCATTCCTTCTGAAACTATTCCAATCAATACAAAAAGAGGGAATCCTCCCTTACTCATTTTATGAGGCCAGCATCATCCTGATACCAAAGCCTGGCAGAAACAACAAAAAAAAAGAGAATTTTAGACCAATATCCCTGATGAACATTGATGCAAAAATCCTCAATAAAATTCTGGCAAACCAAATCTAGCAGCACATCAAAAAGCTTATCCACCATGATCAAGTGGGCTTCATCCCTGGGATGCAAGGCTGGTTCAACATATGCAAATCAATAAACGTAATCCGGCATATAAACAGAACCAAATACAAAAACCACATGATTATCTCAATAGATGCAGAAAAGGCCTTTGACAAAATTCAACAGCCCTTCATGCTAAAAACTCTCAATAAATTAGGTATTGATGGGACGTATCTCAAAATAATAAGAGCTATTTATGACAACCCCACAGCCAATATCATACTGAATGGGCAAAAACTGGAAGCATTCCCTTTGAAAACTGGCACAAGACAGGGATGCCCTCTCTCACCACTCCTATTCAACATAGTGTTGGAAGTTCTGGCCAGGGCAGTCGGGCAGGAGAAAGAAATAAAGGGTATTCAATTAGGAAAAGAGGAAGTCAAATTGTCCCTGTTTGCAGATGACATGATTGTATATCTAGAAAACCCCATCGTCTCAGCCCAAAATCTCCTTAAGCTGATAAGCAACTTCAGCAAAGTCTCAGGATACAAAATCAATGTACAAAAATCACAAGCATTCTTACACACCAATAACAGACAAACAGAGAACCAAATCATGAGTGAACTCCCATTCACAATTGCTTCAAAGAGAATAAAATACCTAGGAATCCAACTTACAAGGGATCTGAAGGACCTCTTCAAGGAGACTATAAACCACTGCTCAGTGAAATAAAAGGGGATACAAACAAACGGAAGAACATTCCATGCTCATGGATAGGAAGAATCAATATCGTGAAAATGGCCATACTGCCCAAGGTAATTTATAGATTCAATGCTATCCCCATCAGGCTACCAATGCCTTTCTTCACAGAATTGGAGAAAACTACTTTAAAGTTCATATGGAACCAAAAAAGAGCCCGCATTGCCAAGTCAATCCTAAGTCAAAAGAACAAAGCTGGAGGCATCACGCTACCTGTCTTCAAACTATACTACAAGGCTACAGTAACCAAAACAGCATGGTACTGGTACCAAAACAGAGATATAGAGCAATGGAACAGAACAGAGCCCTCAGAAATAATACCACACATCTACAACTATCTGATCTTTGAAACTCTCAATGTGCTCAAAAAGGAGTGTTTGAGGATCCAGTAGGAAATGGCTGTGGAAGCTCTACTAGCTCTAAGTGGTTCTGCCTGGTTTGGCTTCCCTCATTCTAGGCTTACTCAATTTTTTTTTTTTTTTTTGGATAGAGTTTTGCTCTTTTACCTAGGCTGGAGTGAAGTGGCACGATCTCGGCTCACTGCAACTTCCACCCCCTGGGTTCAAGCGATTCTCCTGCCTAAGTCTCCCGAGTAGCTGGGCTTATAGGCGCCCACCACCATGCCCAGTTAATTTTTTTTATTTTTATTTTTAGTAAAGATGGGGTTTCACCATGTTGGCCAGGCTAGTCTCGAACTCCTGACCTCAGGTGATCCACTTGCCTTGGCCTCCCACAGTGCTAGGATTATAGGTGTGAGCCTGGCCGACTTACTCAATTATTGCAGCCTCCAAAGCTTGGCTCAAGTCCACTGCCTCCAGGAAGATGTCTCTGACTACACAAGTCTGAACCAAGTTCTCAGCCTGAAGGGGTTATTGTCCACACTTAGTGATATAAGGCTGTTTTCCATCAGCGCTAGAGAGCCATGGGGACACCAGGCAACCCAATAATGACCACAGGCTGGAATCTGCCATGGTGCCCCACAGCACCAGGCCCCATACAAGCTCAGGCCTGCTCTGCTCAGAACTTCTCTGCTTTAGGACTTGGTGGTTTTCCATGTGCTTTACCTGGGATCACCAGATATGGGGGAATCTCTTAACTCCCAGGGAGACGGTTTGAGAAGAGATCTTTGTTATTCTCACCACACTGGTGAGGAAACTAAGGAAGGACCTGGGCAAGGTCACGGAACTGGTTTATGGATTGCAGAGTCAGGACTTGACCTGGGTTCTGATGCTCCCAATACACCCCAGGCTGCCACATTTGCCCAGGGCCTGAAGAAAGCCACACACAACACAAGTGTGTGCACCTGGGGCTCATTAGACCTCTCAGTGGGCTTTTGCCTTTTCTTTGCTTCACCAATTCCTCCTCCTGGCATTCCCGACCTCTCCCAGAACCCTCCCACAGCCCTACAGGGAGCCAGGCAGAGACAGTGATGGCTGGAACAGACCCTGCACACTACATACATGGGGATCCAGGCCACAGCGGGTGGGGCTTTGCTCTTGGCAGGACAAACAGTCCTGGTTCCGAAAGGCCCCAGAGGCCAGGACAGAGTTTTAAATAGCCAGTGTCAGGCCGATTGTGAGGCTCGGTTTAAATTAGCTGTCAGGGCTCCATTGAATCAGGTTTAATTGTTGATTGGTGCTGAAATGATGAATGAGATGTGGCTTTAAATAGGAAGCATAAGTGTTTCAACCTCACCCTGGGCTGGAACTGCAGGCATGATCTGGTGTCCTCTTATTCAAAGAGTTCCCTGGAGGAGGAGAGGCAAGAGGAGGAGCAGAATGAGCGGCCTGGGCTGGCCCGGGTTGCTGCACCTGTTTCTGGGTGGTCTAGTGTTCCAGGACAGATATAAGGATCACCTGATGGAGGCTCAGGGAAATAAGGTCTCAATAATTCAATCAAGCGATCCTTCTTCAACCCATCTGTCCACCATTTTCCTTATCATCCTTTGACCAAGGTGCTTATTCCCATCTGTGCCTTTGCAGGGGTCCCCAGACCAATCTTCCTAGAGTTGACAGAGGAAGTGGGGGGACAAGGCAGAGAGGAAAAGTCCACCATTCTTGGGAGGTCCTGCATTTAGACCTCACTCTGTCCCTCATCAACTGCATGGCTTTGAGAAGTCATATGAGCTCTCTGAGCCTCAGTTTCCATATCTGTAAACTAAGACAAAGCTTGCCCTACCTCCCTCCTGCAAGGAGCTGTTGAGGGATCAAGAAGGCTAAGGCAGGGAAGGAGCTCTGAAAACTGTGATCGCGGCACTACTGATGACTGATCAGCGCCTCCCCTGCCTGGCCCTGGGCCAAGCTGGGGTGACTGGAGGGTGAAGTGTGAATGGGAAGAGGGAGACCCCAATGTGCCTTTTGCAGCCCATGGGCTCCCCTCACCGACACCCAACAGGTCACCGCCTACTCAGTGGTGGTTTTTCACCTTCCCCAGGGTTGCTGGACAGTTCCAGTGCTCTGGGCCAGGGCCGGGTTCCCCACCCACCCTTCTCACCTGAGACCTGCCTGGTGAGTTCCCCCAGCTGCATCTTCCATCTCCAGCTTCCTCTCACCCTCACCTGGAGCCAAGTAGGGCAGTCAGAAGAGAGGGCAAGAGAAGCCCCACAGAGCCAGGGTTGTAACCGCCAGTCTTCTTGGTAGAGGAAGCTGGAGGGCTGATTTCTGGATTTGCCTCTCAAAGCTGGAAGAATGGCAGCAGGTGGGAACCAAGGACCAGCCCCTGGTGAGGGAAAGCTGGGTAGCTTCGAGAAGGCACTGTAAGCCTCCACAATGGTGTTTCTGGGGCTCAGGGCTGCAGTGGCTGCTGCTAGTAACACCCTCCCGAGAGGGTCAGGGAGTAGCCCTCATACCCATGTCAGCTGGCTCCTGCCACCCCTGGCTACACCAGACTCAGCAGAGTCCTCTTCATTAAGAAGGCAACTGTCCTAAAATGCCACATTCCTCATGATGTCACTCCCAGAGTTGGTCAGCAGCCCCCCATGGCCTGTGGGGTGGCGCCCAAGCCCCTGAGCTCACCTGTGACAGTCCTCATGGTCAGCTCCACCTGTGGGTTTCCCCTCTCCTCTTGTACTTTCAGCGGCAGAAAGGTGCACTGAGCGGACATGGGATTCCACACTGGAGTCCAAGCTCACATGTCTTGTTTTTGTTTTTTGAGACAGGGTCTCGCTCTGTCACAGGCTCGCCTTGTCTTGTCTCTGCTCCCTCACTAGCTGTCATCTGGCCCCAGCCTCCTCACCTGCTGGCGTGAGGAATATTTACCTGCTCCAGAGCAGGGCTATGAGGGGTTGGGAGGAGTTGGGAGATGGCCCCAGGACAGCAGCACGAGGTGCACCTGAGGAGCTCAGGAGGGGCGTGTTCAATTTCCTTCCTCACCTTGCAGGCTTGGTGGGATTGTTCCAGGAAAGAATCTACAGGGGAAAATGTGCTTCTGAAAACTTTTAAGAACTACACAAATTCTAGCCTCAGGAGCCCCCTTCTCCTGGATTTCAAGCAAAGGGGCCTGTGCACTCCAATAGGGCCTCCCAGCTGAGGTGTGGGCCACCTTCCTCCCTCTCCCAACATCCTCCGATTCCCGCCCATTTCTCTCCCACCCTCCAGGTCAGTGGCCTTGGGTTCCCTGTGGACACTAGCAGTCCTTTCCGCACCTGCACACCTTCTCTGCTCTCTGTCTTTGAGATGCGTGCCATTTCGTCTTCTACCCTCAACTGTCTTTTGAGTTTTACCACCTCCAGGATAGGGGATTTGAATCACCCTTGTTATATTGTAAAGGGTGGGAAGACTCCAGCTGACCCCAGGGTGCATGCAGAGGCAAAAAAGAGACAAAACACTTTTCTTTTGGTTTTGTTTTGGTTTTTGGTTTTTGGAGACGGAGTCTCACTCTGTCACCCAGGCTGGAGTGCAGTGGCATGATCTCGGCTCACTGCAACCTCCACCTCCCAGGTTCAAGCAATTCTCCCACCTCAGCCTCCCAAGTAGCTGGGATTACAGGCATCCACCACCACACTCGGCTACTTTTTTTGTATTTTTAGTAGAGACAGGGTTTCACCATGTTGGCCAGGCTGGTCTCAAACTCCTGACCTCAAGAGATCCACCTGCCTCAGCCTCCCAAAGTGCTGGGATTACAGGCGTGAGCCACTGCACCTGGCCAACTAAACACTTGTCTATTTGTATGGTTTTTTTTTTTCTCTTTAGCTCAAAAAAGTTTGTTGGGGGTGGGGAGTGGGCTACAGAGGAGATGCTTTTGAAGAGAAAAACATCACAACCCTGAAAATTCTGGTGAAGGACAGAAGGCTCAGGAAACAGGCTCCCCAAAAAGGCAGCCAGGGTGCCAGAGCACGTGACCTGCTTTTCATAGTTTCTGAGCGCTCTCTGCCTGCATCGTTGTGCGTTCCTCCCAGACATGTGAAGTTGGTATTATTGGAATGCCTACTTGCGTTGATGGGGGAAACGAAAGTAGGTATTATAATTCCCACTCCATAGAAAAGGAACCAAGGTTTGGAGAGGTTAAATACTATTGACGATAAAACAACAATAGCTGCCATTGGCTGAGAGCTAATTGTGTGCAGGCTCTGGGGGAAGTGCATTT
The DNA here is from genome assembly GCF_000001405.40 of Homo sapiens. Taxonomy (NCBI): domain Eukaryota; kingdom Metazoa; phylum Chordata; class Mammalia; order Primates; family Hominidae; genus Homo; species Homo sapiens. Next base: position 46,815,342 of record NC_000002.12, on the reverse strand, counting down.
GAGACATCCTCTCATTGAGTCCCTCAGCCATCTGGCAACGTAGACACCATCGCCCCCATCTGATGGCAACTCAGAGATGTTAAGAAATGAGTCCACATTTAGGAAGTGGCAGGGCTGGTTCTAGGACAGGGGTGGGGCAGCCAAGGGTCATCTGGGGCCATCTTCTCATCTCTGAAGAACAGACATGGCCAAGGGCAGAGCTCTGGCTTTCTTCCCTTTGCCTGGAGTTAGATTTAGGACTTATAGGACCCATAGATGAAAGTGAGAGAGAGGTAGGTTTTAGTTCAACCCCTAAAAACATTTTAGATGAGACTTTCCTTAGAAATAAGGAATACCCAAGGAATTCAAAGTCTGGATGAATCTTCTACCTGGAGTGTTGTAGAAGAGACTCCTCCTGTGCCTGGGACAGACAGGGCTTGGTCTCAGAGCTGGAAGACCATATCCTAGCGCTACCACTGACCTACTCACGTCATGATCTTGAGCCAACTACTTGACCTCTCTGAGCCACAGTTTCCACATTTGTAAAGATGGGAAAGTAAGGCCTTTCCAAAAAGAACGTTGTGTGGATTCTGAAATATGAAATAACAGATGCAAAAGCACTCCTGGCTTGGCCCAGGGTTGGCATCTGATAAATACTGGCTGAATCTGAATCTAAGCCAGGTAGGGGCTGGGATCAGAGGACAGTGACAGTCCCTTGCCACTCTGAGTGTCTATGACTTCCATCACCACACTGGCCATGGGCCCTGCTTATCGTATCTGCCACAGGTAGCCAAATACCCAGGTGAGGATGTCCCCACAGGACTGAGAAGAGATCTGCTAAGAGTATTCAGTTTAACGGCAGCACCATGTCCTTGGTTCAACTTCTTTTTGTGGGGGAGCGTGGAGAGAGGAGGGGAAATTTTATGATCAGTCTGAAGTGGAAAGAAAGCTCTTATCTCATTTCCTTCTCAGAGCTACATGTGATGGCTGTGACTCGGCCGTGGACGTGCTGGGGAGAGTAACGGGAACTGACAGCGGCCTGGGCCACATTCTCTAGTCCTCTTCCCACAGAGGCGTCCAGAGAAGGGGAATCGGGCCCTCTTTGCCGTGCCAAAATAAACTCGCATTGTTTCCAGCTCCATGAGAGGCCTCGAGTGAAGCAGCCTTTGCCAAACCCTAAAAGGAAGGAAGGCTGAGCGGGGGGAGGGAGGGGTCCCTGGATCGGGGGATGCACCCACCACCTCGCTTTCTCCTGACTTTCTGAAAACTCCATGTGGGCAAGCTCTAAAGCAAATCTCAGAGGGCACTGTGAAAATCTGTGCATTTAGGGGAGAAAGAAAGGACTCGAACTCCCATTTGTTAAGGGTCTACTGTATGGTAGGTACTTTGTTCATTAAGACTCATATTGGTGGGCTGCAGGCGCACGCAGACCAGGGTTCAAATTCTGACCCTGACTCTATTTGCTAACCACGTGACCTGGGCAACAAAGAACTCTGAGCTTCCATTTCTTGCAGGTAAAATGGGGCTGTTATGTAACAGCAATTCTTCAGAGAGGTGTTTTGAAGGTTAAGTCAGGTAATGTGGTAATGTATGTAAAGTTCTCAGCATAGTACAGGGCATATAAATACACTCAGTATACATGAGTTATTATTACTGTTATACAGCTGCTACTCATAATAATATCATCTTAAAACTTTCATGAAAATGCTGAGAGGTAGGTATTGTTAAATAAACATGACAGGTATGGAAAGTGGAGGCTCAAGAGAGGTTGAGGCACTTTTTCAGGGTCTAACAGTTAACGAGCGGTAGGCTCAGGATTCAAACTCAGGTCTGCCCAGCTTGACGGCCATATGTGTTGCACCTGCATCTGAGATGAGGGCTGACTGGGTTTTCTCATACAGATGCCAAGTTGCTCGGAGGCTGGAAAGCTGGAAAACAGCAAAAACAGAGACTGCTGGGCATCACTTTCATGGCCCAACTGCTTCCCAGACTTCATAGGCTCAGCCACCCTCCAGCCGGGCCTGGCTGACCACCAAAGCCTACGGTTCTCCTTGCCAGGCCTCAGGGCTCCTCTGTCTTTCAGCATCCATCTGGAGTGAACGTCTGCAGCGTGGGTCCCGTCTGCACCACTGGTCCCCAGGCCCTGCACAGTTGGCCTCCTGCTCCTGCATGGACAGCTTGTTGGAGCTGAGCCAAAGCAGCCTGGGATTGAAATCCTACCTCTGTCCCTCACTAGCTGGGTGACTCTGGGCATGTTACTTGCTCTCTCTGAGCCTCAGTTTTCTCATCTGTAACTCTGGAGCAAGAGTACCTAGTGAGAATTACGGGAGACAATGAAGATGACAGTAAGTGCTCCGAAGGTGTTAGCTCTCCTTCCTCCCGTTCCCTGCCTCTGGAAGTGGGTGCTCCTGGCTCTCCTGCTCACTCAAGATCATGAGGCTGTGGAGCCCCAGGCCAGGACCTATTTTTCATCCTGATATGTACTCTCTGCATGTCATCCTTAATGAAAAACGAATAACTCATGTGTTCATTTCATTAAATGCTGCCCCCACAAAAGTGTGGGCTTGTGCAATTCTCCAAAGACTGTCAGCTGGAAGATATCTCAGAATTCCTCGTAAATCAAAAGGTTTCATTTTGCTGCCAAGACAGTCAACTCTCTTTGCCTGAATAAGACGGTGGGCGGTGCTGGGCTGGGATGGAATCGGAGACTTGCCTGCTTGTCCGGGCTTTGCCAATTACCCACACAGGAAGGGGGCAGACTGCTTGTGACTCTGGCAGAGAAATGGGTGGGATGGGGTGCTGGATCCTACAGGGTCCTTCCTTCTCCTCCTCCGGTTCTAAAATTCTGGACTTTGAGCTTTCCTTCTCCCTCTGCCTCTCCCAGCCCCCTCCCACTATGCTCCTCCCGCTCTGCTCCACAATCCCTGCCTCTCCAGTCAATCAGGTCAAATCAGCTCAGGGCAGAGTCTGCAGAGAAAAAGCATCTATGCATTCCTGGCAGAGGATGATCTTCTAATGCCCCTTAGCGCAAAAGCAGCCCTCCTTAGGGGTGAAAAGAAGGGCAGCCAAAGTCTGTGTTTCTATTGTGGGGTCCAGGAAGAGTGGGGCATTTGCTCATGGAGCTAAGGATGGATAAATTTAGAAGTAAAAAGAGGGTTCCTCTCCTGCCCCCAGCTTTGGAAAGGACCCCCAAGCCAGCCCAAAGGGGCTTTGTGGTCACCTAGTGGAGCAGATTCCAGGCCACCCAAAGGGGTCTGCACATTGTGGGTGGCAGTGGGGTGGGGAGTGCACAGGGTGAAGGTCCCAGAGGAAATTGGGCCTCTTAAAAACCACAGTCAGAGCTGGTCTCTTGGGGAGGGGAGATGAGGGTTGCAGAATTAAGTTTCAATGTCTTTACTGCTGGGCTGCCCGACTGAGAGTAGGAGACAGATATAGAGGACCCAAAAGATCACTTCTGAGTGCAGGGGTTGGGAAGGAGAAGGAGACAAAAGAAGGACAAGGACAGGAACAGAGAGAGGCGAGGGGACCAAGAGAGAAGTGAGGGGGGCAAGGGGAAGGAAGGGAAAAGGGGGAAAGAGGAAGAGAGAAAGGAGAAAAAGGAGGAAAAAGGGAGGGAGAAAAGTAGGCGAGAAGAAATGAAAACAGAAGGAAAAACAGTGAGGAAGGAAAACGTTTCCCAAAACACGTCATCTGAGTGCTTCCCTCCTTGACAAGGGGGTGGGAGGTGCGTCGAGCCAGCCTGCACGCTCACCTCACATCCTGGGTCCATCGCTGTGCCTGGCGCTGCAGAGCCTCCCCAGCAAAGGTGGGCTCAGAACTTGCCCACTGCACAACTCCAGGAACACTATTTACCTAAAACACAAAGAGAACAGGTGCCCTGGAGCTGTGCAAGGAGGTGGCACACCCTGTGTGGCTGACAAATCCCAGCAGCATAATAGGACAGGGACATAATGGGGCACTCAAAACATAGAATCTGTTGTCCCATTCACTAAATCATTAAATATGCTGTACTCTCTGTTTATACCACACTAGCACTTTTATAACACCACTGTATTCCCCATGGGAGGCTTAAAAAATCCCTTCGCTAGTTCTGAAAATAAAATCCCCTATTTAACAAAGACCTGCAACCATTAAGATGTCTATCCATCCATCTACCTGTCCATCCAGTCATCTGGAGTCCATCCTTTCAGTGACCTTTTAATTGAGGATCTACAGTGTCAGGCACTCTGCTTTAGTACAAGCATGAAAACGTCCCATTTCTTGCCCCCAGGGGGCTCATCCTCTGCTGGGGAAACACACTTAAGTAGTTTATTATATAGCATTATAAGTGAAGTCATGGATAAATAAATTTACCATATTTAGCATTCTGAGTGGAATAATAATTCTATTAGCAATTGTTATCTGGGAAAAACAAGACAAAGCAAGACAAATCATGTGTGTGGAGTGACCACTACAGGTCATCTGTGATTTGAGTCCCCTATCCTTCAGCAGCAGGTGGCCTGCTCTCTCTAACTCTCAACTGTGCCCTGATCTCTTGCTTGGCTGGTGTGCCCTGAGTTCAGAACTGGCAGGTAAAATTTTATTTCCTCTTTTTATTTAAAAAATAAAATCATTTAAAATGCATATAACATATGCATAGTTTAAAGCAGAACTCTAAAGCAAATATTAGCTGCGCATGGTGGCTCACACCTGTAATCCCAGTACTTTGGGAGGCCAAGGCAGCAGGATTACTTGAGCCCAGTGGTTCACAACCAGCCTGGGCAACATAGCAAGATCCCATCTCTACAAAACATAAAAAAATTAGTCGGGCATGGTGGCACATGCCAGTGGTACCAGCTACTTGGGAGGTTGAGACTGGAGGATCACCTGAGCCCAGGAGCTGGATGCTGCAGTGAACCATGATCATGCCACTGCACTCCAGCCTAGGCAACAGAGTGAAACCCTGTCTCTAAAATAAATAAATAAATAAGTAAATAAATAAATAAATAAAGCAAATATTTTTGTAACCACCCGTGAGATAAATAAATAGACTAGAACATCACTAGTACCTGTGAAGTTCCCCACCAGCAACACCCCAGGTCCTTCCTCAGTCAAATCTCCCTTCCTTCTCCTAGAGGTAACACTATCCTGACTTTTCTGTTAATCAGAAAAAGTCTGATTGAACCTTGCTTTCCTTTATGGTTTTACCATTTATGTATGCACCCTAAACAGTACTACAGTGAATGACAAATGCCATTTGTAAGAGAAAAATGCTGAATATCTGCAAATTCATACAGCTTCATATAGTTTAACCTACTCGTCTATTTTTAAACTTGGAAATAAATGTACTGTATGCATTCTTTGATGATTTGCTTCATTTGGTGGACATAGCTATAGTTTCATTGTATATATTTTCACTGCTGAGATTTCATATAGCATACAAGCTCACAGTTAATGCATTTTATGGCTGATGGACATTTGAGTTGTTCTCAGTGTTTGGTCCTTACTGATGTTGTTGTTGTAAAGCTTTCTTGTCTCCTGGTGCGCACATGCATGGGTTGCCCTAAGATATTTATCTAGGAATAAAATTGCTGGATGACATGGTCTTCAACATGACTAGATCAAGTCCAGTTGCTTTCCACATTGGCTGTACCAATTTATACTCCCAGAGGCATCTGCATCCTTGTCATCTCTTGGTATTACAGACTTAATTTTTCCAATCTGGGGGGTACAAAATGGTATCTTATTGTGGTTTACATTTTATCTCCCAGATTATTAATGAAGTTGAGCTTTTTGTTTGTTTCTTCACCATTTGGATTTCCACTTTTCAGACTTGTCTGTTCAAGTCTGTTACCTTTAAAAAATTGGTTTTTTTCCCCTTGATTTTTAGTTCTTTCTGTGTTCTGGATATTAGTCCTTCATTGCTTATATGTGTAGTTCCAGTTTGTGGTTTGTTTTCATCTCTTTATAGTCCCTCCTTGATCTCTCTCTCTCTCAAAAATAATTTATGATAAAATTCCAAACATATACAAAAGTAGATAGAATAATATGATGAATCTCCTTGTACCTATCACTCAGCTTCAACAATTATAATTTCATGGACAATCTCGTTTCACTTATACCTTTTCAACTTCTGCTCCTCTAGCTTTATTCAGGTGATCCACTCACCTCAGCCTCCCAAAGTGCTGAGATTACAGGCTTGAGCCACCACACCTAGCTACTTCTTTACTTTTATATCTCATTCAAGAACTCTTGTTCTGAGAGCACAAAGGTATGTGCTTCTCTCTCTTTTTTTAAAAGGTTTGTAGTTTTACGTTTCACATTTAGCTCTTTATTCCAAATTAAAGAGATTTTAGTATGTGGTGTGAAATAGAGATTCAATTTTTTTCCCCCTATAGCTCTTTTTTTCCCTCCCCGGAATAATTTCTTAAAAAGTCTTTTCCCCACTCCCCTGTAATCTGCAGTCAGTCATATTGATCAAGTATCCATATATGTGTGGGTCTGCTCATGGCTCTCTCTTCTGTTTTATTGATCTATTTCTCTATGCCTGTGCTAATGTCACACTTTCTTAATTACTATGCCTTTATAATAAGTCATGATATCTGGCAGGGCAATTCCATCACCTTCTTTTTCTTATAATTATTGCATTTTCATATGAGTTTTATAATAAGCTTACCAAATTCTACATGCAAAAATGTGTTGGGATTTTGATTGTGATGCATTGAATCTACATATAAATTTGGAGAAAATGGCATATTTACAATATAGACTCATTCATCCATAAATATAGTAAGTCTCTGCATTTATTAATGCATTCTTTAATGTCTCCCAATAAAATTTAATATTTTATACAAAATTAGCATACATTTTGTTAGACTTATTCATAAATACTTCATTTGTGTTGCAAGTATAAATGATCACTTTAAAATTTTTTATTTTCTCAATGTTTACTGTTCACATATTGAAATAAACTCAAGTTTATTTGCATGTTAACTTTATACCCAGCAATTGTGCTAAACTCTTTTACTTGGTCTAATAACTTGGATTTTCTATTTACACAATAATGTTGTCTCTACATATTTAACATTTTGTCTCTTTTTCCCCAAACTTAAGCCTTAACTTGCTTGCTTGCTTGCTTTCTCACTCTCTCTTTCTTTCTCCCTCCCTCCCTCCCCCCTTCCTTCTTTCCTTCCTTCCTTCCCTCCTCCCTTCTTCTTTTCTCCTCCTCCTTCTTCTCCCAATAATATTGTCTATACATATTTAAAGTTTTTTCTCTTTTTTTCCCAAACTTAAGACTTAATTTTTTTCTTTCTTTCCTCCTCCTCCTCTTTCTTCTTCTTTTGAGGCAGTCATTCTATTGCTCAGGCTGGAGTGCAGTGGCACAATTGTGGCTCAGTGCAGCCTTGATCGCCCAGGCTCAAATGATCCTCCCACCTCAGCCTCCCGAGTAGCTGATACAACAGGTGTGTGACACCACACCTGCCTACTTTTTTTTTTTTCAGACAGAGCCTCTATGCGTTGCCCAGGCTGATCTCAAACTCCTAGGCTCAAGTGATCCTCCTGCCTTAACCTCCCAAAGTGCTGGGATTATAAGCATGAGCCACTGTACCCAGCCTTCTCTTTCTTTCTCTCTTTCTTTTCCTTCCTTCCTTCCTTCCCTCCCTCCCTCCCTCTCTTCTTTCTTTCTTTCTTTCTTTCTTTCTTTCTTTCTTTCTTTCTTTCTTTCTTCTTTTTCTTTCTTTCTTCCTTTTTTTGAGACGGAGTCTCACTCTGTTGCTCAGGCTGGAGTGCAGTGACATGGTCTTTGCTCACTGAAACCTCCGTCTCCTGGATTCAAGTGATTCTTCTGCCTCAGCCCACTTAGTAGTTGGGATTACAGGTGCGTGCCACCACAGCTGGCTAATTTTTGTATTTTTAGTAGTGATAGGGTCTCATCATGTTGGCCAGGCTGGTCTTGAACTCCTGACCTCAGGTGATCCACCCACCTTGGCCTCCCAAAGTGCTGGGATTACAGGTGTGAGCCACCATGACTGGTCCTTTTCTTTCTTTATTGAAATGGGTAGGATTTCTCGTACAATATTAATAGAAGTAGTGATAGTAACCATGCATTTTTTTCTCCACCTCAAAGTCTCGTTCGACGAGATGATCTCTTTCCAATGCAAAGATCTTGATTTTCCTCACAATCATCTTCTTTCTGGCTCAAGCAACTACCCACAGCCTTCTAGAGTGAGACTAAGAATCATAATTTATATCCAGACTTTACATTCTTGAGACAAGGTCTGGCACTACTGCCCAGGCTGGAGTGCACTGGCACAATCTAAGCTCACTGCAACCTCCACCTCCTCGGCTCAAGGCTTCCACCCACCTCAGCCTCCCGAGTAGTAACTACAGGCGCAGACCACCATGCCTGGCTAATTTTTGTATTTTTCATAGAGACAGGGTTTCACCATGTTGTCCAGGTTGGTCTTGAACTCATGAGTTCAAGCGATCTTCCCATCTCAGCCTCCCAAAGTGCTGGGATTATGGGCATGAACCACCCAGCTATATCCAGACTGTTGATAGTTGCATATCTCTAGCCTGAATGTAGAAGATCCTGGAGTCTGATCTCTTCTCCAATATTTTGTATTTGTTGAGTCATTTCCTCTCAAAACTCCCAAGCCATTTCTGCTTCATAGTTTGAATCATAACTAATAGTCAAAAAAAAAATTGTGATGGTTGAGAGGTTGGCTGTGCCCATATCCCTTTTTGAAGCTCTCTCTGCCCTTCTTCAGGGTGAGAGAGATGGACTGTGCCTTTGTTCCCACATCCTAGCACTGGCTGAAAGAAGCGACATGTGCTATGCTACGCCATTGTCTCTGGGGTGTCTAAGTTGCATCCAGATGTAAGAACACCAGATACAGCACAACTAGACTCACCAAGATCAGGCCCTTTCACCAGGGAAGTGCCTAATGTTCTGGCCTACTTTTATTGAGGGTTGATAGAACAAACAGCTATTGGAAGAAGGTTTGCCAAATAAATATTTGAGATGGTGTTCATCGTGTTGTTCGATGTTCCCTACATAAGGATTCATATAATATATTGTGTTGGAATTAAGTGTCAGTATAGTTAGTCTCTCCTGTTGAACTAACATATGTCTGCAATGGGATTAATACTTTCTGGAATTGTCTTTAGATACATTTTCATGTCCTGTAAACCTTGTTGTTCTGGAGTTTCTTGTACATTGGGGTAATGTCTGAGTCTCAGACAGAAAGCTAGATGTCGAGAGAGTCAAGGTTTACTAAATTCCTTTGACCCTCTTTTAGCACATCAAGAGGTAGGCCTGACTGACTACATTTTAGAAGATGATGAAGGAAAGTTTATCTCTCTATCCTCATAGACTATGGGAAGGGGAAGGGGGATAGGGAGAGAACAGGTAGATCAGGCACCAGAGCTCTTCTCTGCCACTACCATTATTACCTTCCCCACCTTCCCCACCAGTGTGTCAGGGCACAACCTAGAAAGTTGGGAGCTTTTAAACACATGCTTTTAAAGCATGTCTGAAGGCCGCAGGGAGCGTCTGGGCTGGAGGCACCCTTCTCCAGGTACGCTGGGTCCAGGAGAAGCACCCACATGAAGGCCTGGAGGTAGCGCAGGAAGTAGGAGGTAGGGGAGCCTGAGACAGCACCTGAGCAGGTGTTGAGAGTGCCAGCAGAAAGGCAGAGGCCTGGTGACAGGACTGAGTGACCACTAGGAAAGCTGGCAGGGACCATGGGCTCCAGCGACAGCTCCTGGCACAGCGCCCCAGAAAGCAAGATGGGGCCATCCCATCATAGCAGTCATGAGCTCAAGGAGCAGGCTGTGAAGATCCAGGCAATGCCACGGGAACCCAGGGGCCTCCCTCCTGGGCTGTGCAAGACTCTGATAGGAATCACCTGCCACACGGGGATTCAGCAGCCAGAGAGAGCAGTCTCCAAAAGGCTGACATTTACGTGAGTGAGCCAAGTTATCTATGAAAGACAATTTTGATTACTAAATCAAGCTTGAAATTTACCAAATTGGATACAATTTAGGATTTTACCCGCCTGCTTCCCAGTGAAACTGATAAGAAGACATTCATTATAAAGAAAATTTTAGCCAGGTGTAGTGGCATGTAAGCTACTCGGGAGGCAGAGGCAGGCAGATCACTTGAGCCCAGGAGTTTTAGTCCAACCTGGGCAACACATCAAGAACCCATCGCTAAAAAAAAAAAAAAAGAAAGAAAATTGTAAAAGTTACACTTTTTCCCCACAATTGCATTGTAGTGTGAGTAAATGTTTCCCCACTGCACATCCTTTTTATGAAACTAAGATTTATCTCATTGTGGCCTCTTTTCAGCTGCAGAGCTGACTCGCATGTTACATTCAGTGACAACAAATGTTCTTGCACAAGTGTGGAAGGGGCACAAGAGTTGGAGTTTGGCTGGCCTGGGTTTGTGGCCTGGGCTGGATTGTGACTTTTGTAGACTCCAGGCACTTTTATAGTTGTGGACTCCCTCCTCCATTAAAAAATTAAATATATGTTACTATTGTGTTGGCATAAAGACGAATCTATTAATATCATATATTAAAACATTTTTTCAACCTCAATGTTCTCTTCTCTTCTTCTGATTTTAAAAGAAATTTTAAAACATTTTAGTGGGCCCCTAAGAGTATCCTGGGCCCTGCGCCTATTGGAGAAGTCAGCCCTGCTTGCACCTTTGCCTGCCCTGGACATGCCTCTTTGCTTGTCTTCCTCATCTGTAAAATGGGGTTGCTGGACTAAATGATGGAGTGCATTCAAGGACACGGCACCTGGGGTAAATAAATGTGGGTTTCCTTTCTTCATCTCCATGGACTTGATTTTCTATTTCTATTTTCGTGATCTTGCGGCATATGTGGTTTTCATTGTGAGTCACCTTCAAAATTCTCTTTGGAAGTAGGTGGGGTATAAATTATAAATAAAAATTCCTTTTTACTTCCTCAGCACTTAGCACAATGCCGAGCTTTATATTCCCAATCCTTGTTTGTTGACTGTGCCGGTAAATGGCTCTCTCCCGGCCAACCTCCGCCCACCACCCTGTCCCACCCCGGCCTGACTGCTCTTGGAGGAGGCATCCTTTCTGTCTTTCTTTGGCCTCTTCTCTCTCCCTCAGAATTCTTCTTTCCTTAGTGGCCTGTGCTCAGCTGGCTGTCAGAGTGAGGAAGGTGCCCACTAAATGTCACACGGTGAGCTGGGTAATATTGCCACAGCCCCACGAGGCAGGGTGTGTGCCCTGCTCCACCCCGGAGGATGCTGTGGCTCAGCGAGGAATTGGCTCCACACGTGGTGGGACTGGGATTTGAACCCAGGCCTGTCTGGCCAGGCAGTGGCATGGTGTGTTAAGCCTCCATGGTTTGCAGTTTCCAGCAATCTGAGGGGATTTCTTGGCACTGTTCAAATCAAACCCTACTGGAAAACGTGGAGGTCCCTCGAGGTGTGTGTTCAGCTTTGTCACCGTCCCTCAGGCCCCACCATTCACCCAGCTGGAAGTTTGTGCTGAAACTCTCTTCCTAAATATTAGAGGGGAGCAGTGCCACAAGCAAGCGGGGAGGAACCGGGAGCCACACAGCTCATGCTGGAGATTCAGTGGTATGTCCATCAAGAGGGTGGCTACCAAACACATTTCCTTTATTGGCCGGACTTTAGAGTGCTCAGCTCCAGGACTTTAAAACGGCACCAGAGTGTTCAATGAGCTTGTATATGTGAGGCACTTACAACAGCGCCTGGCATACGTGTTGGCTGGAGCCGAACCGAATGCACCGAATCATTCAGCGCACATTGAGCACCTACTGGGCTGCGTGCTGGGAAGATACACATGAATAAAACATCTTCCCACTTATTCAAGAGAAGGCAAAATAAAAATTGCCCCGCGATGGGATAGAATCTGCAATTAAAAAGAAGAGCATGTGCAAGTTTATTTATGTCCTATTACACAAGCTCCTCCATTCTCCACCCCCACCCCCACCCTCTCAATCTGTCGCATTCAGGGATCTGGGGCTCTGAGCATTTGCTTGAATTAAACAGATTCAATGGCATGTCAGGGTTGGGAGGAGAAATGGAGAAGGTGGAAGAATGAGATGGAGCGATTAGTTAAAAAGAGAGATGTTGGTAGTCAATGCACAGATGCCTCCTCCTGGAGAGGAGAGGAGGTCAGACAGACCTGGAATGTTCCCTTGGGAACAATCATATTATTAATAACTGTGATAACGATGCGTGCTACTGAGTGCTCCCAGTGCCAGGCGCTGCTCTAAGCCTTCACACAGATGAGCGTATTTAATTCTCCCAATCCCCTAAGGAGGCAGCTTCTATCATAAACCCCATATTAGAGCCCAGAGGCTCAGCAGGGGGCAGTGACTTGACCAAGGGCACCACCGCCAAGAGGCAGCCTCCTGCCTGGAGGCTGCACTTGTCCTGTGGCCTTCACACAGGTGCCTGTGACATTGTGAGACAGGTGAGGTCAGGGTGCGGTATACAATACCACTGCAGACTAGTTGGAGTTTAGAGCAGAAAGCAGGAGGTCGGACTGGTGGAGTTTGAATCCTGGCCCACCATGACCAACTCTGTGACCTCGGCCAATGTCTTTCTATGTCTCTGTTTTCTTATAAGTGAAATGAAGATTGAGGATGGTGATGACGACACCACCTCCTGGAGTGGTTGTAAGGCTTTAACACAACTGTGCACACATAGGGTTTAGCAGGGCCTGCCCAGACGAGCAGGATACATGGCAGGCATCCCTGAGCTCATGATTTGTCCCTAGGAGAGCTCGCCCTGCCATCATCCAGGCAGATGAGCTCAGGCTTCCAGGCTTCTGCACTCACAGATGAGGGGGCGAGCTCAGGACAGGCAGTGGGAACCACAGGGGGAGAAATGCTAATGAGAAGTGACCCCACCCATGGAGCCTGTCCCCAAACTGATGAGCATGTTGGGAAATGTGCCCAAGTGTGGCAGGAAATGCCTGTGGAAATGCCTTGGACAGGGGCAGCCGATGACTGGCCACGGGGACACTGGAGGACATCGCCTGGCCTCTGCCTCCAAGCAGGGCACCGTCTGGCTGGGGACAGAAGCCTCTTCACACGAACCAATGAGTGGCCCAGGCGGGGTCTTCCCAAGGGTCACCTGCAGCGTGTGGTTCTGGCCATCGGAAAGAAGAGTGACCAGTGAGCCGTGGGCTGGGAGCCTGTATGGGCAGAAGGCCAAGGGGCTGTAGGAGGTGGCATGTGTGTGGGATGCTGTGACTCAGCCACTCACCCCAAGGACTAGCTTCAGGTCTGCTTGCCCCACCTTCACTTTTGACCAGGCATTTCTGATTTTCTCTCCTTTTCCTCTTTTTGATGAGGGACAGCTCTGTTGTCATAAGTGAGGCACAGCCAAGGCCAAGGTCTTCCTTTCCAGAGCTGTTCTGGGCTGGGCCGACTCTGCTATTTGAATGTACAGGGCTCATTCTACAGTATGCCAATAAATGTGCCCATGAAAAAGAAGACCTTTAGAGATGTGCTCATGCAGATGATTCTATCCCACCTGTCACAGAGGGAGGCACAGCAACCATCTGCTAGATTCTCTATTCCCACCCCACCCCTTACATTTTTAACCACATATTTTCACAGTTTGCCTTACTTATTTAAATCTGTTATTTAGAAAGACACATGTATTGCTAAGTAAAGAAACGGCAGCTTTTGCCCATTGAAGCCCGTTCTTCCCATATTCTGTAGCTGGCTGGGGTCCGCTGAGAGACCCTTATATGTGCAAGCCTGGGTGTCCTTTAACCAGGCTGGATTTAGGACTGAATCCACTCCGGATTATCGAGTGCTCTGTACTAGAAGGGGAGGAGAGCTGACACTTAATGTGACTTATCTTTCAGAGTAACAGTGAGACCCCAATCTCTTGGTCTCTACTGTAGTGGATGTGGATCCCTCCTTTAACCCGGAGACAATACTGTATGTCCAAATGCTATGCTCTTGAAGTCATGCTGCATGGCCAGACCATTGAGTCAGTTATTTGGCACCTACTGTATGCCACACATTGTGTGCCAGGCACTGGCAATGCCTTGGGACGAGATGAAGTCCCCACCCTCATGGAACTGACACTTTTGTGGGGAGAGAAGAGCTAGAAAGCCCAACACGGACAAATTGTGTTAAGTGCCCTGAAAGGAACAAACTGTGATAGAGAATGGAGAACAGCAAAGAGGACCGGGGGAAGGAGGGCCCACAGAAGAGTGATGTGGAAGCCAGGCCCTAGCCGGGGAGAGGCAGGAAGAACTCAACACGTGCAGAGGGAAGGCGAGGCGAGTGCAGTCCGGGAGGAGAGAGACCTTCACATTACCTGGGAAGCAGGAGAAGAATCTGGCCCTGAGCCTCCTCTCTACCTCCTACCTGCAAGCCCCGGGGTCCCCCTGGCCTTCTCTGTCTTTGCAGCTCCTTAGAGTGGGAAGGACCAGGCCTTGTGCCTCTGCCCATGGCCAACAGAGCTCCCTAGAGAGCCTGGGCTGCCCGCTCACCCAGTAGTTCCGGGCCATGCCAGAGCCTGCACCTGGCCAGAGGCCCAAGGAGTTCTGACACCTCCCCCAGCCCACACGACTCCCGCCCCACCACACCCCACTCGAGTAACAGAGCTTGCAGCGTCACAGCCACTGCTGCCATCTCTTTGGGCCTCTGGTCACCTCCACACAGCCTCATCACCCTGATCATTGCTGCTGCAGCTACAAGGCACCACTCACTGCCCTGCCACGCCTTCAGCCTTCAGCACGCTGTCAGGAATATGCTACTGCCTATTCCCCTTCTTTCTGGTGACATCTGGTGACTTCTTTGATATCTCTTCAAATGCTGCTCCCTTCTATACCCCTCTCCCACACTTTCCTGCCTCCTTCCCCTCTGTTCCTGGCACTTCACTATAAGGCTTACTTACCCTGCTGTTAGCTATTTGAGTCTCTCCCCGGCTTCCCAAGGGCAAGGTCTGAATCACTTTTATACTTGCAGTCCCAGGAGCTGATGCAGAGAGTAAATCATCAATACAGCTTTGTTGAATAAATTCTTCGTGTGCCACTTAGAATAATAATCTCCTTCATGTATTCAGCATTTAACAAGCTCATCCAAAACTTTGTGCCATTGTATGCTTGCAACACCGTAAGACTAGGTGCTGACCTGCTGCACAGGTAGGGAAATGTGGAGAAAGGTTACATGATTTATGTTAGATCGCACACAAATTGGTGGCAGGGCTGGGTCATGGTCTTAATATCCTTACTCTTAGTTCACTGCTCTTCATTAACTTCAGAGCACTCAAGCCTGGAGTTAGAGAAAAAACACATTTCTCAGTAATACATCTTAAGATATAAGCTGAGGACATACCTGTTTTAACACAAACTTTAAAAAAAAAACTACACTATATTTGATCTTAGACTTCCCAAGCCAAATAAATACATTAATTAAAAGTACACTATAAGATATGAGGTAAGCCTTTATTGAGCACTTATTATATACTTTTATATATGGAACTCAGTATTCTGGGAGACACAAAAGAATTACAAGACTCTCTTACATAGTACTCACAATTATTCAGGGAAAACGACCCAGGGACAAACACAGCAAATGGAGATAATGTATGGGTGGGTAAATGCAGAAGCTCTTGGAGCAGAGTTGTTCCTGAGGGGCCCATGGAGAAGGCTCTGGGAAGTCATTCCCATCCATGGGACAAGAGGAGTGATAGCAGAGAGGAGACGTGGGGATGAGGAGTAGGGGTGGGAAGGTGCACAGGACAAGGGGGCGGCCCAGGGGCGGGCCAGAGGGAGGGGCTTTATAGGAACACTCGTGAGAGTGCTCCTCTGAGGATCAGAGAGGACCTAGATGTGCTTTTCAGGGATGTCTCATCACAAGTAAAGCATGACTCTTTCTCAGTTGCCAGAAACAGTTTTGAGAATAACAAACTCAATCTCTGGCATCAGAAAGGGTGCCTCATCCCCAGGGATTCTAAGAGGGTAGGATTTGTCTTTCCAACTCAGCTCAGCTTAACTCAGCTCAGCTCAGCTCAACTCAGCTCAATTCGGCTCAGCTCAGCTCAACTCAGCTCAATTCGGCTCAGTTCAACTCAGCTCAATTTGGCTCAGCTCAGCTCAACTCAGCTCAATTCGGCTCAGTTCAACTCAGCTCAATTTGGCTCAGCTCAGCTCATTTCAGCTTGGCTTAGCTCAACTCAACTCAGCTCGGCTCAGCTCAGCTCAGCTCAAATCAGCTTAGCTCAGCTCAGCTCAACTCAGCTTGGCTCAGCTCAGCTCAACTCAGCTCAGCTCAGCTGAACTCAACTCATCTCAGCTCAGCTCAGCTGAACTCAACTCATCTTCACTCAGCTTGGCTCAACTCAGCTCAACCCAGCTCAGCTCAACTCAGCTCAGCTTGGTTCAACTAAGCTCTACTCAACTCATTTTAGCTCAGTTCAGCTCAGTTTAACCCGGCTCTTCATATTACCTGTCAGTCATGGACCATCACTTCCTATCCCCAACTGCCACAGACAAAGCTAGTGAAGTAAGACACATGAACAGAGGTTCCTATCTCCTCTCTGTCCAAACCGCAATCATGACATCCACTCCCCATTACCTCCATCTTCTCCCATTGCAGGTGCTCATAACAACGTCCAAGGACCCAGCTTTGTTAGTGAATATGGAATTTGCGGGATGGTTGGCAAAGGCTCCAGCCCTGATGGAAAGCCCTGGAGGAAACTCGGCTCAGCTGAGAGTGTGATGACTCTCCTCCCATTGCAAACTGAGACCATAGTGAAATGGACAGAAGGAGAGAAGGGGTTGTTGTAGGCTGATGGCCTTGCCTGCCTGGCCCCAACTGACCTGGCCATTGAAGTTGTGCTGGAACCCAGGCAAGTGTCCAATGTGTCCCTAGGTGAACTAAGGTTGTAAGGAGGTTTCTGAAGGACACGTAGGGGACTCATGGAAAAGCAGGTTTGGTGGGGGCCCTTCTCTATTCTCTCTTTCAAAGCCATGCATTGGGCTGGTTCAGGGCACCAGGCAGGGCTCTGCTTCTTTCACTCTGTCCTCAGGCAACACTACTGCATTTCAGCAGCTCTTTAACCTCAAAGACCTGTGAGTCAGTGTAGAGCAGGTCACACACAGAGCAGGTCACACACAGAGCATCTCTAGTTGAGCCCACTGGCCTCATCACAATGCCTGTGAGCTGTTCATGGGCCTGTAGAGTTCATGCCCCTCCTCATGTGTCAACACAGGAGCTAGTCCACGCTGAGGAAAACATTTATTGTATCTTTCCCCAATAGAGTTTCTGTGGAGAGATTCCCCACCTATTTTCATAACTTCTCTCAAAGTTTGACAGCCTTTGCTCAGCTGTAGCCTGGACCTAACCTTCTACTACAACACAAGCCAGTTCTCTTTGGTCTGATCCTCAGAGACAGACCCTTGAGTGAGAAACTCCAGGATGTACACCATCACATTGGGAGTGGGAAGGTGGAAGAGAGAAGAGACAACAGAAAGGGGGAAATGCCTACAGCCACTGCAAAACCAACAAGCAGAATGGTGGTAGAGACTAGCCTGGCCAACATGGTGAAACCCCATCTCTACCAAAAATACAAAAATTACCCAGGTGTGGTGGTGTGTACCTGTAATCTCAGCTACTCAGGAGGCTGAGGCAGGAGAATCACTTGAACCCTGGGGGTGGAGGCTGCAGTGAGCAGAGGTCATACCTGGGTGACAGAGCAAGACTCTGTCTCAAAAAAAAAAAAAAAAAAAAGAAAACCCAAAACCATTTGTGGAGTATGTATTACATGCCAAGCACTATTCTAGGCATCATGAACATACATGAATACAAACACGTCGACAAATATCTCTGCCTCACTCACTTCAGAGTTGTTCACAGAGTCACAGCTGCAGTGGAGAGAAGCAATTACGCACAGATGGGTAAGAGAGCCCAGGGATGCTGAGTGACATGCTTTTGGTCACCCAGGAAGTTGAAAGGCAGAGCCAGGTGTCTCATCTGTTGACCTCTCCTTGTTATTCCTCTCATGGTTGAAAGTGAGCATTTCCTAGGAAGACAAAAGAATCTTTTATTTTCTGGGTTCCTAGCCAGAAAGTTCTGTTCACTGCTTTGGAGGGGTTTTCCTTACCCAGGGAGACCCTGGCAGGTCAGCCCTTGGTTCATGGTGCCTGCTTCTTGCAGAGAAAGTTATGTTCCTGGACCTTCATCTTCTGGAAGTATGTAAATGCATGACATTACTTTTTTTTAATGCTTGGTATTTATGAGGTCTTTTCCCCCTGAGGCTGCCCCATGTTCTGAAATGTGAACATGGTAGGCAGGATGGATACATTTTTGGAGCAGTAAGTACAACCAGATGTGTGGACGGGGCTGAAGAAACACACCAAGCTTTTATGAGGGATGCAGAGCTCAGAGACCCAGCCTGTTTCTCTCCTCTCAGGGGAAATTAGTTTAAAACTGGCAAAAAAAAAAAAAAAAAAAAAAACAAAAAAAAAAACACAGGTCAAGGTGTTACCTGCATACCAGTTTCACATACCCCCTGCCAGACTGCGAACCTGGTCTTGCACCCATTCACCCAACTCTCAGTGACGGCAGATGGCAGCCAGGTGCTGACACAGTTCTCTCATTTCACTCCAACAATACCACCCAAGAAATGGATGAGGAAGCTGAGGATCAGTTTGGCTAGGTAACTTGGCCAGGGCCACACAGGTAGGCAGCAGGAAGGGCTGAGATGCAAACCAGGACAGCTAGGCTGCAAAGGCAACCACACTGTCTTTGCAGACCAGCCTCTTTCCCCCAGGGGCTCTCTGTCCAGTGGCAGAAGATCTACAGGGTTCCAGCAAAGATGGGAGGCTCCATCCCAGGCAATGAGAAACAACTCCTGGCAGTATTGTAGCAGCCAGTGGTGAGGTTTCAGTGGAGAAAAAGTAGTACTCATCCCTGCAGAATTCGAAAGCAATGGTAAAGCAAGACATAGATGCATCAAACAAGTTGTGAATGACACATGTTACTACACAACCATGCTTAATTTTGGAGAAGCAAGTGGTGGATGCTTTAAGGGTTCTGCACTGTGACCTGGAGTAACCTGGAAAACATTCAGGCTAGAAGGATTTAAGCTGCACATTGAAGGATGGGAGGAATTCGGAGAGGCAGAGAGGTATGAGAAGCACATTACGCTGAGAGTGTGTGAAAAGAGCAGGAACACAGAGAGAAATTAAAGAGGTGGTGCTGGTGAGATGAGAAATAACATTTGCTAAGCATTTATTGTGTACCATGAATGGTGCTGGGGGCTTCAGCATATTATCTCACTTATTAAATCAACTATATTTAGTTTTAATTTACATATATAAGAAAATGCACACATTTGAAGTGTACAGTTCAATGAGTTTTGGTAAATGTATATACCTGTGTAATCATCATTACAATCAACATACAAGACAACATTCTGTACCTGCAGCTCCCCTTGTATGAATTCAACCAACTGCAGATAGAAAATATTTGCAAAAAAAAACCACAATAAAAAATAACAATACCACGCCTGTAATCCCAGCTATTTGGGAGGCTGAGGCAGGAGAATCACCTAAACCTGGGAGATGGAGGTTGCAGTGAGCCGAGATCATGCCACTGCACTCCAGCCTGGGCTACAGAGTAAGACTCTGTCTCAAAAAAATAAAAAAAAATAAAAAAAAACCCAACAATACAAATTTTAAGAACAATAGAGCATAACAACTATTTCCATACCACTTACATTGTATTAGCTATTTTAAGTAATCTAGAGATGGTTTAAGTATACAGAAGGATGTGGGTGAGTTATATGCAAATAGCACACAATTTTATATAAGGGACTTGA
This sequence comes from Homo sapiens, assembly GCF_000001405.40. Classification (NCBI taxonomy): domain Eukaryota; kingdom Metazoa; phylum Chordata; class Mammalia; order Primates; family Hominidae; genus Homo; species Homo sapiens. The sequence goes on along the minus strand of NC_000002.12, from coordinate 46,795,518 downwards.
GGACCTGAATTTTGGCATTGGCTGGGTTCCTAGAAACAACCTCTTTGGTGGATATGAAAGGACAACTGTATGCATTTCCATCATTCTCAAATGCCATCATTCTCATGTTTTTTTTTGTGTGTGTCATCAGTCACCAGCTCCCTCCCTCCAGCCAATCACTGATCTACTTTCCAACACTGTAGATGAGGTTTGCTTTTTCTAGAATTCACATAAATAGAATCCTGTAGTAAGTGGTCTTTCATGTTTGGCAAGTTTGGCTCAGCATATTTCTGAAATTCATCCATGTCGTTGCATGTATCAGTAGATGTTCCTTCGTAATACTGAGTAGCATTCCATTGCAAGGCTATCCTCCTGCCTATTTGTGAACATATGAGTTGTTTCCAGTTTAGGGGGTTAATGAATAAAGTTTCTATGAACCTTTGTGTGCAAGCCTTTGTGTAGGCATGTTTTGATTTCTCCTGGATAAACATGAAGAGGTGGAACTGTTGAGTCATTTGATGAGTGAAAAATTTTATAACAAACTGATGAATTGTTTTCCAAAGTTCATTAATCATTTTATATTCCCAACAGCAATGTATGAGACTTCAGGTTGCCCCACTTACTTGTCAACACTTGGTATTGTCAGTCTTTTTAAATTTAGCAATTCCAGTAAGTGTGTAGTGGTAGTTCGTTGTGGTTTTAATTTGCATTTCCCTGATGATTAATAATGTAGAGTATCTTCTTGTGCTTATTTGACATTTGTATATCTTCTATGAGAGTCTGGATTTAAATTAGTTTAAAATAATTAGCCCACTTTAAAATTGGGTATTTGCCTACCAATAATTGACTAGTAAGAGTTCTTTAGGTGTTCAAGATACAATTCCACTGTAAGATACATGTATTACCAATATTTTTTCCAAGTCTGTAGCTTTTTTATCTCCTTAACGGTGTTAAAGAGTAGAAAATTTTAATTTTTATGAAATCAAATTTATCAATTTTCCTTTTATAGTTTGTGTTTTTTGTGTCCTATCTAAGAAATCTTTATCCATCCAGAGATGGCTGAAGTTTTCTCCTGTGTTTTCATCTTGCTGTTTTACAGTGTTCGCTTTTACATTTAGGTCTATAATCCATTTCAAGTAAACTTTTATGTGGTGTGGGGTAAGGGTCAAAGTTTGTCTTCTTCTACATGATATCTTATTGTTCTGGAACCACTTCTTGAAAAGAACATCCTTTCCTCATTAAATTGCCTTGGCAACCTTGTTGAAAATCAATTGACCAAATAAGTGTGGGTCTATATTTGGACTCTATTCTGTTCTATTGATTTATATTTCTGTCCTTATGCCAATACCAATAGTCGTGATTACTACCGTGAAACAAAAATGAAATCCAAAGCTCCCTGACTGACTAAGCAGACCCCTTTTGGCCAAAGAGACCCCCAAGAACCTTAAAAACTAAGTTTTCTGGCCATGATGAGATGGGAGGTTGGTCATGCCTCATTTACCCTCTCCCTTGCTGACCACCATTAGACTTTTTCCCTAAGAGTTGAACAGAAACCAGCCCTGGAAAACAAGAACAGAAGACTCACTCAACAACCTGGTACCTTGGCCAGACTTCCCTCCCCTTTCAGTTTCAACAGAACAATCAACCAGCATTCCTTCCTGATAAGAGACTGCTGACCACGGACTGGCTCTGGCGTGTCCACGGAGGCTGCACACAGAGCACGTGGGTGTCCTTCGTTTTAACTTTTGATGTGCACAGCCTAATTTTACTGCATTTTAATGTTAAGTTTCCCCCCAAAGTGAACATGGGACATACATAACACGTTTGCTTACTATGCATGCGTGCAAAGTCCCCTCATGCATATTCATAGCCCTTCCTGTAACCTGTTAAATATGTATGTCTATCCAATTGACCAAGCATGAGACTCCTGTAACACACTCCCTCCCTCGAAATGCCTGCTTTCAGTCTCTGCCAGAGGCTACGCCTCCAAGTCTTCAGGTTGCAACCCTTTATAAGAAATAAAGTTATCCTTTCCAAACTTACACATTTTGTGATTTTAAGTAAACACTACTATTAAGTCTTGAAATCAGGGCATCTAAATTATGTAATGGTATTTTCTTCTCGTTTTTTTCCTAGCTATTTAAGATCTTTAGTATTTTCTTATAAATTTTAGAATAATTTCCATAAAATAATAATTTTGTAGAAATTTTATAAATTTCTATACAAAAGCCTGCTAGGATTTTGATTGGGATTGCATTGAATCTATAAAGCAATTTGGGAATAACTGACTGTTTTTTTCTGTTTTTGTTTTTGAGACAGGGTCTTACTCTGTCACCCAGGCTGGAGTACAGTGGTGTGATCATGGTTCACTGCAGCCTCAACCTCTTGGGCTCAGGTGATTCTCCCACCTCAGCCTCCTGAATAGCTAGGACTACAGGCACATGCCACCATACCCAGCTAATTTTTTGTATTTTTTTAGAGATGGGGTCTTGATATGTTACCCAGGCTGGTCTTAAACTCCTGGACTCAAGTGATCCACCCACCTCGGCCTCCCAAAGTGCTGAGATTACAGATGTGAGCCACTGTGCGGAGCCTGACAGTTTAAACACTATTATTTGTATTCATCGAAGTTCTCCAGAGAAACAGAACCAAAAGGATGTGTGTGTGAGCACATGTGTATGTCTTAGTCCTTTCTAGCTGCTGGAACAAAGTAACTTAGACTGGGTAATTTATAAACAACATAAATGTATTGCTGGAGGCTGGGAAGTCCAAGAACAAGGTGCCAAAAGATTCAGTGTCTGGTGAGGGCTTGCTTTCTGCTTCAAAGATGGTGCCTTCTTGCTGCATCCTCACATGATGTAAGGGACAAACAGGCTTCTCATAGCTTCTTCTACAAGGTAACTTTTTCTACAAGACCTCATAGCTTCTTCTATAAGGTCACTAATCCCATTCAAGAGAGTGGAGCCCTCCTGACCTAATCACCTCCTAAAAGCCACACCTCTTAATACTACCACATTGAGAATTAAATTCTAACATGATTTTTTTGGGGAAATCAACATTTAGACAATAGCATACATATATTTATTCAGAGAGATTTATTCTAAGGAATTGACTTATGCAATTATGGGGGCTGGCAAGTCCAAAATCTGCAGAGTAGCCTAGGAGGCTAGAGATCCAGAGAAGAGCCAACGTTGCAGTTCGAGTTCAAAGGCCATCTGCTGCCCAAATTCCTTCTTGCTTGGAGGAGGTTAGTCTTTGTTCCATTAAAGTCTTCAATTGATAGTATTAGGCCCACCCACATTATAGTGTATAATCTACTTTACTCAAAGTCCACTGATTTAAATGTTAATCTCATCCAAAAAGAAATCTTCACAGAAACAGCCAGCCAGTACACTGACTAGCCCTCCAGTACAATGTTGAATAGGAGTGGTGAGAATTGATATCCTTGCCTTGTTCTTATTCTTGGGAAGAAAGCATTCAGTCTTTACTATTATGGATGATATTAGCTATAGGTTTTCCCTAGGTTTTCTTTATCAGGTTGAGGAGATTCCTTTTTATTTTCAGTTTGGTGAGAGTTTTATAATAAATGATGCTGAAATTTGTCAAACATATTTTCTGCATCTGAGATAACTGTAAGCTTTTTATTTTTTACTTTGTAAAGATGATGAACTACATTGATTAATTTCTGAATGTTAAATCAACTCTTCATTCCTTAGATAAGCCCCATTTGGTCATGATGTATTATTTATTTTATATATTGCTGGATTCTTTATGCTAATGTTTTGCAGGAAATTTTTGTCTGTGTTTATCAGGAATATTGGTTGGTAATTATCTTACAACATATTTTCCTGGCTTTAGTATTGGTAATGCTGGACTCCTAAAATGAACTGAGAAGCTTTCCTTTCTCCTATATTTTCTGAAAGAGTTTGTGTAACATTTGTGTTTCTTCCTTAAATGATGGATAGAATTTCACCAGTGAAGCTGCCAGGGGCTATATTTTCTTTATGGAAACTTGTAAATCAAAAATTGAATTTTTAATAGATATAGGGCTACTTAGATTTTCTATTTCTTCTTGATTCAATGTCGGTAATTTGTATCTTTCAAGAAATTTATTCATTTTCTCTGCATTGTCAAATTTATTTAAAATTGTTCATAGTATTTCCTTATTATTCTGTTTATAAGATCTTTTAATTTATAAAGAATTCCTGATACTGGTAATCTATATTTTCCCTCTTTTTTTCCTTGATCAGTGTAGCTAGAAGTTTATTACTTTTATTGATATTTATGAAGAAACAGCTTTTTTCATTGATTTTATTCTATTATTTGTTCATTTCATTGATTTCAATCCATTTCATTGATTTCTGCCTTTATTGTTTCTTTTGTTCTACTTACTTTAGGTTTAATGTACTCTAATTTTTCTACACTCTTAAGCTAGAAGTTTAGATCACTGATTTTAAAGCTATTTTCTTTTCTAATATAAGCATTTAAAGCTATAAATATCCTTCAAACACTGCTTAGCTGCATCTCACAAGCTTTGACATGTTGTATGGTCATTTTCATTAGGTTCAAATATGTTTCCATCCCCTTTGTGATTTCTTCTTTGACCTGTGGCTTATTAGAAGTGAGTTTTACATTTCTAAGAATTTGCATATTTTCCGCATCTTTCTGTTACTGACTTATAATTTAATTTCAAATTAGTATGACCATTCATATTAGTATTAGTACTCTGGATTATTTAAATTATTGTAAGTTTTTTGAGACTTACTCTCCATCTCAGCCTATAGTCTATTTTGGTAAATGTTCTATGTGCACTCGAAAAAGTGTGTCTTCTGTTATTGTCAAGTGAAGTGTATTATATATGTCATTTCTGTCAAGTTAGTTGATAGTGTTAAGTCTTCTACATCTTCATTTGTTTTCTGATTATTTGTTCTATCACTTACTGAGAGGAATTTTGGGATCTCCAGCTACTTTTGTGGATTTGTCTGTTTCTTCTTTCAGGTCTGTCATTTTTTTGCTTCATGTATTTTAAAGTTTTCATATTGGGTACATATACATTTTGGATTGCTTTGTCTTCTTGATCTATTGACCCCTTTATCATTATGAAATGTTTCTCTTTATCCACAGTACTACAGTATTCTTTGTTCTGAAGTGTACTTTGATATTAACATAGTTACACTGGCTTTTTAAACAATTAATGTTGTGCATGGTATTACTGCATGGTATATCTTTTCCCATCCCTTTCCTTTAATATAACTGTATCTTTATATTTTAGGGTTTTTTTTTTTTAAAGAGTGTATAGTTGGGTCTTGCTTTTATATCCAGTCTGACAATCTATGTTTATGAATTATAGTGTTTAGATAATTTACACTTAATGTGATGATTAAGTCAGATATATATCTACCATCTTGCTACTTGTTTTCTATTTGTCCCATCTGTTCTTTGTTCCCTTTTTATTCCTTTTTGTCTTCTTTTGCATTCATTGTACATTTTTTAGTATTCTACTTTATCTCCACTATTGACTTGCAAAATATATCACCTTGTTTTATTGTTTTTAGTAGTTGCAATAGGGTTTAAAATATACATAATTAATATATCACTTCTACCTTCAAATAATATTACACTAATTCATATATAATATAAAAACTTTCCAAAAATATACTTTCATTTTTATATTGTTGTCATACACTTACTTTACTGCTGTATGTTATTAACATCACAATATATTCTTTTGTTTTAAATCACTGTTTTAAAAACTAATTTTAAATAAAGGAAAAGGAAAAAAGGCCTTTTCTTTTTATCCACATATTTGCCATATCCTAGTCTCTCCAGTTCTTTGTGTTGATTCAAGTTTCCACTTGACATCATTTTCCTATTGCCTGAAGAACTTTCATACTTTTTAAAGTCAGGTACTACTAGAAACAAGTGCTCTCATCTTTTGTCTATCTGAAAAAGTCATCATTTCACCATCATTTTTAAATTGGGTTTGTGCCATAATCTTAAAAGACATAATCCTAAATGCCATAATCCTGTTAAAATTCCAAGAGATCAAAATCCCTAAAGTCTTGAAAATCATAATGCTGAAACATTAAAGTCTGAAAATCTAATTTTGGGAAAACTAATTTCAAAAAATTCTTTAAAGACATTTATTTACATTTTTAAAGAGAGATTTACTTGAGAAACATATAAAGACATAACAGAGCACTTCATACTTTACCCAATAAAATAGGCAATCATAACATACATATTTTTACAAGCATAAACTCTCAGGTATACTAACAGCAGTCACACGGATATAACAGTTATAAGCAGATGAATCACATTCATAAAGGAATAGGTGAAAAAGCAAAATGTATAAATGCATATCAGTATGGTCAGTAATTGTGTGCACCCAGCTTTATAACTGCTGTCATTTGAAATAACATGATGGGCAACCTAAGTCTTTTGATGATATTAATCAAAAACCTCGGTGGGTCACCATTGTATATGAAGTGGCCCAAAGAGCTAAGATTTTGAGACATTTTATCCTTCTCAAGTGCAGATGTACAAAAAGAACATCTTTTCATTTACTGAGGAAGTTTCAATATTTTACATACGTGGGCAATACTTATACAACGAAGTCAATGCTGTGATAATGCATTTTTGTGAAATTACATTTGCAAAAATGTCATAAAACAAATTAGAACTCACTAAAAGTCTTTATACAATTTATACTTAGTACTGGAAACGATGTGAAGATGAAATACATAGCATAGCAAATTGGTGCTATGTGTGAAGGGGCAGAAATCACACACAATTGAATAATTTAGCAGGGGAGATTTCTTGTCTTTTTTGCCTGCATTTTCACTTCTATGATCTTTGAAACACTCATTGAACTTGCATTTGGAGAGTGGTTATGGTGTACAAATTTTGTAAGTATATGATGTCCTTTTGAAATTCTGGTTATTGCTTGGCTGTTGCAATTAAGCAATTTTCTGTTTTTGCAGCGTCAAAAATAATTGTCTCTCTCTCTCTCTCTTTTTTTTTTTCCCCTGAGACAGAGTTTCACTCAGTTGCCCAGGCTGGAGTGCAGTGGCGCGATCTCGGCTCACTGCAACCTCCACCTCCTGGGTTCAAGCAATTCTCCTGCCTCAGCCTCCGGAGTAGCTGGGATTACAGGTGCCCACCACCATGCTCGGCTCATTTTTTGTATTTTTAGTAGAGATGGGGTTTCATCATGTTGGCCAGGTTGGTCTCGAACTCCTCATCTTTGGTGATCCACCCGCCTCAGCCTCCCAAAGTGTTGCGATTACAGGTGTGAGCCACTGCATCCGGCCATAGTTAACTTTTTTTTTTTTCTTTTTTTTTTTTTTGAGATAGGGTCTCACTCTATTACCCAGGACTGGAGTGCAGTGGTACAGTCTCAGCTTACTACAGCCTCAACCTCCTGGGCTCAAGTGATCCTGCCACCTTAGCCTCCCAAGTAGCAACTGGGACTACAGGCTTACGCCACCAGGCCCAGCTAATTTTTAAAATTTTTTGTAGAGATGAGATCTCTGCCATGTTTCCCAGGCTGGTCTCAAACTCCTGGGTTCAGGTGATCCTCCTGTCTCAGCCTCCCAAAATCCTGGGATTGCAGGTGTGATCCACCATTCCTGGCCTAAAATTAGCTTTTAAATTTGTACCTTTCACTGTTAAGTAGCCTTGTACACTTTCAACTTTTCACTTTTTTTTTTTTTTTTGTAAGGAAACAATTTCACAGCTCTTTTCCATTGTGCTGTAAGGAATGCAGTAAGAAGGAATGATATTTGGCTTCCCCAATACCAAATCTGTATTAGGCAGTGTTCTCCAGAGAGACAGAAGCAATAGGATATGTATATAGGTATATGAGAGGAATTTATTAGGGGAATTGGCTCATGTGATTATAGTGGCTGAGAAGTCCTACAACAGGCTATCTGCCAGCTGGAGACTGGAATATGGGAAGTGTGGTTCAGTCCAAGTCTGAAGGCCTCAGAGACAGGGAAGCCAATGGTGTAACTCTCAGTCCAAGGCTGAAAGCCTTGGGACCCAGGCGGGGGCTGCTGATGGAAGGCCTGGAGTCTAGAGGCTGTCAAGTCTGGATCTCTTATGTCCAAAGTGGTAGAAAAAAAGCCTGTCCTAGCTCTCAGAAGAGACTCATTCACCTTCTGTATCTGTTCTCTCTGGATCCCTGGATGACTGAATTGTGCATACCAACAACGACGGCGGATCTTCCCCACCTAGTCCACTCAGACTCACATAGCAATCTCCTCTGGAAACACCCTCACAGACCCACCTGAAATCATGCTTTACCAGGTTTCTAGGTATTCCTTAATCCAGTTGAATTGACACCTAAAATTAAGTGCACAAGTCCCCTTGTCAATTTGGCACATATACGCATCTCTTTACACCAGACTTAATTTCCAAATAAAGACAATAACAAGGTAATAGTTCTGCCTAACATGCTGCAACCAATATGATGCAACTATCTTGTGTACAACTGAAGATGCACTAATCCCTTCTCCAGAATTTGGCTTTCAGAATTTCAGTTTGAGATTTTAATCTTTTAGGATTGTGATTTTTCAGGATTTTAGACATTAGGGATTTTAATCTTTTTTATTTTTTTTTAATTTTTTTTTTTTTTGAGACAAAGTCTTACTCTGTCACCCAGGCTGGAGTGCAGTGGTGCGATTTCAGCTCACTGCAACCTCTGCCTCCTGGGTTCAAGGGGTGATCCTGCCTCAGCCTCTGGAGTGGCTGGAGTAGCAAGTGCCACCATGCCAAGCTTTTTTATTTTTTTTATTTTATTTTTATTTATTTTTTATTTTTTTTTTTAATAGAGATGAGGTTTTACCATGTTGGCCAGGGTGGTCTTGAACTCCTGATCACAAGTGATCTGCCTGACTTGGCCTCCCAAAGTGCTGGGATTACAGGCATGAGCCACCATGCCAGGCCGGGTTTTAATCTTTGGGATTTCGACATTCAGGATAATGGCATTCACAATTATTATTGGCAACATTTTAAATTATATTTTTGCTGGACTTAGAATTCTGGGTTGGCTTTTTTCCTTTCCGTACTTTAAAATACATTCCATTGTCGTCTGAACTGCATTGTTTCTGATGAGAAGTCTGCATTAAGTTTTATCTTTTCTCCTTTGTACAAAATGTTTCTTTTGTCTCTGGATGCTTTAAAGATGTTTTCTTTGGAGCCGTTTTTCAGAAATTTGGTCATATATTAATAACATCTTTGTGTAAGACATTTGGCTCTATAGATTTATATTTCTCATCAAATTTAGGGGGAAATTCACTATAAAATTTTGAAGCTTTTTTCTATTTCTTCCTCTCTCTTCTCTTTGTGGCACACCAGTTTCATGGGTACTGGACTGCTTGATATTGTCCCACAGGTCATTAAGGCTATGCTGTCTCCCCCTACTCCCGCCTCAAATTTTCTTTCTTTCTTTTCTTTGGTTTAGATAAGTTCATATTGCTATGTCCTCAAATTCACTGTTATTTTCTTCTGTAGTGTCAAATACACTGCTGTTAGTCTCATCCAGTGAAATTTTCATTTCATCTCTTGAAATCCCATTTGGTTCTTTTTCATATCTTCCATTTCTTTCTCATTACATTTATTTTTCTTTGACTACATAAACTTATTCATAATAGCTGTTTTAAAGTTTTTGTGTGCTAATTTCATCATCTCTGTCATTTCTTAATTTTTATCTATTGATTTTCTTCCTGGTTATGGGTCACATTTTCCTGCTTCCTTTCATGCCTTGTAATATTCTTTTGGATGCTGGACATTGTGGATTTTATTTTGTTCCATGTTGGATTTTGTTATGTTCTTTTAAAGAATGTTGATCTTTGCTCTGGCAGGCAGTTAAGTTACTTGCAGATTAGCTTGACCCTTTTGAGGATTGTTTTTTAGCTTTGGTAGCACTTCTGCTAAGGTGTGACTCTTTTGTAGTCTCTAATTGAATGACTCTGGAGCTCATTGTGGACTTTCTATTCCGGCTGGTTGAATACAAGTATCTTGTAGCCCTGTGTGACTGCTGGGAATTGTTCAGCTTATATCTGCCTAGTACTTCTTTACTCAGTCTCATGGAGTTTCACCATACTCAAGTTCAGCTTAGTGTTCAGCAGCAGATTCAAGGGGACCCCTCTGCAGATTCTGGAAGCTTTCTCAGCATAACTCTCTTCTTCATAGTACTTTGTCACACAAAGTCTGGCTGACTCAGCCTCCCCAAACTCTGATCTCTGATAATTCAACTCAGTAAGACCACCATGCTCTCCCAGGGTCCTACTCCCTGCCACATGGTCCCAGAAACTGTCCCCAGGCAGAAACCTGGGGCAACTAGAGGGTTCACCTCATTAATTTTTCTTCTCTCATGTATATAGTCCTGGGCTGACTGTTGTCTAATACCTGAACACAGTTGTGGTATATAATTTGTCCATTTTTGTAGTTGGTTATGGTAGGAGGCAAGTTTGGTCCCTGTTTCCCCAAAATAATATTTATCATTTTTAAGAAAACGAAAAATTACAAGCACATAGAAAAATATGGAGAAAAGTCAACCAGTGAACATGTTAAAATTTGCCATATGTGCTTCAGAATTTTTTTCAAAGAACAAAAGTATTCCAGATACAGCTTAAGTGCTTTAAATCTTTTTTGATTTTTATAACAACCCTGCCAGGTGGTGATAATTACTTGAATTTTATTCAAGGAAAAAGAAACTTTCCAAGGAGGGCATAGCTGGTCACAGGCAGAGCTGGGTTTAGACCTTTTTAGACCATCTTCAGGCTACAGAAATAGACTCTCAGGTGACCTGCACATAGCGTGTTCAGGAGCAAGACAGCATCTGGGCTGACCGGGTGTCAGCGGAAGGGTCCATAGGGAGTAGTGGGAGAAATGACTTTAGGTTAGCTGGGAGTGCCCTCCGGCAGTCTTGAAAAGCACACAGGAAACTGGCTTTCTTTCTATGAGCCAGTGATATGTGAACCTCTTTAACATACATATGACTGGGCTTTTGAAATGAACTCCAAAGCAGTGTGATTTAGCCAGGGCCAGATGGCTGTGGGAGGACACAAATAGCCAGTAGGTATGGATGAACTCATTCCCGCACAGGATTTTTCCTCAGGTGCTGCCATGAATCTGGTTAAATAAGGCTCCCTAAAACATCCCTATCATCAACTGAAGGCATCAACATCTGTGGCACCTGAAGATGCCACATCACCATCTGTGGCATCACTGCCGAGGGGCTCCTCTCATTGTCTGTGATTTAGTGGCTGCTTTCTTCCAAATGGCTGCCTTGCTGCTCATGTGATCCACCCACAGACTGCATGGCTCAGGTCCATGTTGAATTTCACAGATTGTTTCATTATCAAATTTTAGTAGTTGGAGAGGAGGTGAAAGTTTTCACGCAGGTGTGCAAAGTTCTAAGGAGGATATAGGAGTGGGAGGTGTCATCTGGAGCCCTCCGTGGATGGAAGAACAATTCTTTTTAACCAAAGGCCAGATTAAGCAAACACTAATAATCATGGATATCATGGAAACTTCTCATTTTCTTTGGGGTCCCCACCCTACTTTCTGGGAACCATCCCATCCTCTCACTACACAGCTTCGGGGGGAGGGGGACAGTCATATTCTTATGTGGCTTGGCTCCTGGCCATAGTGGTTCTCTCTAGCTGGGCCATGAATCCCTCCCCAGGACCTCTGGACGTGGGAACTAGAGTAGCATTGGTGTCTCTCTGCAAAAAAGGAGCTGTGAGCTGTCAACTCTGTCAAATGGGGGGCAGTCTCCACATTTCCCGCCCTGGGGAAGCAGAGGCTGCTGGTCGGCAGAGAGACAAATGGAGCAGGTGCTTTAAGAGGTACACAGATAAAAGATGGAGAGAGCCCCATCCCATGGCTGAGAGTCTGGTTGTGTCCTTGGATCTTATGACACATCCCAGGTTGTTTCTTTTTTTTAATCTCCATCTTGTGTAAATTCAGTGTGAGGTTATTTAATAATAAAATCTGTGATGGGTCTTTATAATGATAAACATTACATACTTAATCTCACCTAGGGCTAACAGCAACTATGGCACGGCAGCTGCAACGGGCATGAAGAGAATTGTTGGGGGCAGGTGAGAGGGTTTCCCTGGGGTGGAGAGGGGCTTTAGAAGAAGGTCCATTTTAGCTGGACTTGTTGAGGCTCAGCATGCCTGGAGGCAGGAGATTACGTGTGTTGATTCCTTGAGACTTCAATTTCAGTATTGGAACTAATTAATGTAATTACTAAAATATCTACAGTTCTTGTTTCTGGGGTATTTCAGTATAAGGCAGGGTATCCAATAGAAATATTTAATATAATGTGAACCACATATGTAACTGTAAATTTTCTAGTGGTCACATTAAAAATGTAAAACGATACAGGTGAAATTAACTTTAATAATATCTTTATTTAAACTGATATATCCAAAATATTCTCATTTTAATATAATCAATATATAAAAATTATTAGTGAGATATTTTGCCTTCTTTTTTTGGCCGTAAGTCTTCAGGGTGCAGTGTGAATTTTAGACTCACAGCACATCTCAGTCTGGACCAGCCATAGTGCTACAAGTGCTTGAGAGCCACGTGTAACTCGTGGCTACTGCACTGGACAAGGCAGGTTTCTAGCATTATCCTCAACTAGCCAGTAGACCTGCCCTTGATAAGCGGAGGTTCAGAAACAGAGACTCCTCCTTGGGCTGGCTCAGAAAAGAGGGGTTTTGTGCAGGGATCTATGTTAAAGAGATGGTGTCTCAGAACAGAAGCCTTGGCCTGGGTGGCTCTCGTGGGATCTGAGACTGAGTTGGCTAGGGCCACATTCCCACCTTTCCAGGAACGTGTGGAGCATTGACCCTGCTCTCTGAGCATCTACTCCATTCTCCTGACTCTGCTCCTGGCTACTTCATGCCCTCACCTGCACATGACCATCATGGAGAAGACCTGTTTCTCTTTGCTTCCCTGCTTTCTGCACCACAATCCTTCTGCTTTGGCTCTCACTTCAAATGTCAACAGCCGCTCAGTTTCCCAAACTTACGTCCTGAAGGATGAATCTTAAGAGGCCCAGATCATCTTTTTCCAGGCCACAACTCAGTGGCCTTGGGAGAGGCTACCCTTAAGTCAGAGCGCACCCTGATCTAGCTAGTTACAGCTAAGAGGGGAGGAGGGGCAGATTCCTATGGGGGTGGTCTCTGGGAAGGTGACAAAAGATTGGCCTCTCATCTGACATCTTTTTCCTTATGGGAACAAAGGAGACAAAAGCCACTCTTCTGAGGCTTCAAAGACAGCCTTCTCACAATACTCTATCCAAAGGGAAGAGAAATGTCCTTTCTACAGGGCAGGTCAATTCAGTGGCAAGTCTAGAGGCTTCACAGGGAAACGGTCTCTGTATGGCAGCAGCTAGACTCAGACTTGAGGGTTTAAAAGGAGCGAGAGATGTGAATTCCCAGTCATCTGTGCCCTTGTGGAGATCTAGGCACAACAGCACAACATTCACAATAGATTCTTATTAGAGAGCTTCCTTTTGGTCTGATTCCAGCAGAAGGGTTTTGTAACTTGTATTGTTGAGTCCTCACTTTCCTGGGAGGAAGATGGAAAGGTTAGAGGAAAATGCTGGTCAAGAAAGGTCATAATTCCCTGGAGTTGTTGGATGTGACAAAGAAGCAGATATTTCAGTAGAAAGGGCACCAATTTGCCTGCTCCTTGCTCCCCACTTGGGAGACTTCAGGCCACTCTAGGATTCGGAGTTTTCCCTCCACATGGGACTGAGCAGGACTGAGCAGCGGGGCCAGGCCTGGAAGGACTTGGAGTCTGTGGAGGATGGATGGGGCAGGGTCCCCGCTTCCGGCTCCACAGCTAGCCTTGCCAGGAAGGCTTGGAGCTGCTCCCTGGCCTTGACCACCCCTGGGGAGCAACAAGCAAAAGGTTCTGAGCCAGGGCATCGGTGCTGCCGGAAGGCCCCCAGCATCCTGCCAGAACTGAATCTGACATGGCCACCCAACAGCCCACCTCCCCAAGGTTGGGGAAAGCAGCCTCAGAGATCACATTCATCAGCCTCAGAGACTACACTTTATTAGTATTGCTTTCATCATATTAACACAAGCAATAACAAGTGCTTTCAACATCCTAAACCACACATCTGGAAGCTGCACTAGGCAATACAGATATAAACCCTTCAAAGAACTGGCCACTTGTCCAGGCTTTAAGAGGCTCTGATGGATTTCAGGCCTGTCTCATTTGATCCTGAGCCCAGCCCCACGTCACCATGCTGCCCTGCCCATGCCCACGGTCATGACTGCCCAGGCACCAACCGAGCTCTGATGTTCTATCCAAACGTTGCCATCCCTAGAATCAATGGAAAAAAACAGGACTTGGAAAGCCCAGCCGGCTGCAGTGGGGGCTCGAGAGGACAGATGGGTAGAAGAGAGCTGCATCTATAGGCGCTGGCTTTCTGCCCCTCGTGGGGCCAGCCCAGCCTACTCCTGGAATAGCTCTGAGTCCGCCAGCAGAGGGCTGTCACCCTTGGGGCCTGCCGCAGGAGTGAAGCCACATTGACAGGCTCTGTGCACTCCCCCGACCCATGCTACTCATAGCTGGGGCGCTGTGAGCACATTAGCCAGCATCGCAGAGGCGGGCATATAACCCTCGCCTTGCTCACTGCACAGGGTGATTTTATCAGGACAAAATGGAAGAGCTATGTAAGTGGCTGGGTGCTGAAAAATGTAATGATGGCACTTGCTGAAATGCCATTTAACCTGGAGAACATATTTTATTAGCTGCAAAAGTGTAGTCTCCTCTAAGGAGTAAGGACAATGGAAATTCCAGGGCAAAAATGTAAAACAATAAATACTGGGCCAACAGCAAGCCAGTAAACGGCATTTCCCATTCCACTCCTTAAAAAGACTTGGCTGAGCCGCTGGGTGAACGTGGCCTCCCTGGCATTGGTCCTGGGGCCCACTGGCACAGTTCCCTTTGCTGACAGAGGCAGGTTCCCAGCCCTGATTCCTTCCCCACCACCCCCAAGGATGTCCACTGTCCCCAACCTCCCTCTTCCTCTCACACCTTCCATGCTAGGCGCCTGCCAGAAATGCCATCTGCCGACCTCAAAGTCTCACCTCATCCCTCCTCAAGCCGCACCCTGAGTGTCTCCCACTCCTCCAAAACTCAGCCCTGAGACCCGGTCCCAGGGGGTCCCTCTGGCTCAGATGTGCAAAACCTTAGGACGGGATTGCTGTCTTCCTCGGTGTGCCCCCAGAAGCAGACCCTGAGACAAGGATTCGGGTGCAAGTCGTTTATTCGGGAGCTGATTCCTGGAATCACGGAGAGGTGGTGAGGAAGACAGCCAGGGAAGGAGGAGAGCTGCTGAGGGCCACGCGAATGAGCTCTGGCCAGGGAGCCACCAAGAGTCAGTGTAGGATGCACCTCGGAATCATGCCACTAAGGGCATGGAGGCTGGAGTGGTAAGGAAGCTGGGGTATTTCCACTCAATCTGGGCTCTTATTGTTAGAGAGGTGCCTCTGGAAGGCATCGAACCCCTGAAACTTTCAGTCTAAGCTGTCCATGTGCAGATGATGTCAGAGAAAGCCCTCAGGGAGAGAGTCACAGGTCCTTGGTGAAGGAAGTCATCTGCCTGTACAGGAACTGTCCTCCAGTAGACCAACGGAAAGTGTGCTGGACATAAACAACACCACACTGACCAAGGCCCCAGAGGAGCTCTGGAGCTGGCAGCCAGGCGCTCAGTGCTCGCACAGGTGAAGGCCTGCAGGATTCAGAGTCGAAGATCTGAGTGGGAATCCTGGCTCTGTTCCAGAGCAAATCTTGAGCAACTTCCTTTCCCTCTAAGCCTCACCTTCTTTGTTGAAATGGGAAACTCATACTTTCTCCACAGGATTGCTGTGAGCCCTGAAGCCAAGATACCAGGTACTATTAGAAACTGGCTTTCAACCTTTCAGATAATGTCTTTTTGAAGTTACAAGTTGAATGCTTCCCATTCTTGCCAAGAATTACTCATATTTCTGACTAACATTACTAATGCCAAAGCAATAATGCTGGGAGTGGGGAGTCTGAAGTTGAGAATTAGTCTTGGAAGTCATATTTTACATAAGCATTATTCCACGTTATCCTGCAAAGAACTGGCCACCAGAGAGCCTGGTACTAAAGTGCGTAGCAGCATGATACGTCAGTTCAGGTAGTGCCCACAGTTATCAGTAAATTAGCTGATTCTGTCTCACCTTACTGTTCTGAACATATGATTTTTGCCCATCTCAAAATGGGCAAAATTACATTGCGATTAGTGGGGAAAATGACTGATTTTGCCATTATAAAATTCTTTTGGCAACAAAGATTTCTCTTTAGAGGAAAATGGCTATATTTAGAATAAATAAGCCAACAGGTTGAAAATACAATTTGCTAATAATTGATAGGCAGTATACTATTGAATGGAGAAAAGTAATTAAAAATATACATACATATATACATACACAGAAACATATATACAGAGAGAGCACGTGTGTGTGTGTGTGTGTGTGTGTGTGTGTGTGTATTCAGCCCTGGCTGGGAAAATGTTACAGGTTGGGTTCTCCAGAAACAGATAATGAAGCAGAATTTCGGGTGCAAAATTTTATTAGGGCTCAACACCTGTGAAGGAAGGAGGGAGCGAGTAGAATGGGAAAGAAGTTGAATGGCAACAAGGTCTTGGCCAGTCTAGCAGGAACTCTGGAGTGGATATTGTCCTGCAGAGCAAATGAGATGGCTGTGCTTTCACACCCCTGCCTCTCTGTGACAGGATGCAAGCTGCCACCAGAAGAGCATGACCTAGTGCAAGGCAGCTCTTTGAGCAAGGCAGCTCTTTGCAGGGAGGCGGCCCTTTGCAACAAGGCAGGCCCTGAAAGAGCCGATAGCTGGGGGCTGGCTGCTGACCAAGCTTTCAGTGGATGGGCAGCAAGTCCTTTAGAGGAAGGGGATCTAGGCTGTGCATCCCTGCGTCTATAAAGGCATTAACTCTTGGTCATTTTATTTCAACAGCTTCTTTTGGCTGACCATAACTCATCCTGGAGTTTCCCTCCCACCTCCCTCTGCTGCCCCCCACCATTTCTCTTGGTTTACTTTCGATCCTCCTTGCTAAACCAAAAGCAAATAAGGTAGGAGAGTGAAAAAGAAAAGAACTATTCCAGTCTGTTCTTTCACCTCTCAGCTCTGGATATGGCTGTCTGCAAATATTCACAGCACCAGTGACCTCCATTCCCTCAAGCTAAGCTCCATCTTCCTGCCTCTGTGCCCTCATCCAAACTAATATTCTCCTGGAATAACCCTTCTACTCTGCTTCTATTTCTATTTATCCTTCAAGGCCTTTTTAAGTCTCACCTCTGTGAAAAACGAAAATCTCTTCATGGGCCCTATTCTCATTGTTTATAACCTACATTCGAGCATTTTAGGCAATATTTAACTACACATTTTCTTAAATCCCAGTCTGGAGTGTAGTGGTGCAATCTCAGCTCACCGCCACCTCTGCCTCCTGGGTTCATGAGATTCTCCTGCCTCAGCCTCCCCAGTAGCTGGGATTACAGGTGCGTGCCACCACACCCAGCTAATTATTGTATTTTTAGTAGAGACAGAGTTTCACCATGCTGGCCAGGCTGGTCTCAAACTCCTGACCTCAGGTGATCTGCCCACCTCGGCCTCCCAAAGTGTTGAGATTACAGGTATGAGTCACCGCGTCCAGCCGCAAAAATTAATAATTGAGGAGTAGGATGTGCACCTTTTGTATTCCCTTTAGTACCTGGATAGTATGGGTGCCTGATATGTACTTATGAATTTTTACATTGAATCAAAAGAAATTGCTTTTAGAAGGAACGCTCAAAATGTAAAGTGATTACATTCCAACCATATGCAACACTTCTAATTGCTGCGGTTTCCACTTGAATGATCATGAAATGATCTGGAGAAGCAACATGTGGAAATTTAAATCCATTCATTTATCAACAGCAAAACAGCTATTTCCAACTTTTTTTTTTTTTTTTTTTTTTTTGAGATAGAGTCTTGCTCTGTTGGCCAGGCTAGAGGGCAGTGGTACAATCTCAGCTCACTGCAAACTCCGTCTCCCAGGCTCAAGCAATTCTCCTGCCACAGCCTCCTGAGTAGCTGGGATTCCAGGCGTATGCCACCATGCCCAGCTAATTTTTTTTTTCTTAATTTTTAGTAGAGACGGGGTTTCACCATGTTGGCTAGGCTGGTCTCGAACTCCTGACCTCAGGTAATCTGCCCGCCTCGGCCTCCCAAAGTGTTGGAATTACAAGTGTGAGCCACCACGCCCGGCCTATTTCCAGCTTTTTAACAAGGACTGAATCAGGGCTTCTAGACTCATGCTGCAAAGGTAGAAGGATTTAATGGATCAAAATGAGAATTCATGGCTCTTGAATTGTTAACCTCTGATATCTCTTACTTCATTCAAAGCGTCAGCAGCTCCTGAAATCTAATTTTAGGTTCTACAAGGTGCATCAAATAAAGAAAGTGTAATAAGCATATTTAAGACAATTTAAACTCATTTAAAACTGATGGCTCCCTAGACCAGTGATTCATCAGATGTAGCCTGGGGACTCCAGGGGGCGCTAAGATCTTTTCAGGAGGACTGTGAGGTCGAAACTATTTTACAATAATATGAAGACATCATTTGTTTTTCTTACTTTCATCCTTTCTCAAGAATATGGTAGAGCTTCCAGAGGCTACATGACATAGGATACTTTGTTCTGGCAACAAGTGCTTTTTGTATTCTTGTGTTTTTTAGAATTTTCTAAGGTGGTAGATTTAGAATATATATATGTGCATTTTCGGAGATTAACTCAGTTTGTTCTTAATACTTTCACTGCAGTATCTATCTTTCATTATACCTGCTATAATTTCTGTGACCTCATTATTGTCCAATGTATTGTTGCTTTGAAATCCCGAATTTCCCTTGCATCTATTTGAAAACTCAACAACAAATAATATACTGTGTTGTTTTGCAATATTTTAAATTTTTTTCAAAACTTCATAAGTTTTAAAAAATTCATCTAAAACTGTTATTGCTTTAGAGTTCAATATTCTAAAATAAAGAGAAAAGTTATTTATACAATATTTTTCTTATCATTAAGGATAGATCACTGGCTTAAAAACAAAAGATGAGAAGGCTTGCTTTCTCAATTCCCACATGTAGCATCTACATATAAGATGCTGACATACCTGAACCTGAAATATCAGAGTTCCCTGACTCATGGAAGGGCGGATCAACTTCAAAAAAAAAAAAAACTGGATGAAGAAATGAAAACACAATGAAAGATATCTTCCCCTCCCTTTGTGGATGCTAATAATTCCCCTTATTGTGTCTTATGCAACAAAACAATTTCAGATTGTCATTTTGAGACTGATAAGAGTATAAAGGAAAAATATTTTTAATGTACACAATATGAGCTTTTTAAAAGCTAAATATTTCTTCATGTTTTCAAACTAGAAATGAAAAAGACACCAAAGCATCCTACAGGGTGAGTTATCATATTGCATTGGCTGGAAAAGTACATATACTAGCTGAATGACAAAGCCTTACACAGTTGACGTTGCTCAATGCCTGCTGAAGGACAAGTTAGTAAAAGAAACCAGTGCCACTTCCCCAAAACATGGTACCTTGTCAAATTTCGGATTTCACTATAAACATGAAGACTAATATACCATCTGCAGAATTGCACTTGTACTTTCAAAATGGACACATCTACAGATATGACTGTATTTGTTATTTTTCTTATTTTTGTTCTTATCAGCCCCACTTAATGATTGAAGATATTACATAAATGCTTGGCAACAAACACATGTGCTGAAATAGTCAAAGTGTTGAATAACTTTTTGAATCTTATGATTTATCCTGATACAACTGTGTTGAAATGTGCATGGATGGTGCAAAAGCAATTGTCAGCAAAAGTCATGCCTTAGCATCAATGAAATCAGTATACTAGGAGTTAACTGTTACTGCTATGGCCTGGCAAAAGCAAAAGCAAGCCAGCTTCACTCAAGAATATCCTGGGGCCAGGCATGATGGTTCATGCCTGTAAACCCAGCACTTTGGGAGGCCAAGGCTGGAGGACTGCTTGAGGCCGGGAGTTTCAGACCAACGTGGGTAACATGGCGAGACTCTGTCTCTGCAAAAAATTTCAAAAATTAACCAGGCTTGGTGGCGCACACCTGTAGCCCCGGTTACTCAGGAAACTGAGGCTGATCATGCCACTGCACTCCAACCACTCTGTGTCAAGAAAAACAATAGACAGTATTTGTTGCTAATGATAAAATCTGAGTTTTCAACCAAAAATTGGAATTTGGGGGAAATTTGTATCCAATATTATGAGTTTCCCAGTACTTAAGGATGAGATCAGTGGTGCTATTAATAAATAGGACTTAAAAAAATATTGTATACTGAAATGACTGAAAATTTGGGAGAACTGTGTGACTCAGTGAACCAGTATTTTCTAAATGACCAATGCAATGCATGATGCTACAAAATCCACTCAGAGAACAAGATAGACCAGTGCATTTTAATGTAATACATTTTCACAGTTCAGTGATAGGGTTTCAGATTCTACTTTGCAACTGGCCTTTAAGAAACTATGATTTGTCAAGTTTTGCTCTAATATCACTGAAGAATACCCACAATTATTTGAAAAGGCTATCAAAATACGCCTCTCATTTTCCAACTACATATATATGTGAAGCCACATTTTCTTCATATTCTTTAACCAAAGCAATGTATTGGAACAAATTGAATGCAGAGGCAGATAAGAATATCCAGCTGTCTTCTATTGAGTCAGATGTGTGTGTGTGTGTTTGTGTGTGTGTGTGTGTGTGTGACAGTGTCTCTGTTGACCAGGCTGGAGTGCAATGGTGCAATCATGGCTCACTGCAGCCTCAACCTCCCAGGCTCAAGCAATCCTCCCACTTCAGCCTCCTAAGTAGCAGCTGGGACTACAGCCTCATGCTACCATGCCCAGCTAATTTTTTAATTTTTTGTAGAGACTGGGTCTTGCCATGTTGCCCAGGCTGGTCTCCAACTTCTGGGCTCAAGTGATCCTCCCATTTCAGCTTCCCAAAGTGCTGGGATTACAGGCATAGGCCACTGTGCCCAGCCTAAGCCAGATATTAAAGGGATGTGCAAAGATTAAAACAATGCTGTTTTTCTCATTTGTTTTACAAAATGGTTATTTTCCAAAAACATGTTATTTGTGTTAATGTATGTTGGGCTTATTGTTATTTATAACCAAATATATATTTCTAATTTGTGTTTTAATTTTTAATATGATAAATATTGGTAGGTAAATCCACAAATAAAAGTGTTTTGGGGTCATCGATAATTTTATGGCATGTAATGGGGTCTTGAAACCAAAGAGTTTGAGAAGCACTGTTCTAAACTGATGGGAACCTAGGGTATGTTGAGAAGTGGGCTCAAGTGACTTGAGGTGTGTATCAGTTAGAGGAAAGAAGTGAGTCCTCCTAATTCCAGAAAGAGACAAGAGAAAAAAGGCACAGGCCAAAGACCACGTAACTGCCACACCTGAATGTGTTTCTTGTTACAAATGGTGGGGACTAGAGCAGAGCTTTCAAGGGTTGGGCCAAGTTCTTTCTTGGAGGAGTCATTTACTGGACATAGAGGTGGCAAGCATGAGATATCCTTTTCCTGAGATGTGAGGTTCAGAAATTCCAGATGGATGATATTTTTTTAGCCACTTAATATATTTAACCAAAAAATTCAAATTAAGTATATTTTGGGCCATTAGATTTTATCCTTTCACTTGATAGCAGAATAAAATTACCACAGAATCAAAGACTATATAAAGTTTTTAAACCTAAAAGAACTAGTCACCCAAAGAGCCAGAGAATCAGAGATAAAGAGATTAAGATTATTTACTTCTTTCCTCAAAATTTTTCTGATTTGATTGTGTAACTCACATGACATTGGTTTTCTTTCTTGTTGTTGTTTTGAGATGGAGTCTCAGTCTGTCACCCAGGCTGGAGTGCAGTGGTGTGGTCTCGGCTCTCTGCAACCTCTGCCTCCCGGGTTCAAGGGATTGTCCTACCCCAGTCTCCCAAGTAGCTGGGATGACGGGCACACGCCACTATGCCTGGCTACTTTTTGTATTTTTAGTAGAGACGGGGTTTCACAAGGCTGGTCTTGAACTCCTGACCTCAGGTGATCTGCCCACCTAGGCCTCCCAAAGTGCTGGGATTACAGACGTGAACCACCACAACTGGCCTTTTTTTTTTTTTGAGTCGGAGTCTCACTTTGTCACCCGGGCTGGAGTGCAGTGGCGCGATCTTGGCTCACTGCAACTTCTGCCTCCCAGGTTTGAGCAATTCTCCCACCTCAGCCTCCCAAGTAGCTGGGACTACAGGCGTGCACCACCATGCCTGGCTAATTTTTGTATTTTTAGTAGAGACAGGGTTTCGCTATGTTGGCCAGGCTGGTCTTGAACTCCTGACCTCAAGTGATCTGCCGGCCTCAGCCTCCCTAAATTTGGGATTACAAGCATAAGCCCAGGAAGAAATACGTGCCTCTGCATGGAATAGCATGCACCTGTGACACACCAGGACCTAAGGACAAACATGCACTAGAAGTCACAAACCATTAAAATCAAAAGACCACTTTGTTTCACTTGATCTGTGTTTGGGTGTTTGGAGGCATTTCTTATAAGTGTAATATAGTTTTCAGGACATCCTGTTAGAAGCCTCTCCATCTAGGTCCTAAGGACAATATTCCAATACTCTAAACATGCTGCCTTAGAGAATGAAAGCATGATTCTGGTATCCATCCGGTGTAAACAGAAACATCCAGGAGTGACAGCTATGTGGACTTTTACCTATGTCCCACTGTCTCTTGTCTTTTTGGGGGGAAAACTTTGTTAATAGGTAGAACTACTTTTCTTCATTTCCTGATACACAACAGTTCCCACTTCTCAACAAATGGTAGGCATTTCAAAGTAAAACAGATCTTCTAACTTCTAGCAGTTATAGAATCAAAGGATGTGAATCCCATTTCTTATGGTTTAAAGGGGGTATATAACCAGTAGAATGAAGTAATAAGGCCTAAAAAGGTTGGGTCTCAATTTCAAAATTAATAAGGTCAGAAAAGACTTTTAACTATAAGGTAGTCAGGTGATTGAATCTAGAGTTAGAATAAAAGAATAAAGCATTACTTTTTTTTTTAAATTTTTTGCAACAGAGTCTCACTGTTATCCAGGCTGGAGTACAGTGGCACAATCTCAGCTCACTGCAGCCTCTGCCTCCCAGGTTCAAGGATTCTCCTGCCTCAACCTCCTAAGTAGCTGGGATTACAGGCACGTACCACCACGCCCAGCTAATTTTTTTGTATTTTTAGTAGGGGTGGGGTTTCCGCGTGTTGGCCAGGCTGGTCTTGAACTCCTGACCTCAAGTGATTTGGCCTCCCAAAGTGCTGGGATTATAGGCGTGAGCCACTGCACCCAGCCAAAGCATTACTTTTAATTAAAATTTTTGACATGAGGCAAGGTAAAACTAGCAGATAATATTATCTTATTCTTTCAATTATTTTGAATTGAAGCGATTTAGTTTTAGGGCAAAAGACCATGTTTTATGCCTTTAAAATATTTATACAGTAGATAATTAAATATTACTTTTGAAAATTAATTCATTTTTCAACAAATATTTACTGAGGGCCTACCATAAGCCGAGCACTGGGCTGGGCTCTCAGGATGCAGCAAGGGCCAGGACGGTAAGGTCCCTGCCTTCAAGGAGCTCCCAGGAACAACTAGCAAGTGTGTAAAAGGAAGGAGGGACCAACAGAAATTAGATGAAAAGGGACACTTGGGAATCTTCCCAGAAATTTCTGTTGTAAAAGGAAGCACACTGGTTTTCAAAGTCTTAGGCAGCAGCTGAAGACAATGTAGATTTCCCACAGATGACACACCTGTGATGATTAGTATTAGTGGGAGAAGATGGTACAAGAGCTCTTATGGCTACTGTAGCCATGCCCCAGGTCATGTCGTGTGTGTGTGTGTGTGTGTGTGTGTGTGTGTGTTTCCTGGTCCTATACACATAGCCAAGGTTACAAAATAGGATGGTGCATTTGGAGAAAAAAAATCAATGAAACTTTTATTTTTATGTGTATTGCTACATTTCTACCAGGATGTAAAAGCATAAACTAAATTTATAATAACTATATTTCTATTGATTCCAAAGATAAATTCTTTCACTTGATGGAAAACTAAAACATTTTATGAGTATTAAAATAAAAATTTGAATAGAATTATGGTTTGCTTTTATACTATCTGCTTCCTAGTAATTTTCTGGGTAAGATGTTTCATAGATGTTTTTTTTTCCTATGAAGATTTGGAGATAATGTTTCAACATTTTGCCTCCATCCTTCAATAAAACTCCACAGTAAACCAATAGTATATAGGAGAATTACCTGCTGAATATATATTTTAGCCAAGGCTTAGGCAGAAAAAAGAAAGACTGCAATTTTCATCAGGACCCTTGGATTCCAGGACTGCATTTCCACGAATGGACTAGCATGCATAGATGGATGTAACCACAAAGAAAACGGTAACATTTACCAAGCACATATGCTATGCCGGGCCCTGGGTTACGTATCTCTCAAAGATTATTCAGTTTACATTTCCACACCACGATGAGGTAGGTGATGAAGAATCCACGCCTGGGAAGAGTTAAGAAACCCACCAGTTAATAAGTAGCTGGGCTGAGCACAAGCCAGGCAGTCTGACAGCAGTTCCACAGCTACGGATGAAATCTGAGCTCTTCAGAAGAAAAATGTTACCGAAAGAACAGCTTCTCAGCTCAAAAATTATTTTAAGTAAATCTGCTCTGTCTTATATTAATTCATATACATATGTTACAAAATGTCCATTCTTCCCCAAGTGCTACAGTTCTGAAAACTAATCACTGGTACTTTATCTGTCATTTCTTATCTGAGATGATTTCCAAATAGAATTCAGTGGTGTAGGCAGGTATTGTTTTCTTCATGAGAGGAAGAAACAAAGGTCATTGGAAACTGTGATCTGATCAAGATGATGGGGGTGACAGCCCCCAAACCTTGAGTCAGCCCAATTTGCCTAACCCCAACATACCTCAACTCCCAAAGATCTCATAAAACTTCATCCAAGGTTTATTCAAGGGTATTGTTTTTCATTAAAAAATAAATAAACGACTTTCAGTATCATATAACTTAGGACCTGTAGTTAGTTTCACAGATACGGTTATCTCTAATTACATGAGCCTTAGTGTTTTCCAGCGTTCATTTGTTCTGTGTATTATCCACAGGCTTCTCCATTCATCACAGGAAGATCGACATGTTAGTTATCTACTTGTCTCTTTTTTAAAGACAGTTTTGTGCCCATACTGCAAGAGAGGACACAGTACCCATACCTACATTTCATCCATTCAGATGTGAACACAGGGTTCCCTTGAGCCTCATTTACTAAGACTGAACAAAGAGTAAGCCTGCACCTGTCCACTAGAGGTCAAGATCAACAAATTGAGACTATAATCACAATCCACTTGAAAACATCACACCATACTTTTGAATATTTCTCCATTTCCAAAGCAGCACTTTTTCATGGTTTTACTGAAGTTCTAAATGGTTTTAAGGTGCTAGTATAAAAGCAATCACTTTTTATTTTTGTATTTATAATACACATACACCCCTCTTTGTGTTGGAATTCACAAGAAATTACCCAAAGAAATTTGAAAAAGAATATGTATACATAAAAGAATCACTTAATGTATAAAGGAGAAAAAATATTTGAGTGTGAAAACAAGATTGAGGAAACAGGTGAAGAAGGAAAAACAGATTTGTCCATTTAATTTTATCACTCTTCAGGCCCTGTATTCTGGATATTCAGGTAGAGAACACAATCTAGATATTTTTTTTTCATATGAAATCTCCTCCTAAACACTTTTTTTCTTTTTCTTTTTTTTTTTTTTGAGAGAGAGTCTCGCTCTGTCGTCCAGGCTGGAGTGCAGTGGCACAATCTTGGCTCACAGCAGCCTCTGCCTCCCAGGTTTAGGCAATTCTCCTGCCTCAGCCCCCCAAGTAGCTGGGATTACAGGCACCCACCACCATGTCCAGCTAATTTTTGTATTTTTAGTAGAGATGGGGTTTCACCATGTTGGCCAGGCTGGTCTTGAACTCCTGACCTCAGGTGATCCGCTTGCCTTGGCCTCCCAAAGTGCTGGGATTACAGGTGTGAGGCACTGTGCCCGGCCTATTCCTAAACACTTTGTAAAGTTTCAGATGTGGCAAATTTTCGATTTTCTAACTTCAGTGAAAAATACCACTTTGCATTCTTTTAAATATCTAGTTGTACTTATAGCAGCTACAAAATTGTATTTTATCTTAAAATGCAGGCTTTTCCAGAGGAACTATTTTAGAATTACCTGTTTTTGCTAGACAGCTGTGGCACATTTTAAAATGCACTTATAAAGATATCTGATCTTACTACCTTTGGAAAGTATTTTGATAATAAACACACACACACAGGGTTTTAGTTATGTCTGAGACAGACTGTAAAGGAAATGGTAAATGATATAATGTTGATGAATGATGGAAAGCTCAGCTATCCAATTCCTATTACACTTCTACTTTTTCTGGGAAAAGGCAGAACAAAAGCTGGCAAGAAGGAATCAACGGTCTGAATGGGTGAAGGGATTCTAGAAAAAAACACAGTTACTATAAGTATGTTACAATATCCTGGCCTGGATTAGTTTCTTCCAGAGAACTAAGAGTCTCCAAATAAAGTCTCTGCAGGTTGTCATCAGAGGTGCTGAGGCAAATGAAAGGCAGGCTGGAAGACCAGAGAGAGGTGATTCTTATCTTTAAATAAGGGGAGTCAGGTGGTTCCACAACCTGCAGACTGATGAACTTGACATCATCCTGGGCAGCATTCTGCAATGGATTATTAAAGGTAGGGCCTGTGAGTATTTAGGGGAGAAAGTGTAATCTCCAGGAACCAGCATGGGTTCACCAAGAATAATTCATGTCAGGTTAATCTTTTTTTTTCATAGAATAAGTGGGAGATTGTGGAAATATGTGAAGCAATCTAGATTTTAGAAGGACAAGCAATAAGGGTTTCATGACTTTTGTGGGTAGACAGGAGAAATACAAATGAATTAATTATTCATTCATTTAACAAATATTGGGTTGGTGCAAAATTCTGGTTTTTGACATTAGAAGTAATGGCCAAAGCTGCAACGTTGCACCAATCTAATAAATACCTGCTCTGTATGAAGCACTATCCTAGGCACTGAGGATAAAACAGCAAATGATAGATATGGTCTCTGTCCTCAGAGTTTCTCAAGAGGGACAGTCAAAACCCAAAAGCCCAAATAAATATGTGCAAGTCTTTGTAATACAGACTATAAAGAAAACAGAGGCAGGGCAGAGATAAGAGAATAGGGGGCAATCTCCTTTAAATGGCGTGAGCAGGTCTCTCTCTCTGAGGAGGTGGCACTTAAGCTTAGGTGTAAAGAATGAAAGGAATCTACCTTGCTTCAAGGAACAGTGGGAAGATGACAGTTTCAAGAGGGGTAGCATGTGCAAAGGCCCTGAGGTGGGAAAGATACTGGAATGAGGGAGCTTTGAAAGGCGGCCAGTGTCAGGAGAGTGGTGAGTAAGGGGGATAGTTGTACTAGATTAAGGTTGGAGAAATCGGCAGGGGCACTCCCCAAATAAACTGCAGAAGATGAATGAAGGAGATTCTAGTGGCCAGTTCTTTCAGTTCTTTTACCAATGGTTTAGAATCCATTTTTTATCAGTTATGTATAGCCTATTGTTTTGAAATACAATAAAAGAGAACAAAACATTGAAAGAAATGTTAATTTGGTTGATACAATTAGAATTCAAAGAGCAAAGTATAGTGGATCAGCACTTAGGCTCTGGCCTCAGACCAGTGTTTGAAAACTAGGTCTAACATTCTCTATGGCCTTAGACAAGTTATCTAACCCCTCTAAGCCAGGTAACAAAGACAATATAAGGGCTGGCACAGTGGCTGACACCTGTAATCCCAGCACTTTGGGAGGCCAAAGTGGGCGGGTCACCTGAGGTCAGGAGTTCAAGACCAGCCTGGCCAACATAGAGAAACCCCATTTCTACTAAAAATACGAAAATTAGTCGGGCGTGGTGGCGCACACCTGCAATCCCAGCTACTCGGGAGGCTGAGGCACGAGAATTGCTTGAACCCGGGAGGCAAAGGTTGCAGTGAGCCGAGATCATGCCACTGCGCTCCAGTGTGGGTGACAGAGGGAGACTCTGTCTCCAAAAAAAAAAACAAAAATAAAAATAAATTTTAAAAAAATTCAAAGCAGTTTTCATACTTAGTAAAATTGAGAAATGAGAAAAACTACAATTATAATAGTGTTTTGGGGATTAAATTCAGTAACTCTCTCTTAAGATTTAAGATTGTGCCACTTTTTCTCAGCACTTTTGTCAAGTAAAAGTTTTTTTGATGTTGCTTTTTTTTTATGTTCCTATTTTCTCACGTAAGCATAGTTAGCAGTGATAGTTTTCCTTATTTGATCAAATCTTATATTTTTTGCATTAAAATGTGCCTTTTAAAAAGTTATCCATAATTAAAATGTTATCCATAGAAAAGTCATCCTATTTTCTCCATGTAAGCAGTTAGTAGTGATGAAGTTTTCCTTATTTGATCAAATATTTATTTTTTGCATTAAAATGTATTCTAAAATGTTATCCATAATTGGATATCCATAATATCCAATATACATGTTTTACTTTACTGTAAGTTTACGATTTACTTTACTGTTGGCTTATGATTTGCTTAAATTTGGAGAAACTATGACATATTTAACTAGAAGTCTCCTAGGCATGCGAACTGCTTGTTTTTCCTTACTGAAAATTATGCTGATTTTTCTTCTGCATGTGCTCCTGTTTGATTCCAGTGCTAGCGACCTGATCTAGGCAAATTTCACAGGACTTCCTAACTCCAATCCCTCTTGGTTATACGCTATCTTACACCTGCTGCCATAATTTCTAATTCTTCCTTGCTGCAGAGCCTAGATAATTTCACACTGTTCAGTCCAGTGTATGCTACAATCACCTGATTCCTCCACCTCAATCCTGCTCCTCTTCTGTTGCTACCTGCCACTCTACTTCTGCACCTGGCCTCTCCATCATCTTCTGCTAAATGAAATTCTCATTCTCGTGATAAAAGAAACCCAATACCTTCCCAATCAACCCTACTCCACTTGGGTCACTTTTCTGTTTTTTCCTTATCACCAGTGAAACCAGTTTTTACTTAATTACTTTATTTCCACATATTCTCATAACTATACATTTACATAATTGCCTACATCCCCACCAGTTTATAAACTTAGTCAACTAAGGGTCTTAATCTTCTACTGAAATCCTATTTCAAAAAAACCCTTCAGTAACTGACTCAAGATGTACAACTTTATCTTTCATGTGATTTTTTTTAACTGTCAAAAATACATGAAAAAATATGAAAGAGAATGTACCAAATATTAATAGCAGTTACCTCTGGAAAATTTCAAAACGGGAGTTGGAAAGGGCAGGGGTAGTGTTGGTGGTAGTAATGTACCTCAATATATACCCATTACCTAAAACTGTGACTGGCACATGGGTCTTCAAATTAATATTTGTGGAATGAATGGTCAGAGTCTAAATATTCAGTCAACAGTATGAACATTTTTTCGTAGGTTCTTTTATAATCTTTAGTACTTCTTGAATATTCCATAATGAACTTTGATTTATCATATAAAAACTCAAACTAAAAAAGATACACAAGCAAATTTGACATGGAAAGCATGACAACCAAATTTGATGTGGGTAGTATGAAGATTCAGCGCAAGGTTTGATTCCAGTATCTTAAAAGTTTTTGGAAGACAAGTCCTCTATCGAAAGCAGATGGCTTTTAAAAACAACTAATGATACAGAATCTTGAACTGACAAACTAAGAGAAATGTTGTCGTAATTATTTCCTCCAAAGAAATTCTTAATCCCATGCAAAATCCCTAGCTGTTGCATACTGTTCTGTGGCTTCAAATACTATCAATACAGTGACTCCCCATTTCATTTTTAGTATTTTTTTAGAGGAAGGAACTGGCTCTGTCTCAAGTGATCCTCCTGCCTCAGCCTCTCAAGTAGCTGAGACTACAGGCGCATGCCAACCCACCCAGCTAATTTTTATTTTGTAGAGATGGGGTCTTGCTACATTGCCCCAGCTGGTCTCAAAATCCGGGGCTCAAGTGATTCTTCTGCCTTGGCCTCCCAAAAGTGCTGGGGTTACAGGTGTGAGCCACCATGCCTGGCCTAGTGATTCCACATTTTAATTTTCTCCCCTTAACACTACACTCATATATCCAACTGCCTACTATGCAATGTCTCTGTTAGAATTATTAATAGGAATCTCAAAACTCAATCACCCTTCTCACACCAAAAACTGGAGTCATCTTTTGATCTTTTTCTTCTTGTTCACATCTAATCCATCGCCAAGTCTTATCAGCTTTACCACTAAAACATACCCCAATTCTGACTTCTCCCCATGACTATCACCCTAGTCCAAGGTCCCACCATCTCTCACCTGGATGACTGTAAAAGTCTTCCTTACCTTGTTCCACTAGTCTTTTCTCCACTGACCAGAGAAATTTACAACACACCACACATCTCCTTTGCTTAAAACTCTCCAATGGCTTCCCATCACACTCAAAACAACATCTTAAATCCCTCACTATAGGCTTATAGCCCTAAATGGTCAGGCCCTTGCCAATCTCTAAAACCTCATCACCTACTATTCTCCACACTCAATGGACTTACCTTACTGGCATTCTTTCTTTCTCAGCGAGTAATTCCATATGTGCTTTGGGGACTAGTTTTATTGTTCTCTTCATCTCGAACGTTTGTTCTTTGGTCTTGGTCTAATTTTCTTATATCATTCAAGGTTACGACCCTATAAAATTGTGCCCCAGTCCCTCCACCACCATGTTCTGCCTCATTTTACTCATAGCTTCGGAAATTACCATTTCATTGCTGTCTTATCTACTAGAATTCAATAAACTCTGGAAGGCAGTAAAGCTTTGTCTTATACCCCAATGTACACCCATTACTGAAAATAGTGAGTGGCACACGGGTCTTCAATAAATATTTGTTGACTGCATGGCTGAAGAGAGTCTCAATGTTCAATCAAGCGTCCAGGGCATGAAAACAAAACAGTTGCTCCAACTCATCTATACTTTGCAATAGCAACCTCTCCTCCCGTCCCCCACAAATAACCAGCTACCTCCCACAAAAATTCCACCCCAAACCTCTTTAGAATATACTATTTTAAAAGCCTATGTTCTGGATCAGCTGTTGCAAAATTATAAAACAAAACCAGAGCCTCAAAAATATGTAGCTTGTATGCACACGGGCCAAGCAGCATTGCCCTCTTTCGAAACTTTCTCACCCTTGAGTCAGCCCTTGCTATGCATTTCTATCTAATTTCATCAAAGTAAAACTGTATGTGCTGGGGTACAGGTAAGCAAACAAACTGGTGCTATTTGCTCTATGTTAACACTCTCAAAGACAGACCTGGCTCTGCATCCTTCTTAGGAGGGTCCTATGGCCAGGCGCGGTGGCTCATGCCTGTAATCCTAGCACTTTGGGAGGCTGTGGGTGGATCACCTGCGGTCAGGAGTTCGAGACCAGCCTGGCTGACATGGTGAAACCCCGTCACTACTAAAAATACAAAAATTAGCCGGGCGTGGTGGTGGGCGCCTGTAATCCCAGCTACTCAGGAGGCTGAGGCAGGAGAATCACTTGAACCTGGGAGGCAGAGGTTGCAGTAAGCCAAGATCGGGCCACTGCACTCCAGCCTGGGTGACAAGAGTGAGACTCTTGTCGCAAAAACAAAACAAAACAAAAAAAAAAACAAAAAAAAAGGAGGGTCCTGATTCACTCACAGGCTCTTTGGCTCTACCAAAAAGCAGTATTTGCTATAAAAATAAGAGATCTAAGACCAGTCTCAATAAAACTCACCAAATTAGTGTTCAGTGCCAGAGAGAAAAGCAAGCTTTGAAATAAACATAAATAGCAACCAGATCAAAATGTGAAATAAAAAAATTCTTAAGCTTTCGATTTTGTCAAATGAAGCTTAAAATTCAAGTATCAGTTCTTACGGTTCTAGCCATTATAAATCTTACGTAAACATAAGAGCTAAAAACAGCCTGGTGTGTGGAGAATGATTATTTGGGCTCAAGTTTTGTCTAAGAAACATAAATTTAATTATAACTCTTAGTAACTATTTAATCCAAGCTGTTTTTCTTCAAATATTTTGTACTGTGTTTAGCCAGAAAACAAAATACAGATGAACTCTTTCTCTTTGTAAGGTGACTGTATTATAAACAAGGCTAAAGTAGCAAGGCTAAACTTTTAGTGCAGATAATAAAATTCGAATAGTACAAGAATACTCTTTAGGTAATATCTATAGAATAAGATCTCTAAATGTTTTTGTATCAGGTGGAAATGCCATCTAAAGTAATATTAACAACATAAATGTATATATGTGCATACATAAATATATAATACACACTTATATGTATGCGGAAGGGAGAGGTGTGTGTGTGTGTGTAAGGGAATGAAGAAAATGAATGAGAATGGGTACAAATCAAAGCAACCTTTTCTTGGGTTAATTATTTCAACTATAAAGATGTATCTCAACTTCTAAAGAAATTCCTGGTTTGTATTTAAATGCACTTTAAAAAGACCGTTAACACTCAAATTTAGTTGACAGGCTACAATGGGATTCAGAAAAGGACACAGTGAATATAGACTTAGGTGCAAGTTCATGCTGGTGATTTTTCTTTTTTAAAATGTAAGCCACTAATATTTTAAGACAAAAATTTAAACCAAAAATTGCATATTAATATTATACACAAACTGAAACATGTGACTTTTAGCACAGTGTATACATGCTTACATAAACTCAAACACATTTAAAACAATTTCCATTTAACATATGAAAGTTTTGAAATACATAAAAGCATTAATACTTTCTATAAAACTACAGTTAGAACATCAATTTGCTACAAGCATATAAAAACATCAAGTGCTTTCTTGGAGTTTCAAGTTTCCTCTCTAAAACACAATCTTGCTCACATATATAGTCCTTTTCCAATAATCAGTATGAACTTTTCTTTTTCTCAAGAGGTTTATTTTCCAGGTACATTATAAGCTCAAGAAAAAAGACCCAACAATTAGGCAATATAATTATGTCATAACAACTTAATTGCACATAATGCTTTAAAGTAGGTTTGGATGAAGTTCTCAAACACTTTGGTATATGATCTTCAGGGACTTTAATTAGAAACAACAGAAATTATAAGTCCCTTCAATCCCCATTTTGCTTTAAAAGGGACAAGTCTTTGGTTAAAGTTCTACATTTTGGGCATTTATTTTTAATTAAGATGGTCCCCAAACCAATAAATGGTACTGATCTATTACAAATTCACAAGACTTCATTTAACCTGCTTCTGATGCAGTGGGAGGTTACAGATACTCATTTACTATAATATGTCATTGGATAGTTTCAATCTTTCATTTATAAGCAGAGAAATCAATAGGTTTATTACTTCTCTGTCAGTTTTCTGTTATAACCTAAACTGTACAGTAATTTGCAGTAACTACAGATACTGTTCCACAGTATATATAATTATGACTGATAAGATGTAGAGCATTAAATTTAGAGTTAGCTTATTCTGATAAGTCAATATTAGACTGTTCATTAACTCTGCATTAACTATAGAAAGGTTGTTAGTTAATGCTTATTTAAAAACCCCAAACCATTCCATTTACAAGAGAAATTGTTGCAAATGTATAAAACAGCAGATATACAAGGAGAACACCAAACATACTTTATTAGCACAAAAAAAGCAGCCATAACAAGGCACAGCAAGCAGAAACATACATTAGCAGTCAAAAGGTTAGTGTTGCATACAAATATAGCTTTCCTTTTTTGTAGCCTTGGCAATAGCCATAGGGATGTAAAATAACATTCTGTAGCAGCAGGTAAGGAAACTATGGAGCACTCACCAGTGGTACAGAGCACATTAACGAAAAGACATGAGAGTGGATTCGGCTACTTTAGTGCAAAATGTCTAGGACAGAACTGTAAATTCAGTTCAGTTACTAAGAAGCAAACACTAGAACTTGATATAACTTCCAAAAGCGCTCACTCAAGTAGTAGTACATATTATTCTAAGTGACAAAAAGGTGCTAAGTTATTTACAGATATAATGGTTGTACAGTACCTTTTAAATCTGCAATTTAGGTTTCAGATTTTCCATTAAGAATGAACTGCACTGAAATTCTATAAATTATACTTAAGCAATTCAGTTATGAGAGTTTACAAAAAAGAGATAAATTCTGCCATCCAAATTATTAATTATAGTTCAACAATAATCTCAACATCAGCAACCATTGTAGTTACTATTATCTGACTTGTTTGGGCGTCTTCTAGTCTCACGTACTTCACGGTTCACAAAATCATCCTGGGCATAGGAACAGATCCAACTTTTATGAAACAACAATTAGACTGCACATCAACTTAAAAAAAAATCACACACAAGACTACATTGCAGCAGCTATTCCAAACGCCTGTTTTAAGTTAAAGCACTCATTTAAAAAATTAATACCTAGGCCTTTCAATAAAATTCTACTACTAGCTTTGTAAGTCTGAAATTTTAAGAATGCCTATTTAGAAAATCTGGTTTACTTAACAGTACCTTTTGCAGAAGAGAAAAGGCGTCTGATTATAAACTACATCAACACGTAAGTGAACTGCACTATGCCCTTGTGGCCAGAAAATTGCATTTTTTTCTAAAAGGAAGGCAGTCTTTTATTCTTTTTGGACTTCCAAAGCTTGATTTATAGTAACTACAAACATCACGACTTTTGGAAGGTTATAGAAAAACTCTTAGAAAAAATAATTTCAAACATTAGTCACACTGTTGAAATACTCATCCAATATTAATAATTTGTTCTTCAGTAAGAAATAGAATTCTTCATAACAAATGCCCCAGAGTTGCCTCACTCAAATACCACAGCCATTAAAAACCAAACTGTTAGCGAAATAGGCAAAATGTTTTTGTAGTCTTACTGAACACCTGTAGCTCTATCCGCTATTGTTCCAATAGGCACCATGTTTATCTGAATAAGTAACAGCAGGTAGCATCTGACAGATACTAACACTAAGCTTACATACTGTATGAAAAAGCCTAACACTGCTACGTGTGCTTGCTATAGGTGTACTGTCTGATGCACATGAAAGCGGACCTAGTTAACAACCTTTGGGGACCGGAGAGTTTACTTTGCCTTGACTGGTTCTCGTTCCAACCAGCGAACTCTAACTTTTTGTTTATAATGATACTCTTTTAAAAAATCCTGTAACATTGAGGGTAGAGGGAGCCCATCAATTCCATCATACGTAGTGCACCTGCAGATTACCGCGCGACAGATATACTGCAGGCTAAAAGGGAAAGTCCTATTTAGTGATATAGTAAGCAATGGTTCAAAAAACATGCACGAACTGGGATCTTTATAATGTTCTAAAAGTCCCGTTACAGTGGAGGAGTGAAATACACACGGGTCATGGGCGTCGAAACTAAAGTTGTGATTCCACTGCTCAATTCGGGCATGCAGGGATCTGTTGTAGCGGCGGAAGCTCACAGAGAAGAGGTAGTCCTCTTGCGCAGAGTCCCTGAGCAAAAACGTGCCTTCAGGTTTCCCTTCGAGAAGGGCTTCTGCTTCATAACGGTCCATCACTCCCCAGTAACAGGGATTCCCTGTAATTTGAAGCAAATCAGGCACGAGGCAGTGTATGTAATCAATCTGTGTGTGGACTTTCCAAGCTCCCTGTCTGCTAACATGGGTATGGCTGTCTCCAGATATCTGACGCTGCTTCTGCCTCCGTGACTGCAAACACAGGGTGGTTGTATCCTCTTCCGAGTCACAATTAGCTTGTGGAATTGCAGAACTGTCCCCACTTATTTCAGTCATTCCAGGAGCTAATTTTGGTCCCAGTTTATATAATGGATTAACCTGTGCAGTAGCTTCAAATGTATGTATTTGTGCATTGGGAGGGGGATCAACCCCTTCTTCAATACTAAGCCGCCTTCTCTCTCTAAGCCTATCTTCTTCATCTTCTGTAGAAACCAAAGATGGATCAAATGTATCAAAAAATGTTGAATGTGGGCTCACAGGAGCTGTATGCTGTTTAATCAAATGCCATTTTTGGGCTAAATCTGAGCCAGCAGGAAAAGGGCATTTCTCAAGCATTAATTCAGAGAGATGGATTTTTCTTTTATTGGAAAAGAGAGGCTTTGACTGCTTGCTGTAAGTTCTCATGGGAAAACACAAGCCCACAGTATCCTGCAACCTCTGTCTTAGAGAGCGACTTCCTACAGTTCTGCTGGAAACACTGTCCATGTCGTGTACAGAACTTACGCCGTAGCGCCTCTCTCTCCTTTGAAGTCCACTTCGAGTTCTACCAAACTTTTTATCAGCATCCAATGAACTCTGGGTCTTTGTAGAACAGGAATGTTTTTTCTTCCCACCCCATGGAGCATGTCGAGAGTAGGAATCTCTTCGTGCAAGTCTTGTTCCTGGGGTAACACAAGAATCATTATCCTTTTCGATGCTTATTTCAACAATTTGAGGGATTTCTGTGGCACAATTTTGATTTCTCCTTGAAGAATTCTTCGAAGGGCTTAATCCCAGTTGTAAGGCAATATTTTCTCTTAAGGGACTGCTTTGTTGCTGAGGAGTTGAGTCTCCTATGCTGATGTTTTTCTCTTTGACAGACAAACATCTGTTGGAGTTCATGTCCACATTTTCACTACGGCTTCCTCCCTCATGACCGAAGAGATTCTGACACCTGTATTTGAAGTTATTCCACATTTTTCCCACTTTATCCATTGATTATAAAATCTAAAGACAAAACAGCAAAAAGAGAAAAATAAATTAATCAAAGTAGCATGTGAAGGTAGCTAAGGCAGTGCCCACACCCCTTCCCGTCCAGAATTTCAGTGATACTGGCCAAGCGTTCACCTACGCTGCCCTGCTGAAGTGATGAGGCCGTGTGTTCTGTTGGGCAGCAGGAAGGCCACCGGGCCTTTTAGGCACTGACCTTGTTCAAGCCAGTCATTACTTCCCAAGTCCTTTCAGGCAGAATATTCTGAACTCAGGTGAAAGAAAATAAACGCTCTTAAACTCTGGTTTCTTTTTCCCGTGCTTCAACCTGTTTCCTTAATTTGAATATTACAAAGGCAAAATATGTTCCATATTGTTGAAACACATTTGTATTCAACTTTTCAAAAGTTGTAACTAGAACATTTGTGTAACACATTAAAATTAGTTCAAAAACCTTTCATTAGTAGCAATCTTCCCAATTTTACTTAACTGGTTCCTTGCAATTCTAAGGTTTACAGTGTGTTCATCACTTATAAAAAACCCATATCTTCCCTCCCACCCTATAATGTATCAAATTTATCCATGATTTTGAAGAAGCAGTTTGAGTAGAAAAGAAAGAAAAAGAATGTAATATTTAGGAAAGGTGTCTTTTTTCCTTTTTCTTTTTTTTTGAGACGGAGTCTCGCTCTGTTGTTCATGCTGGAGTGCAATGGTGAGATCTTGGCTCACTGCAACCTCCACATCCCAGGTTCAAATGATCCTCCTGCCTCAGCCTCTGAGTAGCTGGGATTACAGGCGTGTACCACCACGCCCGGCTAATTTTTGTATTTTTAGTAGAGACGGGGTTTCACCATGTTGGTCAGGTTGGTTTCAAACTCCTGACCTCAGGTGATCCACTGGCCTCGGCCTCCCAAAGTGCTGGGATTACAGGTGTGAGCCACCATGCCCGGCCAGGAAAGGTGTCTTTAAACTTCCCAATTCTTTAATCCTGGAAGAGTTGGGAAACTGTAATAAAGTAATAGAGAAAGGCTATGATACTGTAGTACTCGCAAAAACAAAAACCAAAAACATACAATTTGGCATCTTTATTCTTGTTCCTTAAAAAAAAATCTAAAGCAGTGTATGATACTTTACAAATAAATTCTTTTAAGACTACAGTATCAACAGGCACACTGTCTAGTTCAGTAGCTAAAAGTCAACATTAGAAGAAATGGAAAAACCTAAACTTAAAATTCAATTGGTTTTGTCACATTATGATAGCAGAAAACTTTAGCTGATCTTGCCATAACTTCAACTAATTATTTTTGTCATAAACGCTTATATTTTCAAGAAGTTAACTAGGAATAAGAGAATAACAGAGAATAAACTTTCTTAGAATGAATTATAGGTCTTCCCATTAGTTTCTCACAGAAAAGGCTCTTGGACTAATGGAAACACAACACAGAAAATTAATGTCCATGATATTATAAAATGTACTTTCAGATGATTTAATTCTTTATTAAAAGCACACTGTCAGGCACATAGGAAGTTTGTACAGTAGTTGGTATATATTAGAATAAAATGTATTAGACAGAACTGTTAAATCTCAGTAAAGTCTATTTTAGAACACGGCCTCCTCTGTCTTGCAAAAATCTCTCTCGTAAGCATTTTTTATGAGGTTTACGCCATTTGAACTTCACGTGCCTTGTTATCATTTATTCTTCTTCTTAAATTAAGATTTCCGTTCCTTGCCCATAGTCCTGTTAATACAGTCGAATTCCTGCCGTATTCTTGGTGACTCCATTATCTTTGTAGATGTTCTCTTCCAATATCCTAGCCCCTTTCTAGCCTAGTTTCTTCTCATTTATTTTAAAATTAGTTTTTATTTTTACCTAATTCATATATTTGTAGTTTCAAGGTCAAATGTCACTACAAGACTCTTAACAAAAAACAGCACCACCCACCATGTGGCTACTAGAAAATTTAAAAGTAACATATGTGATTCAGGTTATATTTGTATTGAACATTACTGATGTAGAGCAAGGGCCAGCAAACCAAAGCCTGAAGGCCAAATCTGGCCTGTGGCCTGTTTTTTGAAGGGATCCCAGCTCAGAAAAATTTTTACATTTAAACATACACACACGAAGAACATCTGACAGAGACCACATGTAGTCTGCAAAGCCTAAAATATTTTCTATCTAGCCCCTTTCAGAAAAAGTTTACTGACCCTAATCCACCTATTTAAGATAAACCACATCACTCTAGACACTAGAAGAGCCATATTCAAGAAGTCCAAGAATTTAACTCTCTTCTCCGTGTTTATAAATTTTGTAGCTATCTAAAGATACTTCTCTGACATGCAAATTATACCCAAAAAATAACTTTTAAAAAGTGACCTAACCTAAAACCACTCATCTCCTTATATAGTTCTTTATAAGTTGTATGAATTAGTGTGATATGCAGAAAACATTTGTACTTGCCAGGGCACAAAATGCAGTTTCTAACACTGAACCCCCTGGTTCAGTTTCACAGAGCATGAAATTTAGTTATTTCTCTATTCTTATTCTGGAGCATGTTATCAGACTGCATCTTACTCCATGGAGAAAGATAGTTGATTTTTCTTGACATGTGAAATGTGATGTGGGCAGCTTTAATATTAGGAAGGAAAAAATACGGACAGTAATTCACAGACTAGTCGACATAACAATCAGGAAGGCATTTCAACTATCTTGGTATTAACAATGTCAGATTCGAAGTTCTTTTGTTTGTTTTGTTAAATTTTTAGAAATGTTTTTAAGATAGAGCTGAAACCCTTTGAGATCTAAATTACAACTCTACTACTTTATGGTTTTATATGAAATTATACAGGGCTAAAAAAAGCGTTAAATTTCAATTGCATTGATTCTAGAATAAAAGTTTATCATCCATTACAATCTCTTACATTTCTACACATGCTTAGCTGTTCTTAAAACTATCCAAAGCAAATTTCTAAAAAGTTATTCTTTCCTCGAAGGAATAATAATTTAAAACTGATTTTATAATGCTTTTGGAAGTTAAATAGCTTTTGTTGAAAAATTATATTTAACTGGATAAGCTACAAATTAGAATTATGGAAAATTAGGTCAAATTCTATCACTACATAAGTTTACATATATAAAAATGAAATAGTACAGTCAATGGTCCTTCTTAATGCCAACTAGTATCTATTACAAAATTTACACAAAACAAAATAATTGAAATAATTCCCAGGAGTTTATTTCAATGGGACTTAACCCATGCTTTATGAGAAATAAATTAAGTTTAACATGTTTTAAGAATACATTGAGAGAGAACTATTATACTTACCTAATTATGTTATATTGTTAAAATATACAGTTATAACATAACAGTTATATTCTTAATGCTGAATGCCATAAAGACGAAGAATGTGACAACTCAAATCCTTCCTCTTCTTCAGTCTATCTAGACTTCTCAGCTGTAACACCTTTCCAATAGAAAGTCCTTCAGTTACAGTAACAAAAATTGGGACAGGTAGACTGATTAAAAGTATTTCTGTATCAAATTCAGGCACAAGAGGCAGTTTAGGAGACAAGTTTTGATTGATATTTTGGTGGCATTTCAATAATTTTTAGAAAAAGATAATACGTTTGACAGTAAAACTGACCCAGAATTTCAGGAATGTGTGGCTGTCATAACTACAGCTTCTTAAAATAATCTAAGAATCCTCTGGCCTTTTAAAAATGATTTATTTTTAATTGTTATTTACACGTCATATTGTGACAGGATCTATTATTATCTAATTGGATGGCCATTTATCCTTTATACTGTTATTTAATATTAGGTTGAACCATATAAAATTGCTATTTTGTGGGTAAAAAATAAACATATAATTCAACCTTAGAGTTACACTATTACAGTGTACATGATATATTAATACAGTAGACCATGTACACTCAAAAAGAGGTGCAGTCCTCTAATCTAGTATACCCAGACACTTCCAGTTCCCAGCAGTGAGTTACACTTTTAGTTATGTTAGGTTCCAAACCTGTTCATGCCATTTATATTAGTGTAACTATGTGATTTAATTAAATGTCAACTAACCTAATGAAGTATGGAAGAGTGGGGAGTTTTATAAAGTTGAATGACTCTGAAATACTCAATAAAAGTGAAATACTTCTGCTGCTGAATTAGGTAGAGGCCAAGAAAATAGTTCAAAGAAATGGAAAAAATATTGTAAAGATCTATAAGGATTTTAAGCTAAGAATTCATCTGAAGAGCCTAAATTCTTGTTCTACTTAAAAAACCCAAACTGGAATCTTACATGATACATTATGGGCATGGCTTCCCCAATACAGACAATATGGATCTATAACTAGTAGACCTACTCTGAAAGAAAAGGCCTTGGCTCTTTCAGAGGTGTTTGAACCAGAGCAACCCCATCTTGAATAGGGGCTGGGAAAAATAAGGCTGAGACCTACTGGGCTGCATTCCTAGGGGGTTAGGCATTCTAAGTCACAGGATGAGACAGGAGGTTGGCACAAGATACAGGTCACAAAGACCCTTGATAAAACACAGATTGTGTTAAAGAAGCCAGTTAAAACCCACCAAAACCAGATGACAACCGAAGTGACCTCTGGTCGTCCTCACTGCTCATTATACATTAATTATAATGCATTAGGATGTTAAAAGACACTCCCACCAGCACCATGACAGCTTATAAATGCCACAGCAATGTCAGGAAGTTACCTTACATGGTCTGAAAAGGGGAGGAACCTTCAGTTCCAGGAATTGCCCACCCCTTTCCCGGAAAACTCATGAATAACCCACCCCTTGTTTAGCATATAATCAAGAAATACCATAAGTATACTCAGTCAAGCAGTCCATGCTGCTGCTCTGCCTATGGAGTAACCATTATTTTATTCCTGTGCTTTCTTAATAAACTTGCTTTCTCTTTTCTGTATTGACTCACCCTGAATTCTTTGTTGCGCAAGGTCCAAGAACCCTCTCTTGGGGTCTGGATCGAACCCCTTTCTGATAACAGCTTCTTAATCAAAAGACTGGCAAATGAACATAGTTATATTCTTAAAATTAGAATAAACTACTTAAGGTATGTATCCCTTCTATGATGTATTGCTTTATTAGACTTTACAGACAACTGGTTCTGACTGAATCAGATAAGCCTTCCTTAACAATCATAATTAAAATTTGTAGTAGTACCAGGATTGAGTAGCAAGTAACAAAGTCCTAAAGATAACAGGGAAACGTGACCTAGTTTCGGGGTTGGGGAGCAAGGAAGACTTTTCTGAGGAGGTGATGTTTCAAAATTTTATCCTGAAGGATAAGAAGAAATGAATCAGGACAATGTACTATAGGCAGAGGGAACAGCATTTGCAAAAGTCCTGAAGCAGAAATGAGCATGACATGAACAATGGCTGAAGTTAACACAACCCAGTGAGTGAAGGGAAGTGTGTCAAGATGAAGTTGGAGAGGTAAGCCTCATAATCCATGATAAGAGAGCAAGGGTGGATGCTGATATGGCACTGAAGACTACTGCAGGAGTCCAAGCAAGCACCTGACTAGGATGGTGATAGGAGAGATGGCTATGAGATGTTCAGATGTCAAATCTATAGGATTGAAGATCAATTGAAAATGGGAAATGAGGAGAGAGTGGTATTGAAAATGACACTAGGAGTCTTGCTTAGGCAAATGCATGAATAGAGATGCTGTTTCAGAGAGAAAACACGAAATAAAACAGTTTTGTCAGGTAGGGGTTTGAAGACAGTCAACAAATTGAATTTTTAAAATGTTGCTGTTGTGGCTGTCATGGAGATATGTAAGTAAATGATAATTAGTCCATTAGTATACATTCATACAGTGGAGCA
The DNA here is from genome assembly GCF_000001405.40 of Homo sapiens. Taxonomy (NCBI): domain Eukaryota; kingdom Metazoa; phylum Chordata; class Mammalia; order Primates; family Hominidae; genus Homo; species Homo sapiens. The sequence goes on along the minus strand of NC_000002.12, from coordinate 46,752,675 downwards.
CTATATAGCAGAAATGATCAACTATAGCTACTTGTATCAATATAAAATGTAACACTCAAAACATAATGCTTAGAGAAAGAAATTATAAGAGATGAATATATCCATTATGAAACAATTTACCTTTTAAACAAGCAAACCCCCAAATATATTGTTTAGGTATACATACATATATAATAAAGATACAAAAGCAAGGGGATGTCAGCAAAGTTAGGATAATGGTTGCCTATTATGGGGAAGGGTAGAGAATTAGAAGAGGCACTCAGAGACTTCTAAAACAGCAGTCCCCAACCTTTTTGGCACCAGGGACTGGTTTCATGGAAGGTTTTAGGATGAAACTGTTCCACCTTATATCATCAGGCATTAGTTAAGAGTCTCATAAGGAACACGCAACCTAGATCCCCTGTGCGCAGTTCACAACAGGGCTGAATCCTATGAGCATCTAATGCTGCCGCTGACTAGACAGGAGGTAGAGCTCAGGTGGTAATACTCGCCGAAAAAAAAAAAAAAGAACAAAACACTGAACTAAATAGGTTTCTCTAATGTGGTACAGGGTTCAGCAAACATTTTCTCCAAAAGGCCAGGCAGTAAATGTTTTAGGTTTTGTGGGCCGTACAGTCTCTATGGCAACTACTGAACTCTGCCACTGTAGCCTGAATGCAGCCATAGGCAACATGCAAGTAAATAAGCATAGCTGCATGCCAATATAACCTTATTTATGGTCAGTGATACTTAAATTTCATATAATTTTCCCTTGTCACAAAATATTATTCTTCTGATTTTCATTAACCATTTAAAAACATAAAATCCATTCTTAGTTCATGGTGGGCTATACAACAACCAGTGGTGGGCCAGATTTTGCCCATACGCCATAGTTTGCCAACCCCTGATGTACTACATAAAACATTTAAGATTATGTTTACCAAATCTAACAGTCATTCTATGGAACAGTTTGAAGATCAATACTCTAAGATTATCATCTTAAGTGCATTAAGTAAATGGATGATCACTAGAGCATGAAGTTATAAAATAGAAAACTTTCTTAGAAAAATAATATACACACAGAATAATTAAAATACTCCAGAAATATTTTAAAAAATCTAACCCTCACTTGAAGTCCCACCACCTAGAGATAATCACTGTTAATATTCTGGTGAGTATCTTTCCACATGTTTTCTTTTATGCAAAACCTGTACATAATCTTCTCTTATAATAAAAAAAAACACTTGCATGTCTGTGTCTACATTCCTTTTTATTTCTTATAAAGTGTATTTTTTTTTAAGTAAACTATGTCAGAGATGGAATCAGACTAGCAAAAGAGAAAAACCTCTGGCAATTACATTTTTTAACAGTAAATCTAAGATTCTTTGAAGTGAGTAATCAAAGAAATAAAACTCTGGAAAAAAGCTGAATCTTGAAAAAAGAGTAATAATCTTGACAGTAATGGCTGTGATGACAATTTACATTATTGGGGGCTAACAATGTACCAGGCTCTGACATAAGCATTTTACTTCTCCCAACAACCCTACGAGTAATAATTATCTTAATTTTATAGATGTAGAAACCGATATATCTGAGAGATTAATAACAACTTGGACTTCAATTTCTTCTATTATTATTTGGTCTATTCAGCTTCTCTACCTCTTTTTGAGTCAATTTTAGAACAGTATATTAATTATTCTAAGTCCAAGTACAATAGTGTCATTAAGTTCTTTAAAACTTCAGAGGATACATCATATCCATATTTTGAATTATTGGAGAACATAAAAAGATGGAATATATCTCAAATTATTATACAAACTCAGCATCACTCCAACATGAAAAGTTGACAGAGGTAGCACATGCATACTCAAAAGAAAATTTCTAGCCTATTCTATTTTAATTGTAATGAAACAATACTCTGACCAAAAGAATCTCAAGTATATTCATGGGCCTACCAACAATGTTTCGGTATCTGTACTTTAAATGCCTATCAACTATTAAACCCATGACCCTTGTGTAGGCCTGTATACCGCTCAGAAATGTTCTGGTATTATTGTAACAAATGGTTCTATATTAGTAAGTTCTACTGCTTCTCTGAATACTACTTTTAATTATATGGTCAGTTAAGAATGTATTTTGTAATCAGATGCCTAATTTCAAGGGATGGAGTTTAATAAGTTCTTGTATTTTTCTCTGTACATTAATATAGTGGTCCATTTTTAAAAAGAAGAAAAAAGAAGACACAGAACCAAATTAAGAGTCATGTGTGATACAGTCCCTGCAATCCTACTCTCCAAAAAAGACAATTTTAGGGCTATTTCTTTTTCTAATTAAAAAAAAAGTAAGTATTTAATTTTACATTTCCAGTTCCTAAGTTTTATCCACACAATTCTAACTTCTGGTATCACGTAGGAGGGCACGCCGAGCCTAGCAGAAATCTTATTCTTAAGCCCAAATCTCACGTACAGATACTGCCTATGCTTTGCTTAGGGCACCAGAATGAAAAGCGGATAGGCAATAAAACAATCAAACATTTGGGAGGCAGGAGCAGAAAGGATGAATTCCAGCATTACCATTTAAGAATCCTATAACCTTGAATGTCTTTCTTCATATTTCTGAACCTAAATTAGCCCCTTGGTACAATGACGATAATATCTACCTTATGGGTTGGATGTGATGATAGAAATAATATACATAAAATGGCTCATAGGAGATATTCAAAAGACAGAGAGGTTTTAAAAATGTTACCAGTATTATCTAGCATCTTTAGCTTTTCTCTCTTTTAAAAAATACTTCTTTCTTTCAGTTCTTCTGGGTCATGCCACAAATGTCACTTTCCTATGTACAGTATCTGCCAGAGTGAAAGTTCTATCCATGACTCCAACTTCCATATTATATCCTAAGAAACACTATGGACATTTCAATGTTCCTAAGCCATTGACTCTACAGCTCATCTACAAAAACTAAGGATAGCTAATCTGTACAGTACTGGGTAAGGTCCGGGAACACAGTCCTTATTCATTTGGAGGGGCTTCTGATTCTTTTTTAGTCTATAAAACACTACCACAATTTAAATTTTGCTCTATAGATACTGTACACTAGAGAAGCCTAAAATCCTAAGAGGTTATGCTTCATTTTCTTATGGGGAAAATATCTTATGTAATATACTAACAAATACACGATTCATCAAAATGTTTCTTATTTGGCCAGCATTATTGGCAGACTGTGGTATAACACAAACAACATAAGCCTTAGATTTAGCAGGACCTAAAATCAAATTCAAGCTCCCACTAGCTGTGTTAGAGACCTAAGTCTCGGCCTTTCCAGGATAACATGACATAAGGTAAAAACAACTAAGTATATAATAGGGCGACAAAAATCATAGCTTCTGATATACAACCAATCCAAAGCATGTTAGTTCATGTTAGTGACAGTAACAAAAAGTAAGGCTGTTTTATGACTAGGGAGAGATTATTGCTGAGTCAGTTCTGCATTGATATCCCATCTCCAGGGAGACTACTTCCGTTAGGCAAACCAACTTAGTAAAGTAAATAACATTTTACTCAGCATTATAACCACATGTGACTAGTACTGTCAGCACTGCCTCTACTGATCATGCTTACTAGAGCACAGGGCATCAATGCTTCCCACAAATCTCCCTTAATATAAAAGGTGGTTAAATATAAACAAAAATACCAACAAAGTAAAACAACTCTCAGTTGAGGAATTTAGCAGACAGCTTAATCCAGAAAAGAGTCTCTGATTAGGGGAACTACTTAACAGTGAGCTCATTATGATTCTGCTAATAATTTACAAATAATATTCAGTTACCAATGGTAAGTGAGCAAATGGAATCTGCACCATTTCCTTCTCTAGGGAGGATAACCACTTTATAACCCCAGCAGTTTAGATCAAGTATCACAAGAAATATGAAGACTCTAAGGACTAAAATAAATAAAATAATGTTTTGATAATAACAACTTTTTTACTTTTTATCTAAAACTGCTTAGAATACATTTACTAATCTTTAACAAACTTAAAAGATACTACTGTCTCCTATGCCAAATTTTAGCTCTAAAAAAAACTAATGGAAAATAATTTGACAACTTGTAATGAATCCAAGAAAGAAACAAAGAAAGAAACTGATCAGGACAATGCGTGCCCCTTTTTGGATCTACCCTCCCTGACACCATAAGAAAAAGGAAAATTTGTCCAGACACAGTGGCTCATGCTTATAATCCCAACACTTTTGGAGGCTGAGGCAGGAGGATCGCTTGAGCCCAGGAGTTTGAGACCAGCCTGAGCAACAGACAGACCCTGTCTCTACAATAAGATTTTCTAAAATTAGCCAGGCCAAGTGGCATGCATCTGTGGTCCCAGCGACTCATGAGGCTGAGGTGGGAGGATTGCTGGAACCTGGGAGGCTGAGGCTGCAGTGAGCCAAGTTCGTACCACTGCACTCCAGCCTGGGTGACAGAGTGAGACTGTGTCAAAAAAAAAAAAAAAAGAAAAAGAAAAGAGAAAAGACAATGGAAACATCTTAAAATTAGTCTTTAGCAGGATATTTGAGAAGGGTATCGGGAGAAGTAAAGGCAAATAAGGATAACTTTTAATCACGTAAGAAAACAAATGTAGAGAAGCATGTTGAACAAAATCATCAACTAGAAACTCCAAGTAATACAGCTTAGTTTTGGTTTTACCAATTAGCATGTAACATACAAATTTAGTTTTTAGAAATAGGACAATCAAGAAATCTTTAGTTTATTAACAACTAAAATTAAACCTAACCTATCAAAAGCTCAGAATCTGAAAAGATTTTTTAAATATTCATTTTAACATTTGCTGAGTACCACATGTGGACAATATGACGATAAAGTTCAAGCTCTCAGATGTAAATATTTAAAGCTCTTTCTCTATGCCTATTTACTCTAAATTGACCTTCAATTTAAGCAAACTTTATTTGCTAGACACCAAGGGCATAGCAGCTTAGAAACTGCAAATTAGAAGGGTTGGGGATGTGGTTATAGAGGAGTACTACGTGTAAGTACAATGACCACAGGAAGAGAAGAACAAAGAAACCTTAAAAAGTGTAACAGCCCAGGGCCACAGACTACATGGACACATTATGCAAGACATAAAAAAGGGAACACATGGAGATATAAAACAGATTTAAAAGAGACTAGCCGGGCATAGTGGCTCATGCCTGTAATCTCAGCACTTTGGGAGGCCAAGGCAGACAGACTGCTTGAGCCCAGGAGTTTGAGACCAGCCTGGGCAACAAGGCAAAACCCTGCCTCTATATACAAAAGTTAGCCAGGTATGGTGGTGTGCGCCTGTGGTTCCAGTTACTCTGGAGGCTGAGGTGGGAGGATCACTTGAGCCCAGGAGGTAAAGGCTGCAGTGAGCTGTGACTGCACTATCACACTCCAGCCTGACCAACAGAGCAAAATCCTGTCTCAAAAAAAAGTAAGAGACCACTATGAACAACTGTAAGCAAATAAATTTAAAAACTAAGAAGAAATGACTAGATTTTTAGAAAAACATAAATTACCAAAACTGACTCAAGAAGAAATTAAAAATCAGTAGCCGTTAAAGACTTTGAATCAGTAATTAAAATCTTTGCTCAAGGAAAACACCAGCCCATGCAAACTGTTCTAGGCAGAAGAAACAAATCTGTCTAGCAACCTTGATATGTAATCACTGATGGCCAGAACAAGAGATCAAAAGAGATGCAACAGCCAGCTCAATAAGGCAAAAAAAAAAAAAAAAAAAAAGAAATAAAGTCATGCAAATTGGAAAAGAGAAAATAAAACTCCATTTTCTGATGATGTGATTGTCTACATAGCAAACCCTAAGGAATCTTAAAAAAGAAAGAAAAGTAAACTAAGTGAGTTTAGCAGGGTCACAGGATACAAGATCAACACACAAAGATCAATTACATAACTATATACCGTACTAACAACAAACATGTAGAAACCAAAATTAAAAGAGATGTAACAAAAATATATAACCTTAAAGGAGACAGGCTGATGGGATCTTTTTTTTTTTTTGAGATGGAGTCTCTGTCGCCCAGGCTGGAGTGCAGTGGTGCAATCTCGGCTCACTGCAACCTCTACCTCTCAGGTTCACACCATTCTCCTGCCTCAGCCTCCCGAGTAGCTGGGACTACAGATGTCCGCCACCACGCCTGGCTAATTTTTTGTATTTTTACTAGAGACGGGTTTTCACCGTGTTAGCCAGGATGGTCTCAATCTCCTGACCTTGTAATCCACCCACCTCGGCCTCCCAAAGTGCTGGGATTACAGGCGTGAGCCACCCGGCCCTGATGGAATATTTCTATACTCCAAAGGAGAAGATTCAAATGGCAGGAGAGAAAACATGCTAGATATTCTAGAGTTACCACTGCCTTTGTACTTACTCTGGGGAGTGGTGAATAATAAGAATGTGAGTCTATAGCCTACTTCACAACCATATTGGGCCTATCCCTCTTCTCCATCTCCACTGCCCCCTAACAGGTTCAGTCTTCATCATTTGCATGGATGAATCAGATGCCTAAACAGTCTACCTTTCTCCACCCTCACTCCCTTCTGGAGCATCCTTCATAATATTGATCCCAGGATTTCAAGCATCAGAGAAAAAAAAAAAACTCAAAGGGCTCCGTGTCTGGCTACCTCCTCCACCCTTTAAAAACTGGGAAGAAAAAGTACAGCAAAACAACAGTTAACGGTATTATAATTTAGGAATATTGAGATAATATAGTTGGAATTATGCCATCTGGAGAATGAAGGTGATCAAATGTTTGTTTTTACATATACAGAGACCCTTTCTTTAAAAATGGGAATTCTGACTGGCCGCTCTTCAATCCTTCTAAAGACCAAGACAAAGAAACTCTCAGGAAAAAATTAAATTTCAAATGGTTAAAAAGGTAAATAAACAATCGAAAGAGATTTGTGCAGAGTCTTTCATGGGAAATGTTAAAGAGGATAAACAACCCTCTGTCTCTAGCCAGCCCAGGTAGTCCTTCCTCTACAAGCAACTCAATTAGCTAACCTCAAAGATCTGTGATTTTTCTTTTAATATTAGAATTTTTAAAATAAGCACAGCATTCCACAAATGGAATCCAGTTATTTAAGGTCTAACATAGCACAACAGTTACAACTAATTCTGATCATACTCCTCTCCAATTAAATAAAAGAAAAATCCTAATGTATAATACTGAGTTATTTAAATAGTCTCATACTCCATAGCTAGACATGTTTTTGATCAGGTACAATTTTATGTTCAATTTAAACAATGTAAATGTAGTGTCAGCTACAAAAATATGTAATCAAAGAAATGCTATTCTTCCAACACAAACTTTCCCTTTCCTGTCTCCCCCTAAAAGAACTTCTACACAGTTTAAGGTATAGTCATTTCCCATAAACATGGCTTAAAATTGAGACTTCTTTTGCAGATAAAGAAAAGCAGGTTTAAACAGTCTCAAAGATGAACTGGTAGTTTAAAGCAGAATTCTCAATATTCTTTGATAAGGATGTAGTGCTACATTAATATCCCCAAAATTCTTAAGACATTCTCTGAAATCTGAAATGAATTAAGACTTACTATTAAACAGTTTGCATCATAATTGTTTGAAGCATAGTGGGTAAAAATCCTTTGTTATTGCTTGCAGGTCAATCCTGGAAATCCACTTAAATGGGATAATTCTACATCTTGTTATACAGATTTTCTAATTTTCACAATAAAATATAAAACTTTCCAGGGGCAATACTTAGATCTAGTATGGATGAACCATTCCACAACTATTTCCCAAGCACTAAATAGAAACCACAAATAGACATAAAATAAAATTGGGTCAAAAATCTCGATTACAGCCGGGCGCGGTGGCTCACGCATGTGAGCCCTGCACTTTGGGAGGCTGAGGTGGGCGGATCACCGGAGGTCAGGAGTTTGAAACCAGCCTGGCTAACATGGTAAAACCCCGTTTCTACTAAAAATACAAAAAATTAGCGGGCATGGGGGCATGCGCCTGTAATCCCAGCTACTCAGGAGGCTGAGGCAGGAGAATCACTTGAACCTGGGAGGCAGAGGTTGCAGTGAGCCAAGATAGTGCCATTGCACTCCAGCTTGGGCAACAAGAGCAAAACTCCATCTCAAGAAAAAAAAAAAAAGTCTTTATTATTTTGAAAGAACTAGTTTGGAAATATCTCACCACCCACACTGATTTTCTATGTTCTAACTGTAATCAAATTACTTCACCACAAAGATATATATGTGGTTTGTATTATTTTGGCTCCCTACACAAATACTTTACCAGAATTACAACTTAATGTTATGCTCTCAACTTCTTAAGAGTTTATCAAATAAGTGGTCTTATATTATTCCACGTTCTATAAAAATGGTATCAAAGGGCTGGGTGTGGTGGCTCATGCCTGTAATCCCAGAACTTTGGGAGGCCGAGGCAGGCGGATCACTTGAGGTCAAGAGTTCACAATCTGCCTGACCAACACGGTGAAACCCCATCTCTACTGAAAATACAAAAATTAGCCAGGTGTGGTGGTACATGCCTGTAATCCCAGCTACTAGGGAGGCTGAGGGAGGAGAATCGCTTGAACCCAGGAGGGGGAGGTTGCAGTGAGCTGAGATTGCGCCACTGCACTCTAGCCTGGTGGACAGAGTGAGATGCCTTCTCAAAAAAAAAAAGAAAGAAAATAGTATAAAAGACATCATCCCTGATATAAAGACCCACACAAAAAAATTCTTCTTTGACTTTACTGCCAAGGTTTCTCTTTAAAAAACTGATATGCTTCCTTTATGTAGAAAATGAGAAAAATATAACTCATTGTGTGTCTCCTTTTTTCCTATTACCAACAGAAAATACAAATGGAAGGCCTTTGTTTAAATTTCAGACATATTTGGAGATGCCCCCCAGTCCCTTGTATGACGCTTAATCAATTATCATTATACTAAATGTTCAAGTATACATATGTTTGCCAGAGGCATGTGAACCATACTGAGTAGGGGTTGGGTAAAATGAGGCTGAGACCTACTGGGCTGTATTCCTAAATGGTTAAGGCATTCTAAGTCACAGGATGAGATAGGAGGTCAGCACAAAATACAGGTCATAATGACCTTGCTGAGAAAACAGGCTGCATGACAGAAGCCAACCAAAACCCACCAAAACCAAGAAGGCCACAAGAGTGATCTCTGGTCATCCTCACTGTTACACTCCCACCAGTGCCATGACAGGTTACAAATGCCATGGCAATGTCAGGAAGTTACCCCATATGGTCTAAAAAGGGAGGCATGAATAATCCACCCCTTGTTTAGCATATCATTAAGAAATAACCATAAAAATGGGCAACCAGCAGCCCACGGGGCCGCTCTATGGAAGAGCCATTCTTTTATTCCTTTAACTTATTAATAAACTTGCTTTCACTTTACTCTATGGACTCACCCTGAATTCTTTCTTGCGCAAGACTCAAGAACTTTCTCTTGGGGGTCTGGATCGGGACCCCTTTCCTGTAACATGTTGAATATAATACATATATGCAGTGGAAGGAGGGAGGAAGTAGATGAAAAACTCATAAAAAGTTAACAGTCAAGTTTTCTGAAACTAAAAAACTATACTTTGGGGCCTAAAATTGAGTAATCTCAAATGTTCCCATAAGATGAATGGGTAAGAATTTCATCGGATTGTAAAAACATAAACCTTCCATTAAAAAAGTAGTAAACAGGCCAGGCGTGGAACCTCATGCCTGTAATCCCAGCACTTTGGGAGGCCAAGGTGGGCAGGTCACAAGGTCAGGAGTTCTAGACTAGCCTGGCCATCATGGTGAAACCCCGTCTCTACTAAAAATACAAAAATTAGCCAGGTATAGTGGTATGTGCCTGTAATGTGAGCTACTCGGGAGGCTGAGGCAGAAGGATCGCTTAAACCTGGGAGGCAGAGGATGCAGTGAGCCGAGATCGCGCCATTGCACTCCAGCCTGGGTGACAGAGCGAGACTCTGTCTCAAAAAAAAAGAAGTAGTAAACATAAAAAAACTTATGACTTCTCAAATAAAAGATGGGAAGGTGTACTTAAGCAAAATGCTGAAGCAATAAACCAAAAGGCAATGATCAAAAGACTAAATGACATAAAATTTAAGATTTCTGTATATCAAAAAATGTCATAAACAAAGGTAAATGATAAGCTGAATAAAACATTTTCAACATATGACATATGGAAACGACATGATACATGACAATGTTGTCATATGTTGAAAATTAATATATATATTTTATAAGAAAAAGATATGCCAGACACAGTGGTGTGCGTCTACAGACCAGCTACTAAGAAGGTGGGGGTGGGGGTGGGGGTATGGAGAGGATGCTTGCTTGAGCCCAGGACCTCAAAGTCCAGCCTAGGCAACAAAGCAAGACCTGTCTCTATTTAAAAAAGAAAAGAAGACAAAGAAAATGGTAAAACACAACAACTCAATTAAAAAACAGCAAAGGATATCTCTAGAATAATCACAAATCAGATGTATACTTGGCCAATAAAGGTCATTCTTGGAATTTGTCAAAGACATCCAAATTAAAATGTGATACAAATTTATCACTTATCAACCTGTCAAAGTTTGTTTTTATTTCTTTTACATTTTAATGGTACTATCTAGCATGGGTATTGAGAAAGTAGCATTGTCACACACTAATGTGAGAACATAGATCCACATGACGTTTCAGAAAGGAAATTGTATATTATGTACTAAAGCTTGAAAACTATGCACATCTTTCTATCTAAGGCTTCCCAATTAGAAATTTATTCCAAGAACATAATCAGATAAGGATGGAGATTTATATGCAGGAAATATTCATCATAGCATTAGTTATATTAGGAAAAAATTGGCAATAATCATATTGCTCAGTGAATAGAAGAATGGTTAAATAAATTCTGGTGCCTTTACATGCTGAAATAATAGACATAAAAAACCATGTTTCTGGGGCATTTAATATTCTGGTAATGTTCATGATATTAAATAAAAATGGTTATAAAATAGTACAACTAAACAGACCTCAACACACATCTATATCACAAACATTTTTTAAAAAATATAGTTAGGAAATATCACTGTGGTTATTTCTGGATAGTTTCTATTTATTGTAATTTCATTTTTTTTCTTTGTTGTACTTTCCAAAATATTAGATTCAATATTTTTAAAATGTTATTTAAAAAGGAAGTAGATCTTGGGGCCAGGTGCAGTGGCTCACGCCTGTAATCCCAACACTTTGGGATTTGTAAAAATACAAAAATTAGCCCGGCATGGTGGCGCACGCTTGTAATCCCAGCTACTTGGACATTGAGGTAAAAGAATCACTTGAACCTGGGAGGTGGAGGTTGCAGCGAGCTGAGATCGCACCACTGCACTCCAGCCTGAGTGGTAGAGCGAGACTCCGTTTCAAATAAATAAAAGAAAAAGGAAGTCGATCTTGAAAAAGATCAATCTAATTTCATATTATAAACTCAAAGATATATGCAAAATGCAGAAGAAATGAATAATGAAATATTTTAAAAACTTTTTAAAGATGAAGCAACGGTGAGGAAGGGAAGAGACACAAATAAATGGTGGGTTACAGGGGCAGAGAACACAATCAATGGAGAAAGGAATCGCAAATACAGGTCTCCACTCAAGCCAGCGTGACTTTCTCAAACAGTATTAGGAATTAGTGGTAAGTAATATCACTAATGAATTTCAACTCATTTATGAGTCTCTTCTGGTTGCAAGGTTCTGACATACTCAAATGTGGGTGTGTATGGCTGAGGAAGGATCCTGATTAATAAGCACGGATTTGATAAGGAAAACAGGTCAGAAGTCCAAGAACAAAATCAGTGACACAAGTGGGTCTGGGCCTCAAGGATACTGGGACTGAGAAGGGTCTGGTTCCAGAGCTTCCCTAGGAAGCAGCAAGAGGAGCAGTAGGCAGTGGCAGATCCTCATTCTAGAACTCTGGTTCTTACTGGGACCCAGCAACTCCCTGGGTATCAGCTTTAGATATGTGATTTACCTCCAGCCACCAGCTGGTATCTCTGCTTCTAGACTCTGTATTCTTCTTCTTCCTCACAGGTGCCACTTTCTCATACCTTTTGCTAATTCTTGATCTATCACAGGCCCCTCCTATCTCTCTCTTGATTTTTCAAATTCTGCTTCCAATACTTAACTGCCAATCTCTATTTCTTTTTGTGAGTTTTATGATACACATCATGTGTATCCTTACAGTAACCAGTACTCCACCTTGTCTATCTGGAGTACATCCAGACAGAAAATTAAAAGCAAAAGCTGTATTTCTTTAACCAAATATAGCCAATTGTAAGGCCTGTCAGAACCTGATTGGTTAAGCTCATTCCCATGTGGAGACAACTTTCTGTGCTTCCACCTGGTTGGGCAGTGGCCGACCAATCACTGGTGACTTTAATTTGGATACCCATGCCAGTCCAATCACCTATGGCCAGGTAAGGTAAGGTCATTCACGATTGAAAGCACAGCTACCTTAGTTTACTCCCTCAGTGAATGTTCTCCTTAGACATGATTGTAGGAATAGCAGGCACTGAAATTACTCAGTGACAAAATGTAATAACAAAAGGTCTTATCCAGTATTTCATAACTCATGTTCCCTAGAATTCTAGTATACCACATGATATTAACAAGTATTCTACAGATAAAGGCTTCCGTTTGAATACGTTAATACCTTAGTTCTCTGAGAGAGGAGATCCTCCTGGGCATTATTTCCTAAACTGGTCACAGCTGCGTTTTTCAATATTATAAAGTAGAGCAGAATAAATATCTTATAGTATATTGATACAATGGAATAGTATATGCACAATGGATTAGAGAAATAAAAATATACACACGAATACTGACATGTATACATATGTGTGTAGACATGTGTACAAAAGAGGCAAAACTAAACTATACCATTTAGGGATGCATATATAGATGGTAAAAGTTTAAAGAGAAAGAAAAAATGACGTTCACAAAAGTAAGAATATGGTTACTTCTGGGGGATGCGATGGGGTGGGGACAGATGGAGTATGACTGGGAAAGGGCACACAGCAGGCTTCTGGTTCACTGGCAATATTCTATTTCTTAATCTGGGTAGCAAATATGCTTTATAATTACTCATTAAACTGTATCTTTATAATGTATTTATTCTTTTATATATGGGTTACATTTTACTACAGAAAAGGAGAATAACCAAAAAGCAGCATACGCAAGACAGACAACAAAGAAAGCAGAAAGCAGTACTGTACTTGTACTTGGAGGCACTCGCAAAGTGCTACTAACAACCACCTCAGGTATCCTTCAGTGAAACTCCAATAATAGTTCACCCCTACACAAGACTATTATTTCTCTAATTATATTACCTTTCGAACTATCATTCCTGTAAGATATTACATCTTATGACAATTTACAATCCAATAACAATGGATATAGTCTTCTGCCAAGTTTTTTTTCTCTTTGACTCCATATGGTTATGTATGTTTTGCTATTAACAAAAAGAGCCATTCTGAGAGAGAAAGCCACAAATAAAATTTGGCACAGTCGACCCAATTAAATATTCTACCAAAGAAAAACATGAAGCATCCACTTTCTACTGGTACATTACTTCAAATGGTGTAAAAATTAAACGTGTTAAATAGTTCAATAATTTACAATATTTAAGAATATAATGCTCATTGATATGACATTATTCAGCCACAATGTTTATTCCAAGATGTTCCTTAAAGAATCTGCGTTCTTATCCTGGTTCTGCATCTTACTTACTGCTAGCAAAATGCAGCTTACTAGCTCTCTTATTTGACTGTATGGGAAAAAACTTCAGTTTCCTGGATGTGATTGATGAACTTCATCTATTTAACCAACCTAGTTCCTTCAAGTGAAATGATGCTAATGGGAAAAAAATTTTATTTGACTTAAAGATTTTTTAACACATACATAGAAGCTATGAGAACATATGTTCCTACCTTTACAGTTATAAACAAATATTCTCTAGGACCAATTTTCACCTCCTCAAATACAACTGGATGTGTATGGGAAACACACTTGGGTCCACACATTCAACACACACTCTTCAGTCCACTAACAGCCTAAAAGTCTGTCCCAATCTGGCTATTCTCCATCGGACCTCAAATTAACTATATCCAAAATTAACAATATGTCTCCCCAGGTTTGTACTTGAAATGTTATTTACCAGGATTGTACTTGATTTCTTGGGAAAATCTTAGAGTATCTTGCTCTTCCTCCACTTAATACCACCATATTTAATGTTACCTAGTTCAACAGTTTCTTTTTTCAAGATGTCCCTCCAGTGTACCTTTTCTGTCTACTTTCACTGCCAGTAACTTTGTCCAGATTTTTGTCTCATTCCTAGATTTCTACAACACCTTAGTCTCTCTCCTGTCTTCCTGGACTCATTATACTGCCAGATTCTGTTTCTTTTAGGAACATTCAACAGTTTGAGCATCTTGCGCCTCACATTCACTCATTACCACCCATAATCAGGCCCTGCTTTATCCAAACTAATTTCTCCTTACTCTGAAATACCTCCCTTAGTTGGCCCTCTACCATTCAATTCTAATTTTAACATCTACATCAAGTTCAAATGTCTCCCTGTTGATTTCTCTAAAAGGGTTTATAGTTAACACCACAATTTGTTCTCACCTTTTCAGATCATTTCAAGCATATCAATTTTATCTCTACAACTGTAAGATTCTAAAGATAAAAAATGGTCTTATATTGCTTCTTAAAACCCAAAGCACATAGGAGAGGGATGGAAATTTACATCCCAATTTTTTTTTTTTTTAGAAAGGACAGAAAGGTATCAGAGCCAAGGTACTATCTTCTATTCTGCTGCTTTGATCTTGGCTCAGGTAACTGATTATATCAACAACTGGTGTGTGAGTTGGCCAGTAAAGCATGACTCACCATTTTGCCAAACAATCAGCTTCAATGGGAAAGCGTCTGTGAAATTCTGTTTAAACCACTGATATGTATTCTATGTAAATGCATGAATTATCTGAAAGCTTGATCAGATAATTTTAGTAGAAGAATCTGATTGCTAATTTGGGCTATATGCCCACTAGAATACAGACCCCAAATCAGAATTTTCTAGGCATCAGGCAAATTATTAGCAACCAAGCATCCAAAAATAATTATTGTCACCAAACTAATAATAATCAGTTATCAGATTGCTATCTGATAATAAAAGTCACCCAGTAGGAATGGAGTTAATTTTTCTTACTTTACCCATTAATAATCTTTTTCTCTTCAATACCAGAAGAATTTTATAAAAGCAAAACCATCAAGCTACAGCTATAACATTTCTTCTCATTGTCCAGTCATGATAAAATCTCCATAGTTCAAAAGAATAGAAATTCACAGATTGTACTGTCCTGTGTCTCTCACCAAATAATTAAGAGACTCTTAAAATCTAGTCTTTTATTGTGAAAGGCCACTGTATTTCTCTAATTCCACTCTTGGATCTACTTTTAAGATTTAACACCTGGATAATGTTCTTCATAACTTTCTTAGTTTACATTTCAGAAGCTAAGATTGGGAGAGGTGATAAATTACTTGCTAGAAAAATAAGTTCTTAATATAGGTGAGTGTACTTTTCTTAAATTTCCTTTCAAGAAGCTATGTGAGTACAGGTTGAGCATCCCTAAATCCAAAAATCTGAAATTCAAAATGGTCCAAACTCTGAAACTTTTTGAGTGCCTACATAATGCTCAAAGGAAATGTTCACTGGAACATTTCGAATTTCCACATTAGGGATGCCCAACTAGTAAACATAATGCAAATATTAAAAAAAAAAAAATCTGAAATCCAAAACACTTCTGGTCCCAAGCATTTCAGGTAAGGGATACCAACCTGTATGTGGCTTGTGTTTGTGGGTAATAGGTGTTTAGGGGTAGCACAACAACCCAAGCGTCCATCAACATATGCATGGACAAACCAAATGTGCTACATACGTAATGGAATATTATTCAGCCTTAAATAGGAAGGATATTCTAACACATGCTACAACATGGATGTACCTTGAAGACATTGTGCTAAGTGGAATAAACCAGTCATAAAAGGGCAAATACTGATGATTCTTCTCATGAGGTTCCTAGAGTAATAAATTCATAGAGACAGACAGTAGAATGGTAGTTTCCAGGGGCTGCGGAGAGGAGGAAATGAGGTTAGTTTTTAATGAGTACAGAGTCTCAGTTGGGGAAGATGAAAAAGTTCTGCAGATAGATGGTGATGATGGTTGCACAAGAATGTGAATGTGCTTAATGCCACTGAACTATACACTTAAAAATGGTTAAAATGAGCCAGGTGTGGTGACTCACATCTGTCATCCCAGCACTTTGGGAGGCCAAGGCAGGAGGATCGCTTGGGCCCAGGAGTTCAAGGCCAGCCTGGGTAATATAGTGAGGCCTCACCTTTACAAAAAAAGTTAAAAATTAGCTGGGCATGGTGGCACACACCTACAATCCCAGCTACTTGGGAAGTCAAGGCAGGAGGACAAAATTGGGCCCAGAAAGTCGAGGCTGCAGTGAGCTATGATGGCACCACCGCACTTCAGCCTGAGCCAGAGAGAGAGACTGTCTCAAAAGAGGGAGGGAGAGAGGGGGAAAGAGAGGTACAGAAGGGGAGGGAAGGGAAGGGGAATGGGGGAGAGAGAGAAATGGTTAAAATGGCAAATTTTATGTTTTGTATATTTTACTACAATAATAAAGTATAACACAGAGAATCATATTACTTTTTAAATAACTCTATGTTCTGTGTGGTCAATTTTGAGGCATGCCCTCTACTATTGACTGTGTCTATTCTTTTCACATAATGGAGAAAATAGGAAAAAAATTAAGTATAAGAAAAGACATCAATGTCTACATAAGCAATTATCTTTGTACACATGGGTATTTAAATACTGCCATCTGCTTATGTCTGATATTTTTGCTGTACTCTTCCCAAATGTCTTTATCCATTCATTCAACAAGTATGAACATGGACTATGTGCTAAGCTTTATGTAAAGTGCTAGAGATAAAAAGATGAAAAACACAGTCTCTGTTAAGTCCAGAATCAAGCAGAGAAGGCAAATGACAATATAGCCTAAATGTGAAATAATTAGAGTGCTCTGGGAACACAAAGTGCAAAGCAACTACCTCTAGTTGGAGTAATGTGGCAGACTGCCAATTGTCCCCATACCTGTTCTCTTTTCTTCCATAATAATATAACCTTCCTTGTGGCCATGGACTAAGTTCTGGCCAATGAGATGCAACCAGATACATGGTGTGGGAGGCTTTAGGGAAGCTTTTTAAAGAAACAGCTGGTGTATGCCCTTTGTCTCTTTTTTCTTCCATACTGCTGCTTAAAACAAAGACACCTCAATTTTGAACCATAAGGACAAGGGTCAAATCTGAGAGCTTCCAAAGCCATGAGCTGAAAATTACTTCGTGGAGCAGAGCTGTCATTTTAGCCCTACACTGCAAACTCTGAACTTTGATAGGAAATAAATTCTCATTTTTAGGCCATCCTTATTTTGAAGTCTCTGTTACTTGCTACCGTACCCAACTAATCCTAACTAATGCAGGGGATCAGGAAAGGCTTCGCAGAAAAGGTGATCATGAGCTAGGTTTTAATGACTGAATAGCTATGTGCCAAGTGGAAAATGGAATTTCAGGCAGATACCGCAAAGGCATGGACTCCGGAAAGGGCCTGGCTCTCCAAAAGATGGAAAATGATTCAGATGGCTGATGTATGGGGCGGATGATGTCAAGTAAAAGACAAAGCAACCTGAAAAGTGGGGAAGAGAGAGACTCTCAAGCGTCTTCCATGCCATGTTTAAAAGGTGCTTTTATTCCTGGATGTGGTCTTATTCAATGACTAAGACTTCATTTCTCTGCATATGCTAGAAGAACCAAATGGCTCAGCTGGAAGACAATCAAAGCAGTATGGATTGGGTATGATGAGGACAGGGGTTCAGGAAAAAAAAAATCTTATTTCTGTAAGAGAAGGGTACATTATTATTTTAGTAAATATTGAGGACTAGAAGAAATATGACATGAAGAAAAGATTATGATTCTGAGAGTTAAGGGAGAAGAATATGGATAAATGTATACTTCGGTAATGGCTAGATTAAGTAAGGATTCAAATATCTGCCTATTAAAGTGAACTAAGGCCAATGAATTATTGTATAACTGTAACCATCTATCAATAATAAAATTCCTTTTTATTATATGCCTATACCTGTATGCAGGTTTCCTTTCACAAATGGCTGTCATAGGTTAGTAAGTGATAGCTGAACAGTACCAGAAACTTGGTATTTGATGATCTGACCCCTCTCAAAGGGTTATAAAGAAAAATCAGTGCTTTTAAAGGTTATTAAGAGCTTTAATTTTTATTCATACAAGTGGCATTCATTTTCTGCAATGACTGTATAATATTTTTGTAAATTTTAGTTTTCTAATTAAAAAAAACCACCAGTGTCCTATTAAGAAAATAAAAAACAGCACCAACTATTGCTCCACAGAAGTATCAGAGACAAATTACTGAAAGGGTATATGGCCTCTGTGAATCCATAATCCATTAATTATACTGTCCAAAGTGTCAAAGATCAGAAAATTCCAAGAAGTCCCACAACGTTTCCATTATTTCTTTCTAACTCTCCGTTAAGTACTACATTTCAGTCTTTTAATAAATAGTTACTGCATACTGATTACATCCTAAATGGAGTGTGGGACAGTTTATTAACTAGAAAACTGTAGGACATGGTTTTTATGTTTTAACCTGATATTCCTGCTTTCAATTACTCTTGGTGTGTCATTAGTATCTTCAACCAGATTATGAGTTTTCTCAGCACCTTACTCTGTAACAGGCACCAAAACACTTGCTAAGGAGCACTGTGGGAAAATACTGATTTTTTAAAGAGTGAGATACATGGCTTTCTTCATTTAGATGTTATTCAAATCATTCGTATCTATTTGTAACTTTTGCTTGAAAGAATGTTATAGCTTTTTTTAACCTTGAATTTTACTTGCTTATTATTTATTCATCCCTTACAATGGTTATTCCTTTTTTTTTTTTTTTCTTTTTTTTTTTTGAGACAGGGTCTCAGTTTCACTGTGTCACCTAGGCTGGTGCAATCCAGGATCACTGCAGCCTCGACCTCCTGGACTCATGTGATCCCCCCACTTCAGTTTCCCAAAGTGCTGGAATTACAGGCATGGGCCCCACACCCAACTAGTTATTCTTTATTATAAAATAATCTGGGACTGGCTGGGCATGGTGGCTCACGCCTATAATACCAACACTTTGGGAGGCTGAGATGGGTGGATCACCTGAGGCCAGGAGTTCAAGACCAGGATGGCTAACATGGTGAAACCCCATCTCTACTAAAAATATAAAACTTAGCTGGGCATAGTGGCATGCGCCTGTAATCCCAGCTACTCAGGATGCTGAGACAGGAGCATCACTTGAACCCGGGAGGCGGAGATGGCAGTGAGCTGAGATCGCGCCACTGCACTCCAGGCTGAGCAATAAAACGAGACTCTGCCTCAAAAAATAAATAAATAAAATAAAAATAATTTGGGCAAAAATAGGAATCTAGTATGTAAACAGGCCTTTGACCCACGTAATTATTTGCCAGTGGATACACATTAAGATGTTAAAATCTCTCCAATTATGATTCACCACACGATTTTTAAACATTGTAAGAATAAAGCTAACAGTGAAACCAGCTATTGTGAAAGTTGATTATAAATTCACCTAACTCATCACCATATAAAAGACTAACTCGCATGGCCCTGGCCCTTAATATCAAGAGATGAAATTACAGTGATAATGATTTCTAGGAACAAAGAAAGGACACAGTTGCCAGTGAGCATCTATAGCTTTTATAATATTCTCAAAGGGGTCAAGCCTATTAAAGATACACATTGGTTCTTCCTTACCTCCAGATTCTCAGAGCCCAGCTGGGCCTGCTTCAAACTATCTTCCATACTGTCTCCAGGAGTGTTACATAAATCAGCACTGGGAAATAGTTTCTGTTCAAAATTCTTCAGTGGTCTCTACCCCTTGAAGGATAAAATGTAAATTCTTTCAAGTGGCACATTGGGCCATGATGAATTTGGCTCCTGCCTAACCACTAAGTTTCATTAACAGTGTTTCTTTTTCTTTCCAAGTTCAAACTACATAGGAGTTTTCTGGAGACACCAGGCTTCCTTCTGCATGCTATTCCACAAGCTGCTGTTCCCTCTGCTTGGAATGCCCTCCCTCTACTTACACTATACCTAGCAAAAACATTACTACACTCATTCGGCAAGTCTCAGTTCACTCATCATCTTCCCTGTAAAGGCATCCAAGACTCCTCCAGGCTGACTGACAGCTCCTTCCAGTGGTGTGCTCTCGGAATGGAATAAAAGCCCTGATACAGTCAGTTCTACTATAATGTTTGTTTTGAAAACTACAATTTGTTTCAATGTGCTGGTTACACTAGGGCACAACATGAACACATGAATCCCATTTTCTTATGTGCCATTTAACACTAGATGAATGAAATAAAACTGCATCCAGCCACAGAGCCTGAACATAGGAATACACAACACATATACCTCAAACATCTCCTAGCTACCTCAGTACATCTCTTAAGTTACCAGCCACAGCCATCCACATCTGGTGTTAACTTTTCCTCAGATTTTAGGCAACTGTCCTTCCACCATTTCACAGTATCTCACAAGAGGCAACTTTTCCCATGACTACCTTCACATGCAAACTTCAGGTCTTTTTTAAGGTAAAGTGCCATATTTATTGTAGTTTTTATGTTTCTCTTATGTAAAACTGTTAAAATGGTGCTATCATTTTTATTAGGTTCCTATTTCTTTTAAAAATGTGTTACTGATGAAACTTTTATGGGTTGTGCCTCAATCTTATTTCTCCCTACACTTGGTGATTTTTAAGAATGTATACATCTCATTATAGCAGAACTGACTGGACGCAGTATTTTGCTGGTTTCTGTGGTATATGTACCAACAACAGTTCAGTTCTACTGGCCAAACCTGGCTCCAACATACCACATCCACAGTCCTTTGTACATATCTGTGTCATAAGAATCACATTTTTGCGTAAGTCCTTTCCTGTTTATTTCAATAGACAGTAAACTCCTTGAGGGCAGGGTCCTTGTCTTAGTATTAGTATTTTCTGGCTGTCATAACGAAAACACCATAAACAGGGTGGTTTATACACAAAAGAAATGTATTTCTCATAGTTCTGGAGGCTGAAAGTCTAAGATCATCACAGCACTGGCAGATTTGGTGTCTGGTGAGGACCTGCTTCCTGGTTCAGAGATGGCCATCTTCTCACTGTAACCTCACATGGTGGAAGGAGAACTCTCATCTTTTCAGCTCCGTACAAAGGCACGAATCCCATTCATGAGGGTATCATCCTCATAACTTAATCACCTCTCAAAGGCTCCACCTCCTTATATAATCACACTGGGGATTAGGTTTCAACATATGAATTTTGGGGGGAATACGAACATTCAGTCTACAGCAGCCCTTTCCACCTTAGTACTGATACTCCTTGAAGAGTATCCAGCAGATGGTACGCATCTTGCTAATGCAGACACAATGGAGTAATGGACTTAAAATCGAATATAAAAAGAATGGCTATAAAGCCTACTTCTACAATGGAGAATTAGTAACACCTGCTGTGCTCCAAACCCCCACCAACCTTATTAGTAAAAGGAGAGCTCGGACTTAAACACAAGTGTTTCTGACCCCAAAATGTAACACAAAAGAGACAATGGTCCATAATTAACCTTCATATCTGAATATACCTACTAATCCGATATCCTAGCCTACATATACTTCAAGGTAAATGAGAATTATAGACTGATTAATAAAGCAGACTCCGGAAATGTGATTGATAGATTTTTTCCCATCAATTAGCAAGTGTATATAAAATGTCTTCTAGGAATATGCAAATTAAATTTAGTTATACATTTAATATTTCATGGGAAAAAATTGTATGAAATAGGACCCATTCTCCAAATATGGGCCATTCAATCTTTTTGAGACAGAGTCTCACTCTGTCGCCCAGGCTGGACTGCAGTGGCACAATCTTGGCTCACTGCAACCTCCGCCTCCTGAGTTCAAGCGATTCGCCTGCCTCAGCCTCCAAAGTGGCTGGGATTACAGGCGCCCACCACCATGCCTGGCTA
This sequence comes from Homo sapiens, assembly GCF_000001405.40. Lineage (NCBI taxonomy): Eukaryota > Metazoa > Chordata > Mammalia > Primates > Hominidae > Homo > Homo sapiens. The sequence continues at coordinate 46,730,451 of NC_000002.12, read as the reverse complement.
ATTTTGTATTTTTAGTAGAGACGGGGTTTCACCATGTTGGCCAGGCTGGTCTCAAACTCCTGGCCTCAAGCAATCCGCCCGCCTCGGCCTCCCAAAGTGCCGGGATTACAGACGTGAGCCACCATGCCTGGCCAACCTAATCTTAATCTAAGCCAATCTCAAAAGTTTTACCCTGAAATCTAGGACAAACAGTATTAATATCCTGAAACTTAAAATACCGAGCATTACATGGCATAGTAGTTACCAGATGTGAAGTGATTTGTTGGCCAAAATCCGTATCTAAGATTGATTTCTTTACATATACAGTCATGTGCTGCATAATGATGTTTGGGTCAATGAGAGACGGCATATATGATGGTGGTCCTTTAAGATCATAACAGAGCTGAAAAACTCCTATTCTAATGATGTCTAGATGATCCTAACCAAGTGTATGCTCAGGACAATGTGTGTGTTTGTATCTTAGTCTTTAACAAAAAAGCTAAAAATTTAAAAACAGAAAAAAGCTTATAGAATAAGGATATAAAGAAAAAACATTTTTGTACAGCTGTATATGTTTGTGTTTTAAAACAAGTACTACTACAAAATAGGCAAAAAGTTATAAAGAATTAAAAAGTCTACAAAGTAAAAAAGTTAAAGGAAGCTAAAGGTCAATTTGTTATTGAAGAAAGAGATTTTTAAGTAAATTTAGTGTAGACTAACTGTACAGTGTTTATAAGGTCTACAATACAGTAATGTTCTAGGCCTTCACATTCACACACCACTCACTCACTCACTCACCCACGGCAACTTCCAGTCCTGCAAGCTCCATTCAAAACAAGTGCCCTATACAGGTGTGCCATTTAAAAATATTTTATACTGTATTTTTACTGTACCCTTTGTGTATAGATGTTTAGATACATAAATACTTACCATTGTGATACAACTGTCTAGAGTATTCAGTACAGTAACAGGCTATACAGGTTTGTAGCCTACGAGCAACAGGCTACGCTATACGGCCTAGGTGTATAGTACGCTATACCATCTAGGTTTGTGTGAGTCTTGTCTATGATGGTCGAACAATGAAATCGCTTAATGACATACTTCCCAGAACGTATCCCTGTTGTTAAGCAACTATGGCTACTTTTGGATCCCCTATTATATGCATACATTTAAATTTTTTAAGTCACAGTATTTATATTTTAACTACTGTTATCTTGAGTAACACAGTGTGAATTTCAAGCTATATGTCAGTGATGTTAGTAAAAAATTAGATTTTAGCATATAGCATATGTCTCAAACAATGGTGAAAAACTAGTTTCTTATATTAAGGTTTTGCTAAGAAACTAAACCACACATAGTGCTTGTGAAGTTATACAGCACAGATAAATGGTTCTCAAATTAAGCATGTATCAGGATAACAGACGGCTTGTCAAAACGAATTATGGGGTCTCACTCCCAGAATTTCTGATTCAGTAGATCTGAGGTAGAGCCAGAAATTTTGTGTGTCTAACAAGTTCCCAGGTTGATTCTGACGATGCTAGCCCTGGTACCACACTTTGAGAACCACTGGCTTAGAGGCAAATGGAAAAGCTTTGGGGGTCAGAAATACAAATCGCTGGCCAGCGTGGTGGCTCATGCCTATAATCCCAGCACTTTGGGAGGCCAAGATGGACGAATCACTTTGAGGTCAGGAGTTCAAGACCAGTCTGGCCAACATGGAGAAGCCCCATCTCTACTAAGAATACAAAAATTAGCCGGGCATGGTGGCACACACTTGTAGTCCCAGCTATTCGGGAGGCTGAGGCAGGAGAATGGTTTGAACCCAGGAGGTGGAGGTCGCAGTGACTGAGATAGCAGCATTGCACTCCAGCCTAGGTGACAGAGCAAGATTCTATCTTGAAAAGGAAGAAATAAAAATCCCTGCTTGTATTTAACATCTATGGACACAGGTAAACAGTTTTACCCTTAAATTTCCTCATGCCTAAAATGAGGAAAATTATTGGAGAATTAAACAAATAATATATGTAATAAGTGCCCAATACATAGTAAGCACTCAAATGATAGCTACGTGTGCTGGCTTATGAATAAATGAATATCATACTTAACAGTACACATTGCTTCAATGCAAACCAAGATAGAGTAAAAACACTCCATCCTGTCTCTCCTACTGAATATAGCTATAAAACCCCAGAATGCTTGGAGCAGCTATTTAAAGATTCTGAAAAGTAAATGGTGGGAGGTAGATGGCAAAATATCAAAATTCAATGGTAGCATGGAACCAGTGGTAAGTTTACTTTTTTCTCCTCTTGTATCCTGCCACCTGGACTTGGGGGAAACCTGGAAGTGGAAATCAATGCAGAGATCCAGGAGAAGCCCTCCAGTTCAGGCTTAAGAAACTGGGAAAAGGATCCTGGCAGTTAACAGTTAGGCGCCCACAGGTACCTAAAACTCTGAGGGAGGGAAACATTCCTCCACTATCCCAGAAGCTGTTGTTTCAAGAGAGTAGGCAACCTCTCTCCATCAACTTTTTTTTCCTCTCTGTACTCCTACCACTTAGCCCTGGATGTGGGTGCAATCACAGGAAGTGAGCAGAGTAGAAAAAGACCCAGCTTTTCCTCTCAAGGACTGAAAAGAGGTCGGCAGCAGAAAGTATAAAGGAAATTGCTGAGAGGGAGGAACTCACAGCAAAGTGAATCCATAAAGTTGATTATAAACTCCTGGCTTCATCCCAGAGCTGAACATGGCATGGATCTCAACCTAAACAGCAAACCAAAAACTATGAGAACTGAACTAAGAGAGAGATTACCACCTATCTCGAACTGACTGGAACAGTATCAGACTGATACTGCATATAGGACAGACCCAAACAGCGAAGCACTACAGGCTTTGAAAACAAACTGACATTGAAATCACCACCCACAGAAAGCTGGCTGCAACTTGAAGGTTGAACCCAACAGACTCAACTGACTGCTAAAACACAAATAGCAACATTCTCCATGGAATTTAAGTAAGATCCAGAGTCTTATAATGTAATATTGAAGATGCCCAGGATGCAATCTAAAATTACTTAGAATATGAAGGACCCAGAAAATATCAACTTGCATGGGACAATAAACAGACACCAACACTGAGATGACACAGTATTTGAATTATCTGACAAAGACTTTAAAGCAGCTATTATAAAAATGCTCCGCTACTCGGGAGGCTGAGGCAGGAGAATGGCGTGAACCCGGGAGGCGGAGCTTGCAGTGAGCTGAGATCGTGCCACTGCACTCCAGCCTGGGCTACAGAGCAAGACTCCGTTTCAAAAAAAAAAAAAAAAAAAAAAGAAGGCTCCAACAAGGGAAAACACTCTTGAAACAAATTGGTCTCAACAAATAAGTAGAAGCCATTAAATAGAACAGAATGAAAATTTTAGGCTGGGCACAATGGCTCATGCCTGTAATCCCAGAACTTTGGGAGGCTGAGGTGGGCGGATCACCTGAGATCGGGAGTTCGAGACCAGCCTGACCAACATGGAGAAACCCCGTCTCTAATAAAAATATAAAATTAGCCGGGCATGGTGGCAGGCACCTGTAATTCCAGCTATTCGTGAGGCTGAGGCAGGAGAATCGCTTGAACCCAGGAGGCAGAGGTTACAGTGAGCCAAGATCGCGCCATTGCACTCCAGCCTGGGCAACAAGAGCGAAACTCCATTGCAAAATAATAATAATAATAATAATAATAATAATAATTTAGAACTGAAAAATACTGTAACTGAAATTAATCACTGGATGGGCTTAATAAGCAAAATGGAGATGACATAGGAAAGTCAGTGAACTTGAAGATAGACTGGTAGAAATGATCTAGTCTGAACAACAAAGAGAAAAATAGTGAACAGAGAGCCATAAGAACCTTTGGGATATCAAAAGGTCTGACATTCGTGTCACTGGTATCCTGAAAGGAGAGTGAAAGACAGCAATGGAGAAAAATATTTGAGGAAATAACGGCTGAAAACTTTAACAAAGTTAGTAAAAGATACAGTGTATATCAGATTCTAGAAGCACAGAGAAACCAAGTAGAATAAACCCAAAGAGGGCCAGGCACAGTGGCTCATGCCTTGTAATTCCAGCACTTTGGGAGGTCGAGGCGGGTGGATCACAAGGTTAGGAGTTTTAGATCAGTCTGGCCAGTATGGTGAAACCACGTCTCTACTAAAAATACAAAAAATTAGCCGAGCATGGTGGTGCACGCCTGTAATCCCAACTACTCAGGAGGCTGAGGCAGAAGAATTGCTTGAACCGGAGAGGCAGAGGTTGCAGTGAGCTGAGATTGCACCACTGCACTCCAGCCTGGGCGACAGAGCGAGACTCCGTCTACAAAAAAATAAATAAATAAATTTTTAAATAAACCCAAAGAAATCCATGCCCAGACATATCATAGTCAAACAGGTAAAAAATAAAAACGAAAAATTTTGACAGTAGCAAGAAAAAAAAAAGTGACGCATTACTTATAGGGGAATAGTAATTTGACTGCCTATAAATTTCTAACCAGAAACAATGCAGTTCGAAAGGAAACAGCACATTTTTAAAGGGTTGAAAGAAAATAATTGTCAACTCAGACTCTAGGGAAGTAAGTAAAATGAGGACACTTTTGAATAAAGGTAAAATTATGAGAATTCATTACCAGCAGATCCACTCTGAAGGAGTTACTAAAGGATAGAAGAGAAATGATATCAAGGGAAAAAATGTATTATCTATAATTAAGGAAGAACAAAGAAATGGTAACCATCCAATGAATGCTGAGGTTTAAAAAAACAAAAAACAAAAAAACAGTACCCATTGGGTTCAAAGCAGAAACTATGTAATTGTCTGATGGGGTTTTATATGTATGTAGATGTAATATAAAAGACAATACAACAAACAAGAAAGAAGGCAGAGAAATACATATGGTGTTAAGATTTCTACAACTCACTTAGGTGGAAAAATACTTATGTTAAAATAGAGTACTAAAAACTGTTTAAATAACTCAAAAGACAGCAGGAAGGGGGAAAAGAGGAACAATAAACAAAGAGAACAAACAGAAAGCAAATAATAAAACAGCAGAGCCAAATCTAAACGTATCAGTAATTATATTAAATGTAAATAACCTAAAAATACCAATAAAAGACAAAATTATTAGATTTTTTTGAAAAGGATGACCCAATTGTATGCCACCTACAAGAAATTTATTTCAAATATGATGAGATAAGTAGGTTAGAAGTAAAAGGATGAAAAAAGATATAACATAGAACTATTAATAAGAAGAAACCTGAACTGGCTATATCATTATCAAATAGGTACATTTCAAAGCAAAGAAAATTATCAGGAATAAAAAGAGCCACAACATAATAATGAAAAGGCCAATTCACCAAGAAAATATAATCCTAAATGTGTATGCACCTAACAACAGAACTTCAAAATATATGAAGCAAAAACAGACAGAACTGGAAGGAGAAACAGACAAATCTACAATGACAGTTGGAGATTTCAACACCCTCCTCTCAAAAAACTATGCAACAAAAATCTAATAGACAAAAATATCAACCAGAAGATAGAACACCATCAACCAACTGTATCTAGTTGACATCTACAAAACATTCTACCCAGGAAGAGCAAACAAAATACACTTTCTTTTCAAGTACATGCAAAATGTTCACCAAGACAGATCACATCCTAGGCCATAAAACAAATCTTAACAAATTTAAAAGAACTGAAGCAACATAAAATATGTTGTTTGACCATAATGAACCTAAATTACAAATAAATAACAGAAATAATCTCCAAAAATCTAGATATTTAGTGATGTACTTATAAGTAATCCACAAGTCAAAAAGGAAGTCTCAAATGAAGTTAGAAAATATCTCGAACTGAAAAGGAAATAAAAATACATCATTTGTATGATGTAGTTAAGCAATGCTCAGAGGAAAATGTATGGCATTAAATACTTATATTAACAAAAAAGAAACTTATCAAATCAGTAATCTAACTGTCCACCTTAAGAAGCTAGAAGAAAAAAAGAGCAAAACAAACCCAAATCACATAAAAGGACATGCCTACAGCTAACGTCATGCTTAATGGTGAAAGCCTGAATGCTTTCACTCTATAGTTGGGAAAAATGCTTTCCCCTCTATAATTGGAATCAATGATATTTACTCTTGTCACTTCTAGTCAACATTGTATTTGACATCCTAGCCAGTGAAAGGAAGCAAGAAGAAAAAAAAAAAAGCAGACAAATTAGAAAGAAATAAAACTATCTCCATTTGCAGACATATTTATTTACACAGAAATCCCAAAGAATCTACCAAGCAAACCTCTTACAACTAAAGAGTAAGATTACAAGGTCACAGGATACAGGTCAACACACAAAAGTCAATCATATTTTTATATATTACCAATGAACAGTCAGAAACTAAAAATTTTAAAAACCAATCATAATAGCTCTGAAATAATGAAATATGAAATCTAACAAAACATGTACAAGAGCTTCTTTAGTACAACTAATAACACAATGAAAGAAATAAGAAAAGATGTAAATAAGCAGAGAGCTACCACATTCAAGGCCTGGAAGACTCAACACAGTAAAGATGTCAATTCTTCTCATCTGATCTACAGATTTAACACAATTCTAATCAACCCCTCCCCAGGATATTTTGCACTGATACAGACAAACTGATTCTGAAACCAAAGGCAAAGGAACTAGAATAGCCAAATAATTTTGATGAGGAATAAAACTGAAAGAATCATAAATCATAAGGTTTAAAAACATCATAAAAACCAACAGTAATTAAAACATTCTGTAATATAGGGAAAGGACAGATACACGAAACAGAATAGAGCTGAGAAAGAGACCCACACAAATGTGACCAATTGATTTCTGACAACAGTGCAAGATGACTCAAGGGAGAAAGGGTAGTCTTTCCCTAAACAATAGGTGTTGTAACAATTGGACACCCATATACCAAAATACATGAACCTTAACCTAAACTTCACACCTTATACAATAACTCAAAATGGATCACAGATCTAATGTTTTGTAGAATGCAAACCTATAAAACTTTCAGAACATGAGATAAAATCATTGTGACAAAATACATGAACCTTAACCTAAACTTCAGAAGACCTTACACAATAACTCAAAATGGATCACAGATCTAATGTTTTGTAGAATGCCAACCTATAAAACTTTCAGAACATGAGATAAAATCATTGGGACATGGAGTGAAGCAAAGAATTTTTAGACATGACACCGAAAGTACCACCCATAAAAGAAAAAAAAATTATGAACTGGACTTCACCAAATTAAAAACTTTTGTTCCATGAAAGACAATGTGAAGAGTATGAAAAGCAAAGTATAGACTGGGAGAAAATATTGGCAAATGACATATCTGACACAGGATCTGTATCCTGGATATGTAAGGAACTCTCAAAATTCAACATTAAGAAAGCATATAACAGCCATTAAAAATGGGCAAAAGACTTGAACAGAGTTCACTGAAAAGAACAGATGGAAGGCAACTGAGTACATAAAAATATTCAACGTTATTAGACATTAGAGAAATCCAAATTAAAGCCAAAATGACATAAGAACAAATAAAATAAAAAGTGGTGGTAACACAAAATGCTGACAAGGATGCAAAGCAACTAGAACTCTCATAACATTGTGAGTGGGGCTGTTTTCAGCTATTCTTGAAAACAGTTTGGCAACTCTTGATAAAGTTAAACATACATATGCCATATGACCCAGCAATCCCAACCCTTGGTATTTATCCTAGAGAAATGAAAACTGTGTTCACACAAAAACCCATATATAAATGTTTATAACAGTTCTATTCACAATTGCTCCAAACTGGAAATAACCCATATGTCCTTCAACAGGTGAATGGATAAACAAACTGTTAGTGCAGCTATACAAAGGAATACTCTTGAGCAACAAAATGGAATCAACCATTGATACATACAACAACCTGGCTGATTTTCAAAGACATTACGATGAATAAAAGAAGCCAGCTTGAATATACTCACTAATCTAACCTACTGGCCTACATATACCTCAAGTTAAATGTGAATGACAGACTAATTGAAAAAGCAGACTCTGGAGACGTGGTTGACAGATTTTTTTCCCCCTTGACTGGCAAATGTATACAAAATGTCTTAAATCCTTTGAGCATGTGTGCATCAGTGAAACAGGAGAATGAAGACAGCTGGAAGGAGACTTTAAAAAATTACTTACAAAGATATGACATGGGTATAAACTTTAGACTGAGAAACAAGCATATCTTTCAACCACCCATAGAGGCTATTAACACTTAATATCAACTAAACACAAATATTTAATATCACCATGTAAAAAAGAGAATTTAAGACAAAGCAAACAGAGTATATACAATCAAATAGAAGTTTAAATAAAGATTATATATTCATACTAGATATTCATTGGGTCCTTGAAATAGAAATGACAATACTGTCCATTATTAATATGGAATGTGCCTGTTTTTTCTAATAGCAGTTACAGATTTATACTAATCTATCCATATTTTTTTCACCTAATTCCCTCTGACACCAAAAACATGCACTTTGAATGCGGACTGGGATCAAGTACTTAGACTGGTCACAGTTGCACCCCTCTGTAAAACCATCCTAAGAAGGCATGAAATATTTCTTTTTCCTCCAAGATAAACCCACAGCAAATCAGTACAACAAAACACACAGAGGATTATAATTCAAAGAAGACAGCTATTCATTATTTGTAACTACATATATTTTGGGATGATGCCATAAAAGTTAGTAGACTAACCAGATGACTAAAAACTATTTAAGTAAGTGACCTATCTCACTCTTCCTAATTTTAATTCTTAACGTATTAAATATAAGTCTAATGTGGAAGCACTAGGCTCCTTTTAAATGACAACAGCACTAGATAACTTCTCTATCTTAAACCTTCTGAGGATATGAGCTTTAAGTAGCAAATCCAGCTCTTCATGTTTTCCATTATGCTAAAATGTAAAATTTGGTGCAATTAAAAAACTGATAACAAATATTTACCTACTAGTCAAGTTAATTATTGAATGCTTAAAATATCCCATGCCCTAAGGGTCATACAAAAGAGAGATCAAAATGATACAGGGCCTCAGAGACTTGGCAAAGGAGACAATGCAGATCTGAGATAATTAGACACCAAGACTGTGCATAATAAAGTACTATGGAGTACAGTTAGGGAATAACATCTAAATAGATGTCAAAACATTCTTTAATAAGTCTCCCATATAAATCTCTTCCATGGAAGAGAAAATAAATTCATTTAAAGTAGAGAGGCACTGCAATACAAAGGAGTCTCAGCTCTGCCATGAAAATGCTCTTAGATAAGTCTCAACTGCTGTAATGTCTAGGTAGTAGACATGACACCTGACACAAAAAGGACATTTGTTCATTCACCTCTGATTTGGATTTGACTAATCAAGAAAGCAGGAGCAGGCAGGAGCAGAACGGACTCACTCAGGATGTCTGCACCTCGGGACAGCAAGCTTGCTGCTTAATTCAATACTGCTTTCTCAGAACCGTGTGAAAGAAAGGATGCTGACACCCAAAAGGAAGACTTGGCTCCTCTCCTTGCCTCCTCCAGAGTACACACACTTATATTAAGGGCCTCACTGTCCTGCACCCAGCTGCACTGGTACCTCACAGTCCCAGGGACCCCCTATGATGCATCAGCTGTCTAGCTTAGTTTCACTCTGGTTCTCTGTAAACTCATCTGAAAAACAGGGAATTGGACCAGATCCCTTACAATACCACAATCTACAAATACAATGAATTACAAACACTAACCACAGAACACTAATCTTACAAATTTATCAGTTATTAGTAAAAACAGCTTACTAAATTTGCTACCTGGATTTTACTTCTGGTTTTATAAAAAATACCAAGCTGTTTTAGAAATGCCAAATTGGAAAAGCAAATACTGCTGAATTCTTTAAGAGATTCTTACCATAGACACAAAGTAGTAAAATAGCCAGATCTCACAGTAAGACATAATCTATGCAAAAACTCATCACAGTTTGTTATTAAAGTTTTACCATTCAGAACAAAAATATTCTTGTAAATGAAGTAATGTTAGTATCCTATGACACCAAGAGCAGTACAGTTCCCAGCAATGTCTGCAGGAATCAAGATCAAGTGAACCTTTAAGTTCAAGACTTCAAATTCAGATGTACAAGAAAACAATCTTAATTACTGAACAGCAAGGATGTGCAAGGAATTGTACTAATCACTTTACTTGGATTATCTTTAGTTCTCACAATAATCCTATGAGGTACAAGTTTTTATCACAGTTTTAATGATGAGAACATTGAGACTCAGGTTAAATAATAAGACTTCAGAACAACATGCTCTGATCAGTGAACCCAATCACTCACATCCTTTCAGCAGATATAACCCTACAATGAAAAGGTGGGCCATCAGACTATCATAGCTTGATATTGTTTCTTAATATAAATTTTTTAAATTACCTTTGCTTTCTTTATCAGTTTTCCATAAATCTGTTTAGAATAGAATCAGTGCCCTGACCAAACTGAGTTTCTGGATCTGCGACTGCCGAGGAATAGCCTCTAGACCACTTAGGTTAAGGTCATTCTTCTTTCAGGTCTGGTATGAATGATGCTTCCCTGAAGGACACACCTATTTCTTTGTTCATTCACCACAACAATGCTTTGACTTTTAATTATTAATTTTCTGCTATGGGTTTCCAACATGTTCTATATATAGCAAAATATGTGGAGCTGAGTCACTACAGTGAGTTCCTAAAGAGCACCAGGTCCATATGCTTAAGATGCCAGGGATACAGACGTCAAACATAATATTTTACTGAGAAAACGAAGACTATGACGTCCATTCTTTCTTTAACATAAGGACATCCACACCTGCAAGGAAGTGGGCAGGAACACTGGCTGAGAAAGCAAGATCAAAACTTCTTTAAAACCAGCTCTAGAAAAAAAGAAAAAAGGAAAGATAGTAATATTAAATTTATTCAAGTGCATAAAGAACTGTTTGATAGAAACTCATAATTTTAAACTATGAAACATGAGAGACTGCCTTAGTTTGGAAAAAGTTTAGGATACATATTACACGTACAGTGTAAGAATAAGTGTTCCTTTCATTAAATCTAGTTATAAAGCTCAACAAAGCTCAAGCTAAAGTATCTGCAAAAATGGAAAAAAGGATTGGACATGTATCATCCTGCTTTTATCATTCACTATATTGTGAACAGTTTCTTATAACCCTCAAAATCCAAAAGCTCTTAATTTTCCATCTCCTGCCAGTTATTTTTATTATAATCAGAACAGTACACTAAATAAAAATTTTAAAGAACATGATTTGTAATAGTTTTATGGTATTTGGTTACACAACTATAGCATAACCTAATCATTTGAGGCTTCCAATTTTTCAACATTATAAATACCATTGTAATGAATAAGTAACATACACATTTGTGTGCATCTCTTATTTCCTTATAATAAATTCCTAAAAATTAAACTTGGGCAAAGGGTATGAACATTTTAAGGATTCTGAATATTGCCAAACTGCCATTTAGAAAGCTGTATCACTGTATGTTCCTACCAGCAAGATATTTGCCAATACTTTATTCTTTTCTATGTGAGAGACCTATTGGAGCACACAATTATTGATATCATAACTCTAAGCTCTTCGGCTTTTTCTGTAATCTTATTTCTTAAGCCTAGAGAAAAATCTTTTAGAAAGTATTATCTCTGGTAGTAAATATTTATCTGTGGTTGAGCAGTTTTTCCCATATTGCTTTTATTTAACAAATTTAGCTCTGTTAATTAAACTTAAATGCCTTATATCAGAAATAGTATGAATGGCATTTTAAAAATAAAATAATTATCCTTCTGAGTAGATGTGCAATAAAAGATACCCAAAATGATGTTCATATAACTGGTAAACTTTGGGTTTGGGGATATTGAGTTATTTTTCCTTTTTTAAAAAATTTCTTCTGTAACTCTCTGTATCACTTGAAAATTAAAATATGAGCTGACATGATTTTTAAAAATAAAGCCATAGTCTAAAAAGTATAATATACCAAAAACTGTAAAGAGTTTTTAAAAAGAAGAAAAAGTAAACTCCTAAACTTCCACTTTCAATTATGATGGAGTAAACTGTATTGGGCTAGATCTTCGGTAAACAACTATAAAACTCGGCAATATACATGAAATATTATTTTCAGATATTGGACAAGAGGCAGCACAGGATTGTGATTCCTGAGAAAAGAGAAACAAAGACTCACAAATGCCCTGGCTTTCTGCTTATACCCCATACAGGGGAAACACACACACACACACACACACAAAACACAAGAATCTCACTGAGTTGAGGAAATAGAGCTTGAAGTTTGAGGCTACTAAGGTTGCTGGAATTTGAGCAGCAAAACTAGAAGAAGGGAGCTGTGGAGACAAAGTTTCAGAAATCTTTAGAGAGATCTCCGGAATCTTTGCCTAGAGACTAAGCTGCACATGTGCACGCAATACTCCATCAGACCAGTGAAAGAATAACATCTAGGGAAAGAGCAACTAAACAGTATGAACCAAACAACTACCTAAGCTTGTAAGCACAGGTCCGGGAGACATTAAAATTCCTAGCAGCTAAGCTAGAGTGAAAAGACCTTGTTGAATACCCCATGCTTTCAACACAGACTCTGAAAAGGCATGCCTCTATATTAGAGGTAACCTAACCCTAAAATTTACAAAATTGCATAAAACCAAAGATAAAAAGAGAAATCTTTAGAGCAGTGGGATGAGAAAAAAATACATACTGCATTAAGTGAGCAATTATAAGAAATACCACTGACTTCTCATCAGAAATAATATAAACCGGAAGATTACGAAATGATGACCTTAAAATGTTGAAAGAAAAAAAAACCGTTAACCCGAAATTGTTTATCTGGCATGAATATCCTTAAAAAATGAAGGCAGAAGACTTCTGAATTCTAGTCATGAGCCAGAAGCAAAGTCTAGAATTGTCCTGCAGTTACAAACAAGTAGAAAACTAGACAAAATACCAAACAATAGTTTTCACACGAGATAAGAGGCAATATGAAAACATGATCCCCTAAAGAAGGAAAACAAGCAAGGGGAGCCCTGTGATTGCTCCAGCTTTCTGCCTAGAACCAAAACACAGGGAGAGGAAGCCAAATAGAGTCAGTAGTCTCACTAAGCTGACGTGACAGAGCTCAGAATTTGTAAAGTCTGAGACAGCTAGAATTTGCAGGGCATCGAACCACAAAGGAAGAAGTTACACAGAGAAAGTGCTCCAAAAACATGCAAAAGGGGTCTTCTCGAGTTTCTGGCCAAATACCAATCTGCATACATGTGGTGTGTAACTCCATGAGGCTACACAAAGAAAAACGTCCAAGAAAATAACAAATACTGGGACACTCTCCAACGATTTAGAGTTCACACAGGGCCAGGATCAATAACCAGCTGGGATGAATAAACCTTGATGAATACATGGGGAAATTAAAGGAGACACAAAAAAGTGCACACCTCAGTGGTGGGCCCAAACAGGCCCTAAACTAAAAGCTATTCCGTATCTGTCTGGAAACAAACAAAAATTCCCCAAACAAAAAACCCTGAAAACAAAACTTGAAAGTTCAAGTTGATTCATAAAATTGGCCAAGCACAGTAGCTCATGCCTGTAATCCCAGCATTTGGGGAGGCTGGGGCAGAAGGACTGCTTGATAGAAGTTCAAGACTAGCCTGAGCAACATAGAGAGGCCCTATCTGCACAAAAAAGTCAAAATATTAGCTGGGTGTGGTGGTGTGCACCTATGGTTCCAGCTACACAGCAAGCTAAAGCAGGAGGATGTCTTGAGCCCAGGAATTCAAGGCTGCAGTGCGCCATGTTTGCACCACTGCACTCTAGCTGGGGTGAAAAAGTGAAGCCCTGTCTTAATTAATTAATTAGTTAATTAAATAAAAATGTTTAAAAGTTGATCCATAAATAAACTGCCTGCCAGGACAAAACTCAACAATCAAGAAACACTATATGCAAAAAAAAAAAAAAAAAAAAAAAAAAAAATGAAGACACTCAACATCATGAAATCCATTAAAAATTACCAGGCCTATGAAAAATAAATAATAAACTACAATAAGGACCAAGAAATGGCTGGGGTAAGTAAAGGACATTTGAGTAAAAGACCTTATAACAGCTATTAGAAAAGAGTTTAAAGACCTAAAGAAAAACATCAACACAATGAAGAAAAAAGGAAATACCTCATAGAGAAGTGGAAACCAAACATGTGTAAGAGAACTTCTAGAACTAAAAAAAAAAAAAAGGGGGGGTGTCTGACATGAAAAATTGACTGGACAGGCATAACAGCAAATTAGACAAAGAAGCTATTAACAAAAAAATCAGTTACCCTGAAGACAGGGCAGCAGAAAATTTCCAAACTAAAGGAAAAAGAAACAGATTGGAAGAAAAATGGACAGGGCCTCAGTAAACTGCAAGTTAATATTAAGTGGTTGAACATATGTGGGATTAGAGTCTGTAGGAGAAAGACACCTGAGAAGAAAAAAAACTTCAAGATAGATGGCTAAAAATTTTACAAATGTGATGAATACAATACACCCACAGATCCACGAAACTCAATAAACTTCCAAAAAGCCACACAAAGGCTCAACATAATAAAGTTGCTGTCAATCAGTGATACAAACGAAATCTTAAAAGCAGCCAAAGGAAAAAAACATATTATATACAGAGAAACAAATACAAGAATTACAACAAACTTCTTGTCAGAAACTATACAAACAAGAAGATAGTGGAATATCTTTAAGATGGTGGGCGGAGGGGATCCTAAAAACCTAGAATTCCATATCCACACCAACAACTTTCAAAAGTGAAAACAAAATGAGAGGAATGTTGAACTACAGGAAATGTAACAGGAAGTTTTTTAAGCAAAGGGAATATACTAGACACAAACTTGGATGGATACAAAGAAATAAAGATCTAAAAAATGGTTAAATGAAGGTAAATATTAAAGACATTTTTCTTTTTTCTTTTCTTTTTTTTTTTTTTGACAGGGTGTTACTCTCTGTCACCCAGGCTCAAGCACAGTGGCATGATCTAGGCTCACTGCAGCCTCGACAGCCCAGGCTCAAGCAATACCTCCCACCTAAGCTTCCAGAGTAGCTGGAATTACAGGCACGAGCCACCATGTCTGGCTAATTTTTGTTATTTTTTTATAGATACTGTGTCCTACTATGTTGCTCAGGCTGGTCTTGAACTCCTGGGTTCAAGCAATCCACCCACCTCAGCCTCCCAAAGTGCTGGGATTACAGTATTTTTGTCACTTTTAATTGCTTGAAAAGGTAACTGCCTGACAAAGCAGAAAGAACACTTCAACTCAAAATGCATGACAACAAAAGCACGAAATATGGAAAAGAAGAAATGGAAGTAACTATTATGATTCTTGAACTACACATTAAGTGGTAAAATATTAGTTGAAGGCAAATCACGATTAACTAATTAAGGCCGCCAATAAAAAAAAATTGAAAGAGATCTAAGTTACAAACCAACAGGAAAGATAAAATAGAATCATAAAAAATAATCCATCCAAAAACAGGCAGATAATCAAGGAAAAAAGAAACAACACCAGCCAACAGAAAACAAATAGTAAGATGGCACAGTTTCATTCAACTATATCAAAATTACATTAAGTGCAAATGGTCTAAACCACTGGTTGGCATGGGGGCATGGCTGTGTTCCAATAAAATTTTATTTACATAAACAGGTGGCAGGCCAGATTTAACCTGCCAGCCATAGTTTGCCAACCCTGATCTAAACACATCAATTAAAGGAGAGATTATCAGACTAGATAAAAAAAGTGAGACCCAACTACACATTCTCTACAAGAAATCCACTTCAAGTATAATGATATAAATAGGTTAAAAGTAAAAGGATGAAAAAGATATATCATGTAAATACTAATCAAAAGAAAAGTTTGTATCAGACAGAGACTTCAGAACAACGGAAACTACCTGGGATAAAGGGGACCATTTCATGATGACAGAGGGGTCAATTCATCAACAACACTTAATCTCCAATGTGCATGCACTCAACAATGCTGTAAACTATGCTTGAAATAGGAAACAAAACTTATTGGAACTGAAAGAAGAAACAGACAAATCCAAAACTGCAGTTGGAAACTTCAACCCTCCTCTCACAATAGTTGACAGAACCACAGACAGAAAATCAGTAAAGATGTAAGATATAAGAAGATCAGACTAACCTAATTGGCATCTATAGAACACCCCACCTAGTAACAGGAAAATAACCATTCTTTTCAAGTATACATTGAACGTTCACCAAGACATACCATATGTTGGGCCATAAAACAATCAAAAAGTTTATATTGGTTGAAGTTATTAAGAGTATGTATGTTCTCTGATCACCACGGCATTAAATGAAAACACAGTAACAAAAGGATACCTGAAAAATACCAAATATTTGAAAATTATTTGGAAACATTCTTTCAAACAACCCATGGGTCAAATAAATTCCAAGAGGAATTTAAAAATATTTTGAATGGAATAATAATTAAATCATATCAATATCTGTGGGATGCAGCTAAAGAATGCTTACAGGGAAACTTATAGCTTTAAATGTTAATAATTGTTTTTTAAAAGGAGTTTCGAAAATCAATGATCTAAGCTTTCACTTAAAACTAGGGAAAAAAGAGCAAATTAAACCCAAAGTAAGGAGAAGGGAAGGAATTAAAGAGCTCAAATCATGAAACAGAAAACAGATAAACCACAGAGAAAAAGCAATGTCAAAAGTTGGTTCTTTGAAAGGATTTATGAAATTGATATTCCTTTCTCAAGTTAGATTAATCAAGGGGAAAAAAGGAAAAAGACATCCAATCTCAAGAATAAAAGAAGGAATAGATCCTACTGACATAAAAAGGAAATATTGTTTCATAAAATTTATAATTTATTTTCATGCTGATAAATTCAACAGATTCTCCAAAATGCAAATTACCAAAACAGACATAAAAAAGAAAAAGAAAATCTGAGTAGTCTTACATTTGTTTTAGACCCAGAGACTCACTCTGTCACCCACCCTGGAGTGCAGTGGCATGATCACAGCTCACTGGAGCCTCAACCTCCCAGGCTCAAAGGATCTTCCTGCCTCAACCTCCTGAGTAGCTGAAACTACAGGTGTGCGCCACCAGGCCTGGCTAGTTTTTAAATTTTTGGTAGAGATGGGGTCTGCCTATGTTGCCCAAGCTGGTCTCAAACTTCTGGGCTCAAGTGATCCTTCCACCTCAGTCTCCCAAAATGCTGGGATTACAGGCATGAGCCACCATGCTGGGCCTATATTCATTCTTTTATAAATTAAATTCCTTAATTAAGAACTTTCCACAAAGAAAACTACAGGTCCAGATGGCTTCATTGATAAATTCCATCAAACATTTAACGAAGAACATCAATTTTATCCAAACTCTTCCACAAAATAAGAGGAAACACCTCCTAATTCATAAAAAAAGTCAGCATAACTCTGATACCAAAACAAACAAAAAACTATAGACCAAGAATAATCCCTCATTGAATCTAGAGGAAACAAAACAAAAAGCAAAAACAAAAACAAAAAAACGACAATACATCTCAACCAAGTTTATCTCAAGAATGCAAGGTTGGTTTAATAATCAAATACCAATCAATGTAATTCACCATCTTAATAGAATAAAGAAGAAATACCACATAAGCGTCTCAATAGTGCAGACTCATTTTTTAAGAAAGCTGAACAGGCCGGGCACAGTGGCTCACGCCTGTAATCCCAGCACTTTGGGAGGCCGAGGCAGGCGGATCACGAGGTCAGGAATTCGAGACCAGCCTGGCCAATATGGTGAAACCCTGTCTTTACTAAAAATACAAAAATTATCTGGGCGTGGTGGCACGCGCCTATAGTCCCAGCTACTTGGGAGGCTGAGGCAGAAGAATCGCTTGAACCCAGGAGGCGGGGGTTGCAGTGAGCCAAGATAGCGCCACTGCACTCCAGCCTGGGCAACAGAGCGAGACTGTGTCTCAAAAAAAAAAAAAAAAAAAAAAAAAGCTAAACATCCACTTGTGGGAAAAAAAAAAGCTCTAAGCAAAGAGAACTTCTTCAATCTGATAAAGGGCATCTATGAAAAATGTATAGCTAACATATACAATGGTGAAAGAGTTCTCTCTACACTAAAAAAGAAGATCTAAATAGAGCTATATTATGTTCATGTTAAGATGTTAATTTTCTCCAATTCATAGATTCAAATGCAACCCTAATAAAAATTCCAAAAGGCTTTTTTGTAGATATTGATAAGCTGATTACAAAATTTATGTGCAAATGTACAATACCTAAAAAAAGTCTAAACAATCTTGAAAAATAAGAACTAAACTGGAGAAGTTCTATTACCTTATTTCAAGACTTAATGCTATGGTAAATCAAGACAGTGTCATAGTGGCAGAAAGACAAACAGATGAACAGAATAGAGTTTAGAGACAGATCCACACTTACTCCATTAACTGCGCTTTAACAAGGTGCCAAAGCAATTAATGCGGAAAGGGAAGTATACTGTGTTGGAACAATTAGCTATCTATATGGGGGCAAAAATCTAATCTTAACCAATACACAATACACAAAATTATCACCTCAATACACAAAAATTATCACCATAAAGCATCTGGAAGAAAACAGGATAATATCTTCACAACTGTGGGGGTGGCAAAGATTCTTAGACAGGACCCAGAAAAACACTAGCATAAGAGGAAATATTGATAAAATAGACCACTAAATTCAAAACTTTTGTTCATCGAAAGATGCCACCAAAACAATGAACAGTCAAGCCACAGACTGGAAGAAAAATCTCTAACACATTTATGTGTCAAAGAAGTTGCATCCAATTAATATACAAATCCTAAAACTTAACAGTAAAATGACATAAAATTGGTAACTGGTTAATGCCTTGAACAGACATATCACTAAGGATGATATGCAAAATAGCCTATAAGCACATGACAAAATGCATGACATCGATACTCACAAGGAAAATGCAAATTCAAACCACAGTGAGATATCCCAGTAAGATGACTAAACCAAATATTGATGATAATAAGAAACAGAACTCTCATAGATTGCTAGTGGGAATGTAAAATGGTAAAACTATCTCAGAAATTAAATTGTTCTGCAAGTTTCTCATAATGCTAAACATAGACCTATTTTAAAACCCAGCAATTCCACTTCATGTATTGACCCAAGAGAAAAGAAAACATGTCACAAAAAGACTTATACAAGAATGTTCATGGTAGCTTTATTCATTAACAGTTGAAAACTGGAAACAATCTTTCCCACAATAATAATATTCATATAATGGAATACTACTCTACAACTAAAAGGAACAATTCTTATATGTAACATGGATGAACCTCAAAAACATGCTGATAAAAAGAAGCCAGACTCAAAAGAGTACATACTGCATGACTCCATTTATAAAAAATTCTAGAACAAAGTTAATCTTCAGTGAAATAAATCAGAACAGTGACTGCAGCCACGGAAAAGGAGAAACAGCAAGGACTCAATGGGAAGAGAGCACAGGGGCTCTTTCTGGATGACAGAAATCATAAATTACAAAGATGTATTAATTGTCAAAACTAATCTTGAACTTAGGTACATCTTGAACCTGGTATATCCCTATTTAGATCTTTAAATTTTCTTTTTTAGTGTAGAAAGAACTCAGTCTTTCACCACTGAATATGATGTTAGCTATAGGTTTTTAATAGATGCCCTTTATCAGACTGAAGAAGTTCTCTTCTATATTTAGTTTGCTTAGAGTTTTTTTTCACAAGTGGACATTTAAATTTCTTAAGGTTATTAAAGATATTTGGTGTATGCAACTGTACATACACTTAATATCTGTGTATTTCACTATATGTAAATTACACTTCCACTTTTTAAAAAAATTAAAGGAGGCCAGGC
Source organism: Homo sapiens (assembly GCF_000001405.40). Taxonomy (NCBI): domain Eukaryota; kingdom Metazoa; phylum Chordata; class Mammalia; order Primates; family Hominidae; genus Homo; species Homo sapiens. The sequence continues at coordinate 46,710,436 of NC_000002.12, read as the reverse complement.
ACTGCGGCTCACACCTGTAATCCCAACACTTTGGGAGGCTGAGGTGGGTGGATCACGAGGTCAGCAGTTTGAGACCAGCCTAACCAACGTGGTGAAACCCCATCTCTACTAAAAATACAAAAATTAGCTGGGAGTGGTGGCACACACCTGTAATCCCAGTTACTCAGGAGGCTGAGGCAGGAGAATTGCTTGAACCTGGGAGGTGCAGGTTGCAGTGAGCCGAGATTGCGCCACTGCACTCCAGCGTGGGCAACAGAGCGAGATGCTACATAAAAAATAAATAAATAAATAAAATAAAGGAAAACAACCACCAAAAACTGAAATTCTATCTCCTTACTCTTTGCCCACCCTCTAGAACAGTATCTCCTAAACTTTGGTCTGAGGACTACATATATCAGAATCACTTGAACCCTTGCCTTAACTTTTACTGAACCAGAATTCAAGCATGGGGGGTGGAGACTGGAAATCTGTATTTTAAAAAAGAGCCCCAGGTAATTCTCATGTCTAGGAAAGTTTAAGAATTGCTGTTATAGAAGTATGTAAGGAGAAAACAAAAAGATACAAGGGATTTTAAAATAGTATGTAAATTAAGTAATCAGTGCTACAAACATCATAAACTATAACAGTTGTCACTGAAGTCCTAAATTGCTATTTAAATTATGTTATAGTATCCTCTGTTCATGTTCAATTTTCTACTCAGTGCTTTAGGGAGTTGCAATTCCAAATTTTAGTCTTGAATCATCTAACTACCCAAATTTCTCATTAATCCCAACTCAAAATAGGCATTTTAGATAGGAAATCTTGTTCACCAGGTCCTTCACTTCCCCCTGCTGCTCCACCCTTAATGTTCTATTACTTTCTTGGTACTGTTTTTCCCAACTCCTAATAGTGTTATTCCTACTTTTCTCTGCACAGCCTTGTCTTTCTACCTCCTCTAAAACCAAACCCAAAACTCATCTTTTCCACTAAGTGCTAAACACCACCTAAGTCAGATTCTTTCCAAATTCCCTTCAGCACTTGAAGATCTTCCTCCTAACAGACACATTTATTTTACTGAAATTGGACACCTCATCTTTATGACAAATTAACTCCATCCTTTGCTTAGAAAGCAGAACCTTTGGGGGAGAACTGAAAAGATTACAGCCTCTTCTCTCAAGCTGTTTTTATTTTTCCCTCTTTGAGTTGCTCTAAGGGGCTGGAAAGGTAAAGAGGCAAAGAGGCAAAGTGCTAGTTGCTTAGGGATGCTCTGGAATAGATAGTAAAGAAGGTGAAAGCCTGTAATCGCAGCACTTTGGGAGGCCAAGGCGGGCGGATCGCGAGGTCAAGAAATTGAGACCGTCTGGCCAACACGGTGAAACCTCATCTCTACTAAAAATACAAAAATTAGCCAGGCGTGGTGGTGCATGCCTGTAGTCCCCGCTACTTGGGAGGCTGAGGCAGGAGAATCTGTTGAACCTGGGAGGTGGAGGTTGCAGTGAGCCGAGATGGCACCACTGCATACCAGCCTGGCAACAGAGCGAGACCCTATCTCAAAAAAAAAAAAAAAAAAAAAAAAAGGCTTCAGGATTCAGTATCTGTTCAGAGACCACTTCACCAGCCCAAAGAAGCAAACATGGATTCCAAAAAGAAACTCTAGTTGAGGGATAAGGAAGTGCATTTGCCTAAGAATCCTGTGTTGTACTGGATGGCTAGCCAGGATTCCGAAGGCAGGAAGAAAGATCCCAACTGGTACAGTGTTTCAAGGACACTCAAATATTTCTGGCTTTCTGGCAGCAAATATTTTTCTACATTTTTTGTAACAGAGTTTGGGGTGGCAATGGGTAATAGGTAAATATTATGAAACTCTTGAACTAAGTACCAGCAATGGCAGTTACTTTTTGTTCTGAACGCATTATCATTTAGATATTATGGGCATTACTCATCTATTTTCATAATTTTCAGCTACAAAATATATGCCTTCAAAATCATATCTATAATCCTGACCACGCTCCTGATCCAGACCCGTATTTCCAACTGATATTGTGGTATCATTACTTACCTAAAAAGCATTATTACTTATCTGAAATTAAACTCAGTATTCTCTCTCTCCCAAACTTGCATATATTATTCTATTGCCAAGCCAGGAACCTTAGACTCATACTCAACTTCTAACACCTTCTAACATTAACAAAATCTGGAGGACTCAAACTTTTAAGTATCTCTGAAATCAGCAGTGCTCTTGTTTCCAACCCCACTACAAATTCCTTAATTCAGACCATCATATAATTAGTCTCTTTCTTGAACTAGAGCAGAGCCTTAAATGTCATCCTTGACTGTCATCTATCTACCACAAGCCAAAGAGAATTGCTTCATTCACTCACCTTGCCATGTGTATTACAAACAGTCTCTGACTTACAATTTGGTTAAACTCACAACCATTCTATTTTTCATTTTCAGTACAGTATTCATTAAATTATATAAGATATTCAACACTTTATTATAAAACAGACTTCGTGTTAGATGATTTTGCCCAACTATAGGCTAATGCAAGTGCTCTGAGCACATTTAAGGTAGGCTAGGCTAAGCTATGTTGTTTGGTAGGTTAGGCATATTAAATGCATTTCTGACCTAATGATATTTTCAACTTAGGATGGGTTTATCAGGACTAACCCCATTGTAAGTCGAGGAGCATTTGTATTTGCTCAGTAATTATTTGGTAAATGTCTCCAATCTTTTCTCCTCCAGACTATTCTCTTTATGACTGCTATGATCAATTTTCTAAAACACAAAAGTGTTTGTGTTACTTCCCATCTATAAAACTAAATAAAAATCCAAACTCCTATATGGCTACATACAAAACCCTTCACAATTTGTTCCCCTCCTGCCTCGGTCCTAGTCTGATTTCCTAATTTTCTTTTGCACTAGTTTAGAAAAATCAAATAGCATCTTCCTCCTTAAACACTCTATGTCCTTTCATTTCTAATCATCTACAATAAATAGTAACTCAGTCCAGCTTATTTCATTTTATGAGCGCTCTTATACTATTTACAATCATTAGCTAAACCTATACAGAAGTAATGAGTGAAGAAACAATCAGACAACACACCAACTCTCAATTAGCTTATTTTCATAGCCTTATTAACATGGTCAATACAGACTAAATGAAAATGATTAAAACGTTTCAACTATCTCCTGAGCTTCCACTTTACAGTAAATTGATGTTAAAATTCTTCCGTTATAGATGTAATACCCACCTTTTGACTGACAGGCACAAAGAGAACCATAATTCAACTTTCTCCACATTTGTCCTTTTCCTCTCATCTTTAACACCTCCCTTCCCCACTTCTCCTCCTCTACCTTCTGTGCTAGTCCTGCCACCTAAATTTTCACTGCATCCTCTTTGTCCACTCTTCAAAGGAACATCAGTATTCCTCCATCCTCATTTGTACAGCATTTAAAAATTTTTAAAGCATTTTTACATATACTTACTCACGTGATCCTTATAATCTCACTCTGAGATTCCAAAATCAAATGCTGCCGTTGGTACTTTCTTATATTTTATCTCAATTTTGAGGAAACTGAAGTTCAAAGAAGTTCAGTGACTCATCTAATATACTACTATTCCCTCTGCCTGCAATCCACAACCCCTCTTCACCGGCTGATCTCTCAAGACAGTTCAAGCTTTCCTCTACCTCCAGGGCAAGAAGAATGTTATGCTTATTTCCATGCCATCCTAATGTTTTTCACATTACTACTTTATAGCACTAGAACAATCCAGGTCTCTGGACTCCTATTCTGGTGACTTTTCTATTAAACGATATTTTCCTTGTTAATTAATGTTCCTTTTATTAATGTAACCATTCAGCATTTTATAAAGTCAAGGGGAGAAATGTCAGGGGTCACCAGAGGTGACTAAAACTGTACACCAAGACATTCCTAGCTTTCCTTAAAAATCAAGAATTTAAGGAATGTCTCTAAATCCTCTCAAAGTATTTAGATACCATCCTTGTGGTAAAATGACAACCAAAGCCGACCATAGCAAAGAGTAAAAGAGCACTTCACAAACCCTAAATTAAATTATTACAAGTTTTAAGTGCTGCCTCCTAATATCCTGGGAAATGTCTAGGATTAACAATCAAAAGACTAGCACATTAGTCCCAACTCTACCACACATGGGCTGACTTGGGAAAGTCACTTAACCTTCCCGTGTCAAACTTGCTCTTCTATAAAATGGGATAATGCCACCTACCTTTCTGAACTAAGAGAATTAAATGAAAGAGCAGTCATAATAAATCACTTAGCCTGGAACATAATAAACAGTCAAAATATGATAACCCCTTTATAATTTTTATATAACATCATTTTTGTTTTCAGAACCATGCCCAACAATGTTTAACATATTCTTGGACTTTCTGGCCCGGCAACAACCACAATAAATGCCTTCAAGGAAGTCATCTACATAACTTCTGGATCCCCTTCCTGGGTCACAATTCAGGTCCTATAAATATAATTTGGAATATCTTCCCCTAAATGCATTATCTTGTTCTGTGCCACATGAAAACTCATCAGAGGATATTCCTGTAGCTTCTCCTTGCTGGCTTGGCTTTTAACTACCTGGAACAGCACATGGAGTCAGCTGCAAATCTGGCAACTGTCACTGCCAGTCCGTCTTTTAAATCATTTATAAAAATGTTAAATAAAACTCATCCCAGTACTGATCACCTGAAGGATAATGGGGTTGGACTGCTGTTCTCATGTAAATAGCCAATGTCAAAAACTAAATAATTAGATAAATGAGCACCCCTTTGGCCACATGCATATTTTAACCCATAAGAAAGTGCTTGAGCTTCTCCTTAACAGATTATATTTAACATTCAGTGGGTTTATCCTTTAGCGTTAAGCATATTTCAGGCGCTTTCCTGTCTGGTAATCTAGGAAAAAACAAACTCAGTTTCTTCACACTGTCCTTCAACAATCAACACAGAAGACTTTTGTGACCTCAAAACATATGTGTAGGGATTTCTCTCTACCGAAAAGCAAGCAATCAATTCTAAAGCAGCTACCAACTGGCTGCCCTCTAATTCAAACCAATTCTGACACCAGCTACACCTAGAGACAGCGTGAGATTGCACAGGTTGAGGACCCAGACCCAAAAGACTGAGCCCCACTTCTGATGCCAATCCCAAGCTCAATTATTTTACCTGTGCTTCTGACCAACCGGCTATAAACTGGGGCTCCTACAGCCCTCTCCTTGAGTTTGATTAATTTGCTAGAGCAGCTCACAGAACTCAGGGAAACACTGTAAAGTAAGTAAAAGTGTTTTAAAACACTTTTGCTGGTTATTACAAAACATATTTTAAGGATACAAATAAACAGTCAGAAATAGTGACAATTACAGCAAGGTCTGGAGTGCAGGAACTTCTGTCCCCATGGTGTTGGAGTGTGCCATCTTCCCAGCACATGGATGTGTTCTTGTTCACCTTCCTGGAAGCCCCTAAATGTCTGGCCCTTCTCTTCTCCCCAGTGGTTGGGAGGTGGAGTTGAAAGTGCCAACCCTCAGAGCCCAATGCTGATTTCCCTGGAGTATCAACACCTCCAAACAGTGCTTACCTAGGGACTTTCCAAAAATAGCCTCATTAACATATGCCCAGGTGTGTTTGAAAGGGCTTGTTGTAAATAACAAAAGACTATCTTTCACCTTTATTGCTCAGAAGCTGTTTCAGAGCTGCTTCAGGAACCAAGGATAAGAGGCCAACTACTTCAACAAAAGATATTCTTTCTGCTCTAGTCACTTAAGAAATGATGAGGCTTACAAGACCTGTGTTGAGCCAGGAACCACCACCGAAAAGCAAACTGTATACAGTACATAATAGTATTACATCCTGATACAAAGACGTGCCAACCTGTGGTATTCAGGATTTACACTAGGGCTAAATTCCTACAAAATTCAGTTTACCTCAACACTTTTCTCTACCCAGCCTCCGATTCTCATCCTAACTCCCCTTCCTCCAACTACCTACCATATACGCAGGTCTAACCTGCAGTTCCCGTATCATTTCCATTCCATCATTGGAGTTCTCATTGTTCCATTTTCCCTATATCTATTATTTAAATAAGCTTCCACCCTTTAAAATTGCTTGAAATACTTCTAACTCAAGGATACTGCTCAGAATAGGAAGACTGGACATTGTTCCTGTTTATGGTCATCTTCAAATAAAATAAGGAAGTCAATTTAAAGACAATCCCAGAGCACATAAGCCCATTTCAAATACAATTTTAAAAAAATTATCTTCATCACTGCTTCCTCTTACTAGCTTTGATAAAAAGATTACTGTATGAAAGCTCATCAGAGTAAGGTAAATTTAATTTTGGTGTTAAGCAGCATATGAATCTGTGAAAATATATTCTTGCTATATTATATTTCATAATACAGTATGGTCTCTCTGAAATCATTCCCTACAATTTTTCACCTACATGTAAAGGCAGGCAACTAATTTTCAGGTCACTAAGATGCAAATTTATCCAATATTAACATGAGTCAACAATCCAGCCTAATTACCCTTTCAAGATTACTTCTGCTCTAACCAGATTCAAAAGCCCTCCCCACTCCCCTTGAAAGTAGGATAGCTGGCTGACTCAGATGAAGAATTTGTTAAGATGGACAATGCAAATAATTCATATTTTCCCTCTTTCATTCTCTAACAACTGCACTGAAACTAAGAAAGTAATTTGTACAGTCTACACCTACTCAGTTCACATAACCATGAATTTTAAATATGAATAACAGTCCATTCACAATGGCATAATTATCTTTAAATGTATAAAGAAAACTCCAACCTAATGAAAAAATGAGCAATGGTTGGTTATATTTTAACATGACATGCCTTCTAAAACCATATTTAACTAATTTATTCACATGATTAGATTATGTAATAGACTTGAAGAGAGTACCTATGAAATTCCTAAAAGTATGTCATGAATGCAATAAATGTCCAATAAATTGTGGTAACTTCATAATCCTTATTATGAGAGTTAACCAAAAGAATATTAGAAATTGGTCACTCTTCAAACACTAAAATTCTGCATCAGTGAAAAAAAAAAAACTGTGAAAACTTGTGATGGCTACATGTGGCTTTCTTAGCCCTGCTAGCATCACTTTGGACTCAATAGCTGGCCCAGGTATTTATCATCTGAAGTACCACCAACAGCATGCCTGCCTGAGATCTAAAACAATAGCAAGACTATTACTAGTACAGTAACATTGCTTTCGAGCTATAGCTTGTTTCTAATTTTAATCCCTCACCTGTAAAATACTCACTTCAATGAAACTCTACAAATAAGGGCAATTAAAAGACATTATGTGAGATACATTGAAAAAATAATGAAAATGAATGTTAAAACATACTCATTAAAATAGAGCTCTTGCATGACAGATAAGAAGTTACATATTGTGACAGAAGGCAAAGATGCTTAAGGAAAGACCACAAAGATGCATGAGAATCAAAGTTGAAAGGACCACAAATGGAAGAAGGGCTGTTACAAAAGCAACAGAAAAACCTGAGAAGGCAGAAGCACAGAACACCAAGAGAAATTCACCATTCTTTAAGTGATACACCATTAAGAAGGATTCTGAGATAACTTATAACTCAAACTGTCACCGTCAAAAACATTTGCTAAAACACATGGTCATGACACTAGTTGGACCTGGGTTACAGCAAATTAAAAAGAACCATATGTTATAAAATTGGAGTCACACACATTTTATCACTAAAATCTCACAGCTTAATGAATGAAGTCATCAAAATATTCGTTTAATAGAAAACAGGGTTCAATGATTTTCCCATGGTTCCACTGGCAGAGAAGAGCTGAGATCAATAATAGACCTTATAAATTCCTGACTTCCTCACCTAAGTGTACCCAGCAGGTCTCTAGTACTCTAGTACTGTATTTTCACTGGAATATCTGCAAATCAATTATTAATATTTTTGTTCTAGAATAATGAAACTGCAACAAGGATCTCCCAATGACATTCAGAAACAGTAACACATTCACTCTAATTTGATATGCAGACCTAATTAAAGGTCCAAGGTAAGCAGAGGAAGGAGAGCAATACCAAAAATCAGAGCATCATTTGTACCAAGTACCCCCTTACCAAAGAGTATGATTTGATCGTGCATTTTTCTAGGAATTTTTGTAACTTGAAAGTGCGTGTACAGCAAGGAAATAAATGGGCACACAACTGCCTGCTTACATCTAACGAACCACAGAGAATAATGTCTAATATTTGCTGTACCCTTTCTATGTAGTAGGTAGGCACAGTTAAACCTCACCACTATGCTGTGAGGTAGGTACTTTTAACACCCTCCCTTTACAAACGAGTAAACTCAGGTACACAGTGGTTAAATCACTTGCCTAAGATCATGTGAAGGGGCTGGGATACAAATCCTGTCTTTCTCTATTATAACTATGATAGGAATGATGTATTCATAATGATCATGTAATTCTACTCTCTTTTTAAAGGTACTAAACCCATTTTAACAAAACCGCCACACTAACTGAAAATAATAATGTTCACATAATTTACTTTCAAAATATAGAAGCCTTCTGAATTTTGAAAATCTTTTAAGCAATTAATTTTAGCATAAAAATTATAGAATGCTAAACTACTCTAGGGCATTCATTTAATATTTTCACCTAAATGACAGTTTGTCTCTTTCCAATGACAGGGAACTATCAGCACTAACGCTAACAATGCAGCATATTGTTTTAAACTTTTAAATAAAAGCTCACCCAGTTTTACAAAATTTCATGGATAAAAGTAGTCAACTCAAACTTCTTCATCCTTAGAAGGGAACAAATCACAAATAATCCAAAAACCATTAACAGTTGGCACGAGAATGCTTTAGAAATAAACAGTGTGAAAGTGATAAAGCAATCTCTGGACTGGAGTCCACAGACCTGCCCACCAATCCTGGCCCCACCATTAAATAGCAATTTAATCCCTTCAACTGCTCTGGGCCTTGGTTTCCTAATCTGCAAAATATCATCTCCATGGTCTACCCTTCCAGCTCTAGAAGAAACGTGACTCATACACATACATCTTTTTTCCAAGCCTCCCATTCTCATTCTGTTTAGCTATTACTACTACTTCACAGCCAGTGAGTCTTACTTTTCCTTAGTTCTACAAAAGGAGAAAACAGCCCAATCTAAACAAAGGTGATAGGGGAAAGCTTCCCTAATCACTGGTTTGCCATAGATGATTCTCAAGGTGAATAATGTAGAAGCTATTATAATGTTAAAAGGTGTTAGGTTTCAATATTTTAGGCTACTGTATTGTAAGCCAGTACATTCTCCCTGAGGACGAATAGTAAAATTCAAGGACAATAAGGAGAAAATATATATAATTATCCATTAGTTATTCAAGAACTAAGAAGGTGCCAACTGAAAATATTAACACCTTTTTGCAGAAATGTTTTCTCTGATGGATAAAAGGGCCAAAATATGATATACAAATTTTTCCAAAATATGTTTAAGTACTAATCAGCTTTCATTTTGTAAACCGTAAAGTACGCTACAAATGTAAAAAATTACTAACATATATAAAATTAAGAAAATATTCATAAGATTAAAGATCTCAGTGAAATGAAGAACCGCCACGGACTGCCATGGAGGTGCACTCTGGAGACCACCACTGCCTAAACCCGGTGTGCATTTTCTATGTTCTCAAGAGTGCTATATAAAGGAAAAATTATTAAAATTAAACTAAACAACTGACATTAAGATTACCAATTGTTAAGAAACTCAACCTGATTTTAGTATTGCTTAATAGAGCTGCTAGCTTACCACCTCCTTCCCAGTCAACACAAGTTAAAATATTTTAAAACTTATATAGAATCCGTAGTTCAATTTTGCATCATCTTGTAGAGAAACGAAAGTAAGGAAAAGAAAGAATGTGAATTACTTATTAGTCTTCTAGAATAAAAGTCAGTAGTACATAATAGCACAATCCATTCTAAACGTTAAATAGGGAAGAAGTAAGCCACCACTATGGATAGAGAGGTTGCTACAAGAATTTCAAGGTGTAGTTATGATAATTTCCAGAAAAACTTGTGACTGATAGAATACCATCAAACATACACATATATTTTTCAATAAAAGATAACTGACAAAGTCCAGCAGCCAGGCACCCTTTAGTTGGAATGCCACAAGAAAATGTCAAAATTTCCTTGTGACTCCAATCCCTCAAGCCTTTCAAAGTTCGGAACCAAACCAAGATGTATTTACACTGTTTTTTTAGCATCCTTCTTTAAATGCAATTCCCTCTCCACAAAAATCACTCCGCTTCTGCTACTCGGATGCCCAAACCCCACATCAAAGACTCTTAGGAGCCCAAGTAGTTGCAGAGGGGTCTTCCAGCTCCCGCCTCCGCATCCCTTACCCACCTTGGTTAGTTAAACCTCCCGGGGCACTCAATTCATTTCCCACATATGTACTCATTGGTTCCCTCCCTCATCCCCAAGAGGATCTTTTCTCCTCGACCTTGAAGACCCCCAGATCGGGCTCTTGGAGCCCCAAGTGACTTGGTCGGTGCTCCCTTCCCTGCAGCCTGTGTAACTGCTTCAGTCTCCGGTGGCCTCCCCGCGACCCACCACGACCCCGATCACGGATGCCCTCCTACTGGCCCCGGACGACCCCCTTCCCCTTAGGAACCCCACGTTCCTCCAACCAGAAAAACAATTCCACAGAAATGCATCGAGAGCCTACTAAGCGCAAGCTCCCACTGTGAGCGGCGTGGTCTGCACGGGGCTCGCGGCCCGGGCTAGCAGTCCTTTTCCCGGCCAGCCCATCCCAGCCAGAGGCCGGCGCTGCCTCCGCCGCGGTGCGGGGGCGACAGCCGGGGGCGGAATGCGCCGGGCGCGGGCACTGGGGCACCGAGAGGCGGCCGCGGACGACGGCGCGGGGGCCGGGGAGCAGGCGGCGGGCCGGGCGCGACCGCGGGGACACTCACCGTTTGGGGCGCGCGGGGCGGCCTCATCCAGGGCACCTGCGGCCAGGCAGGACGGGCCCGGACGGCGCAGTCACCGACAGGGCGAGTCCGCCTGCCCTCCGGTGCGTCCCGTCCCCTCCGACTGCCCAGCGAGCGCAGCGTCGCTTCCTCCGGACGGAGCCCGGGGACCCCAGCTCCGCCGGATGCCCCCGCCAGGCCCCCACCCCCTTCCCTGCCGCCTCCCCTTCTTCACCCGTTTCCCCTCCCCCCTCCCCCCAACCCCCACCAGAATGGAAAATACCTCCCGGGGCGGGGGGCGGGGGGCGGGCAGGGGCACGCCTCTCTGAAGGGCAGCCTACCGTGACCAATAGCAGGCAGGGCTTTAGAGGGGCGGGATTCCTAGCGGCCAATCCGGAGGCGGGTAGGTGAAGGCCGAAGGAGGGAGGCAGGGCGCGAGACGGGGGCGGCCCGGGAGTCGGGGAGGTCCGGCCGCTTGGGTGCGCGCTCTGCGCGGCTGCCATTTTGGAGTCTGGCAGCTGCGACGGGCGCCGTGTCCGGCCGGGGAAAGGGAGGAGCCAGTCAGGTGGGAGAGAGGCGGTCACGTGGGCCTGAGAGGCGGGGTAAAGCGGGCTGCGGCCCGAAGGGAGGGGTCGACGGCGGGGAGTCTCGGGGATTGAGGGGGAATGTCACGTGGTCGGAGAAGGGCAAGCGATGGGCTTGTGGGTGGAAGGTGAACCTGAAGTAGGAGTGGGGGGAAAGCTTTGTCCCTGGTTTCAAGTCTTAGGGAGAAGGAGAGGAAAGTGCTGAATGGAGGGCGTGAGTGCCGAGTAGGAAAATGTGAATGAGTCTCTCCAGCGCCCTTCAGCATGGAGCCACCCAGTTAGCAAGTTCCAAGATCCACGGGAAACCGGGCACCTCCTGCAATTCAAGTATTCCTATCCCCGCCCCCAGCTGCCACAAAAATGACTCACAAATCGGAGGGAGGGGTGTCGGTCTCCGTCGTTTTGTCTGCATTTTATATGGAAGGGCCCCCTCCCTGGAAATGGCTGAAAGGGTGGAGGAAGAGAAGCATAGTTCACGCCTGCAAGGGCTCTTCCCGCTGGCTTTTTTTTTTTTTTTTTTTTTGGTAGACAGTGTCTTCCTGTGTTGCCCAAGCTAATCTCGAACTCCTGGGTTCCAGGGATCCTCCTACCCCGGCCTCCCCTCCCAAAGTGCTGGGGTTACAGGCGTGAACCACCATGCCCGGCCCCACTAGTGTTTTAGAAACCTTGTCGTCGTTCACAAACGTACCGGTCACTTCTTAAGTGTTAGACATAACCTTGATCATGTTCCAGCGCCTCAACTTAATAAACCAAAAAGCTCTCCTGTGAGACTGTCTAGCTCTCATCCTTTATTTCAATTCATCCCTCAAGTACTGGCTAAGTTATTCTCCCAACTAATCCACTAAAAAGTGCTTCTGTTAAGGCTCGCAGTGACACCCGTATGACCGGGTTCAAAGGTCGATTTGTAGTCATCCTGCTTGGTCTCCTGCGGTGGATTTTGTGGACTACATGAAGCCTTTTTCTCTTCCCTGATGTACCCCTCAGCCCACTTTTCTAACACCCTAAACCCTCAGATTGTCTTTCTGTTCAGTTAGCCTTTCTAAATCTGTTCTCTGTTGACTCTACGCCCAAGGATCTGACCCTCAGTCCTCTATTTAGTGGGCATGCAGTCGTTTCTCTCTCTGCCCACTGGGTGATCTGACCATTCTGATGGCTCAACAGCTGAATGTATGTTTAATGACGTCCAGATCTGCAGGTATAAGTGCCTCTTGGGCATCTGCACTTGCAAGCCATGATGTCTCCACATGGGACCTCATATACCCTCTGAGGTTCACAAAACCTGCTCCTCCTTCTCATCTGTTCCTTATCTTTTTTTGATGATAACCACCATCCACTTATTTGCCCAAGCCAGGAACCTTGAAGTAACCTTTCATGCCACTTCCTCACTGCTCTAACATCTCCCTACCTCTTCTAACTTTATCGTGTTGGTAATATTTACTAAATGCTTTCTTCTGTTCACTTCTACTGCCACTGCCACTGCCTCACCTGCATCATTTATTTATTAGGCCAGTACTTAACTGAGCACCTTACTATGCACCAGGCATTGTTTGAGATGCTCAGGATGTAGTGGTGAACAAAACAGACAAAGTTCCTGAGTGGGACAAGACAAATGGTAAAAGTACATTAGTAAATAAATGAGATAATTCAGGGAATGATAAGTATTATGAAGACAATAAAGCAGGGAAACCGATAAGAACTTCCCAAGTTGTTGCTCAGCTCTTCACTGATGTCCATTCCCCCTTCCTTCTGCTTTCTTCTTACTCTCCAAGAAGAAATTGCCTTGATCCTTTCACTTAGTGTGTTGATTCCATGCCCTTTCATCAGCCAGGACTTTCCTCTATCTTTATATTTTTATATTACAGCTACCTGAATACAAATCCCTCAACTAGATGATAAGCTATTTGAGGTCAAGGATTATATCTTACACATCTTTGTGCCCCCACAGTGCCTTAGCTCAGAATAGGTGCTCACAAAACGAGTGTTGAATGAATTGGTGAGCCCCCTGACACCTGAAACAGGCTACCACAAAAGTATATCCAGCCCAAATCAGAATGAAAAGGTCAGTGAACTCGCCTACTTGAGTGTAGTGGCGGTGATGCCTGAGGGCAGGGGACAGAATTATGAATGATGTCACCTGTTTTGGTCCCTTCCGGGCCTGGGATTCCATGATCCTGTGCCCCATGTGTGGCAGTAGTTGCTTCATAAACGCTACTTTACTTGACAGTGTCAAGTACATGCAAGCAATTTAAAAGTACTCTTTGTTTCTGATGATGAGCTTCAAACCCAGAGAACCCTGGGTGAACTGCCAGGATAGGCCCTGCAGGAGAAGGGTGCAGTTGCCACTTCACTTTGTATTTCCAGGCCCTTGGGTATTGCACCCCAATAGGGAGCAAGATGTTGCCAGTTCTGTCATAGTCATAATTAAATCCAAGTTCTGGCAAAGGGCAGTGCGTAATTATGAAGTATTATGGTTTTTATCATTATTAGGCACCCAGCTGCCCAGCCCAGGAAACCACAGTAGTAAAACACTGAGAAGCCAAGCTCCTTTCCCAGCTGGCGTGAACCAATACCAGGTGTATTGGCACATCATCCTGCAGCTTCACACTCATCAAGATTAGACTTTCTGTCCCCTCTTTTTGGCAAAATAAAATTGTAAATGAATGGAAAGAGGAAATGTAAAGAAAGACCTTTGCCACCGCCTCTGAATCAAATTCCTTTTTTGCATTCCCTAAGAATGATCTCTCCTCATCCACCTATTTATTGCATAAATCTTCTTCAATTTTATCCTTGACCTGCTAGCTTTGTAAACATCATTCCACAATTACTCCTGAGAATATATCCCACTGTATTAGGGTGAAAGTACAAAGCACAGAAAAGAGTGCTTTCACGTTCAAGAAACTTAAGAGACTAAATATTCAGGAAAGGATAGTCAGGTTTGACAAGAAATTTGCCATGTATTGAGCACCTACTCAATGCTGCCACTGGCATTTTCACGTATACTATCTGACTTAATTCATACCACCCTGCAAGGTAGGTTTCATTATCCCCATTTTCTTCAAGGTCACAAAGACTTAGTAAGTGATGGAACCAAGATGCCAACATACTTATATAAGTTTGATGATTGTATACTCATAGTGGATATGTCCATACTGGTAGCTGAATAGAGGTAACAGATTTCTGTTACCTCTTTCTATCAAAGTAAAAATGGTTTCTTGTACAAAATAGAGTTTAAGCTGAGCATTGAAAGGACAGTTCATAAGTGATGCTGAGGGATTTATGCCAAATGAGGAGGCCAAATTGGCCATAAGCCTAAAATTAATCAATAAGGAAACATTTCTTGTTCAGCGATGAGTCACATTGTGTTCTTCAAGTACTTTTGTTGTCTCAGCCACAGCAAATGGGGAAGCCAACCCATGTGGCACTGAGTTGGCAGGCATAGGCTGAGGAAGAGTGTGCTCAGGGTGGAGGCAGGTGGTTTGGGGAGGGAATAGGTCTTTGGATGGAGGGATCCCCCAATGGCCAATAAACTGGCACATCTAGCAGTGGCTTCTGAAGCAACTGAAACCATGGCAACTTTCTTTGCTGCCAATCACTTGTTTTTAACTGATGTGTGTAGAACAATTTCCCCTTAA
The DNA here is from genome assembly GCF_000001405.40 of Homo sapiens. NCBI lineage: Eukaryota > Metazoa > Chordata > Mammalia > Primates > Hominidae > Homo > Homo sapiens. The sequence continues at coordinate 46,695,236 of NC_000002.12, read as the reverse complement.
ATAGTTATATAGCTAATTTAAACTTAGTTAACTATATAACTTAAGTAGTTAATTTCATCTTTAAATAGTTTAATGTTTGTCAATTTTTAAACTCTTCAGTACTTATATGTTGTACAAGGCAGTTTACTTCTACTAATTTTAGTGGGGTTTTCTAAGGGATTTAAATTTCAGTAAAATAGACACGTTCTAAGTGTACCAGTTTAATCTGTTTTGAGACATACATAACCCTGTAACTACTACCATAATCAAGAAATAGAATATTTGCATTACACCAAAAAGTTTCCTTGTGCCCGTTTACAGTAGGAATTTTAATAAAACTTGTATTTTGACGACTCTAAAATTTAGATCTCCAGCTTAAACCTTGTTTTCGAAGTCTAGAACCATATTTTTAGCTACCTGCTCGACCTACATACTACAAACAAGCATCTCAAACCAAACATGGCTAATGGTAAATGCTTTAACTACAAGAAAACTCCCATCCCTCACCTACCATTTCCTTCTCAAACCACTTTTTCTGTCCTCTCCCATATGGTTGAGCTAATCATCATTTATCAAAGTCACATATGCTAGAAGTTGTCTAAAATAATCTTCTCTTCCCTCTCTGCCACCTCCCAAGGTCAATAAGTGACTCTAACTCACACATACATTTTTTAGTAAGTATTTTCCATTTTCACTATCCTCATTCAGACACTTACCTCGCAAGATCGCAAAAACTCCTAACTTGTTTCTTCATGCTCCAATTCATCTACCAATCTGCCACTCTAATTTTCTTTTGAAAGCCCAGATCTGACTGTTTCAGTCCCCCGCTTTCATGGACTACCCAACTGCATACAAAACGGCACAAAATTGCCCCAACCTTCCCTACTGGACCTCTCCGCTACCCACTACATAGAATGTGCTGTTCATTGTCATCTTTCTGCTTTTTCATCAAATCTTTGCTTAAAATGCGACTCCTTCTTTACCTGAAAAACTCCTGTCTGTCCTTCACAGCCCCATTTAAATGACTTTTCCTCGGCAAAGTTTTTCCAGACTTTTCCAATAAAAATAGTCCTCTCAGTTACACTTAACCTCCTATAACAGGTTGCACATACATTTATCACACTAAATAGACATGGTGATGAAGTAGAACAGGAGACCTGAGTCAGAAGATCTGGGCTTAAATTTAAAATCTCAGTTATTTGCTATGTCATCCAAGACAAATCACATAACCTCTCTGAGCCTTGGTTATTTCACATATAAAATTGTAATAAAACCATAGTAATACCTTACCTCATGGGACCCTTGTGGTGATCAAATAAAGTAATTATAAATATGAACATGATTTGCTTTATGCAGATATTAGATATTATAATTACAGAACTATATCTCCTGATAGATTTTGAGTGCCTTCAGTAAAAAACCAGTGTCCAATTATCTTTGTTTTGTTTGTTTGCTTTGTTTTTGCTTTTCTGTTTTTTGAGACGGCGTTTTTCGCTCTTGTTGCCCAGGCTGGAGTGCAATGGCACAATCTCAGTTCACTGCAATCTCCACCTCCCAGGTTCAGGTGATTCTCGTGCCTCAGCCTCCCGAGTAGCTGGGATTACAGGCACCTGCCACCATGCTCAGCTAATTTTTTGTATTTTTAGTAGAGACGGGGTTTCACCATGTTGGCCAGGCTGGTCTCGGACTCCTGACCTCAGGTGATCCACCTGCCTTGGCCTCCCAAAGTGCTGGGATTACAGGGGTGAGCCACTGCACCCAGCTTGTCCAGTCATCTTTATATGCCTTCTACCTGACATAGTGCCTGGGCCTCCCTAGATTGGTTTATGACATAAATTATTGTTTTTTGTAGAATCGTATTCTCCCAATTAGTCCTTTAATTAACTCTCTTAGCCTACTTTCTTTTTTTTATTTTTTGAGACAGGGTCTCACTCTGTCACCCAGGCTGGAGTGCAGTGGCGCAGTCATGGGTCACTGCAGCCTCAACCTGCCAGGCTCAAGCATTCCTCCTGCCTCAGCCTCCCGAGTAGCTGGTACTATAGGCACATACCATCATGCCCAGCTAATTTTGGTATTTTTTATAGAGACAGGGTCTCCCTATGTTGTCCAACCTGGTCTCCACCTCCTGAACTCAAGTGATCCTACCGCCTCAGCCTCCCAAAAGTGTTGGGATTACAGGCATGAGCCACCATGCCCAGCTTCTTAGCTTACTTTCTACAATGTTTCTTCAAAAACCAATCATGACATCTTCATTTATTTTAATAATCGTGTATTGCCTTTATAATTAAATAGTGACATAAAAAGGTCTCTAAAGAAATTAAATAAATATTCTATCCATGTTTAATTTTACAGGCCTTTATTTACTCAACAAAAACTTTTTAGAGCATTATATACCTGGCCCTATTCTAGGCATCAGGCACGCAAAGATGATCACGAGTCTTCATCAAACTTACAAGATAGTGGGGGCAATAAGCACAAACCAACCAAGATTTTCATCTATATAGTTAAAGGTGCTACAAATAGCACAGAACAATAATGTAACTGGAGTGGTCATGGTGGGCTTCACTAAGGAAGTGGTGTTTGAGCATCGATGACTAGAAGGAAGCAAGTATACGAAAATCAAGAGGAGGGCATTTCAGGCAAAGGGAAGAGTGCAGAGACCCTGAGACAAGAGCGCACAAAGTAGATTTGAGAAACTGAAAGAAGATCTTTGTGGCATGACAGAAGCAAGGGGCAGTGGTAGGAATTGAAATCAAAGAAGCAAGTGGGGCCAGATCATGCAGAACTTTGAAGGTCAGGGTGAATAGTTTAAATTTTAGTCTAATTGTAACAGGAAACCATTGAAGGGTTTTAAGCAGAGATGTGATATGACTTATTTTTTAAAAGAGTGCTCTGGGCTAGATACAGTGGCTCATGCCTGTAATTCCAACACTTTGGGAGGCCTAGATGGGAGGATCCCTTGAGCCCAGGAGTTTGAGGCTGCAGTGAGCTGTGATCACACCACTGCACTCCTCCCTGGGTGATGGAGCAAGACCCTGTCTCTAAAACAACAATAAAGATTGCTTCATCTGCATATGGAGAATGCATCCTGGGGTCTTTGGGAGTGAGGATCAGAAGGAAGATTAGTTGTTTTGGTTCAGACTACAGATGTCAGTGGTCTGGATTAGGGTGGTAACACTGAAAATGGTGAAGAGAAGTGGGTTTTAATGTATGTTTTGCAGGTAGAACCGAAAAGTCTTATTTAATGGGGTGAGTGAGGGAAAGACATTCAATATGACTCTTAGGACTTTGGCCTAAGCAATTCGGTGGATGAAATACCAGTTTGTAGAGTGCCAGTCTTGTGGCAGGCACTGTGATAGATTCTGAGAATACAAAACTCAATGAATAAGACACATTGCTTGCCCTCAAAAAACTCAGTCTAGTGGAAAAGACTGCCTCATACCCCAGTGATTCCCATGGAATGTTTTAAGCTCAATAACTAAGCTACACACAGGTGATCATGAGGGCATCGAGAAGGAACCCAGTCCAGACACGTGAACCAGGAGTCTCACCCTCTTGGGAAGATAACTAGGGAACTATCTTGGCATTTATGAATATATGCAATAACCCACATTCTTAGTAAAGCTTTAATTTAACTCTTTATTATATTAATAAAGTATAATCATTGTCATCAGCATCTTCCAGAATCTCTGATTTCTTAGAGGAAAGAAAGCTGTGAAAAGATAGCCAAGTGCACTGAAGATATTAGACAGGCCAGGTGCTCAGCGAATGGGACACTCAGAGAATGGGAATCAGTATGGTCTGGGTTTCTGTTGCAGCCCCCAACTTGACCCCTACCGAAAAGATGCCTTTCGTTGTGGAGGGTGGATTCAGGTTTTCTGTTGTGGTTTTAAAAGCAACTACAGCTCCTGTGAAGTTTCCCTCTGACTCCTTTAATGACTTCTTTCAAGCATTTTCCTTTTTAATATTTATTTATATTTAACCAGCTGATACATTCACATTTTACAAATCAAAACCCCATCCATGGTTTTGCTTTCTGTGATTTGTTACCTCTAGTCAACTGTGGTCTGAAAACATTCGATGGAAAATTCCAGGAATAAACAATTCAAAAGTTTTACATTTCACGTCGTTCTGAGTAGCGTGATAAAATTTCCCATCATCCCACTCTATCCCATCCAGCAGGATGTGAATCATCCCTGTACCCACCCATTAGTCACTTAGTAGCATCTCGCTTATCAGATTGACCATCGCTGTATTGCAGTGTTTCTCTTCAAAGAACCCTTATTTTACTCAAAAATGGCCCCAAAGCACAAGAGTAGGGAAGCTGGAAATTCAGATATGTCAAAAGAGAAGCTGAAAAATGCTCCTTTAAGTAAAAAGGTGAAAATTCTCAAAGAAAGAAAACAAAATAGTAGGCTGAGGTTGCTCAAATCTGCAGTACAATAAGGTATTTTGAGAGAAAAAGAGAGACCATTCACATAACTTGTATCACAGCATATTGTAATTGTCCTGTTTTATTATTAGTTGTTCAAATCTCTTACTGTGCCTAATTTATAAATTATAGTTTATCATAGGTATGCATTTATAGGAAAAAACATAGTATATATAGGGTTCAGTATCATTTGCAGCTTCAGGCATCTACGGGGGGTCTTGAAACACATCCCCAAGGGGGATCAGGGGAGACTACTGTAAAAAGGTGGAGTGGAAAGTCTCTCTCCTTCTTTGTAAGAGCTGGCCATGAAAAATAAAAAAGTCTCTCTCCTACCCTGCCCTTTCACTCTGTTCTCCCCCTTAACACACTCTCATAGGTAGAGCTATCTATTTATATTGGTTTGTCTGTATATCCTTTCGGTGTTTCTTCATACAAGTACAAGCAATTCTTACATTTCTTCTCTTCCCCCTTCTTACAGAGGAGGTAGCATATTGTATCCCTGATCTGTATCTTGCTTTTCTAACAATGTTCCTTGGGGATCTTTTATATCAATACTAAGAGAGCTTCCTCATTCTTTCAACATCTGCATGGCGTTACACTGCATGATGTGCCATAGTTTATTTAATCGTTCCCCTCTTGACGAACACTTGGGTTGTTTCCAGTCGTTGCTATTTCTTACAAACAATTCTGTAGTGAATAACCTGGCACATCTCTGCAAATATATCCTTATGATAAATCCCCAGAGGTCTCCCAAACTGTAATAAACTGATAACATCTTCCAAAGGAATGTTCTAAGATGTTGGGACTCCAAATTAGAACCTCAGTTTTCCAAGAATTAACTTTCTCATTTCATTAAGAGTACCCTGTACAGGCCAGCGCGGTGGTTCACGCCTGTAATCCCAGCACTTTGGGAGGCTGAGGTAGGCGGATCACGAGGTCAGGAGTACGAGACCAGTCTGGCCAATGTGGTGAAACCCCGTCTCTACTAAAAATACAAAAATTATCCAGGCGTGGTGGCGTGTGCCTGTAATCCCAGCTACTCAGGAGGGTGAGGCAGAAGAATTGCTTGAACCCAGGAGGCAGAGGTTGCAATGAGCCGAGATCGTGCCACTGCACTCCAGCCTGGGTGACAGAGTGAGACTCCGTCAAAAAAAAAAAGAGTACCCTGTACATTCTTTATGGGTTTTGTTTTGATTTTGTTTTGTTTTGTTTCTGAGACAAGAGTCTTGCTCTGTCATCCAGGCTGGAGTGCAGTGGCACCATCTCAGCTCACTGCAACCTCTGTCTCCCAGGTTAAAGTGATTCTCATGCCTCAGCCTCCTGAGTAGCTGCGATTACAGGCGCCCACCACCATGCCCAGCTAATTTTTGAATTTTTAGTAGAGACAGGGTTTTGCCATGTTGGCCAAGCTGGTCTCAAGCTCCTGGCCTCAAGTGATCCACCAGCCTTGGCCTCCCAAAGTGCTGGGAGTACAGGCATGAGCCACCGCACCCAGCCATATTTTTTCTAATAAGGAACATTTAAAAATATTTAATCTGCCTCTCCTGCAACCAGTAATAGTTGGAATGATGCTTTAAAAGGGAAGAAAAAAAAAACTCAGAGAGAATAAAATTCAATTTGATTACGCCCCAGCTAATGAATTGCATCCTCTAGAAAACTTGCATTTTCTTAATTCAACATATAGAAGCATCTCTGGAATGAAGTCTCAAATAGGATTGATGGGTTTGGAATTGAAAACTTGTAAGGTATTCCCCACCTGAAACAGCTCTAGTGCTACCCTAGCCCCAGGGCCAAATACCCTTTGACCATTTTTCATTAGCATTCCTTCTCATTTCCCTTAGTAATTTTTCATTTTCCCATAGTTGCTTTTGGAAAATAGATTTTAGGGCTTGGTGAAGTGGGTAGACTTTTGTAAATGTGCTTTATAACTGGGCCATGTAGAGCAGGTATTCTATCTTTACATTAGTTCCCCCCTCTACTCCCAAAAGACCTTTTCTTATTTATCAGATTACAGATATACAAGATGAGGATAGAAGGATCCTAAACTTACATGAGTTCTTTGCGAGAATATATACAGATGTAGAAATGTGCATGAGTGATGTGGTAGTGTGAGCTGCCATTTAAAAAATATATACATCTTAAGAAGCTAGCCCAGCCACATCACTATCATTTTTATTTTATTTTTTATTTTCTATTTTTTTGACACAGAGTCTCACCCTGTCACCAAGGCTGGAGTGCAGTGGTGCAATCATGGCTTACTGCAGCCTCAACCTCCTGAACTCACGAGGTTCCCTCCCTCCTCAGCCTCCCAATAGCTGGGACTATAGGCACGTGCCTCCACACCCGGCTAAATTTTTGTATTTTTGGTAGAGACAGGGTTTCACCATGTTGTGCAGGCTAGTCTTGAACTCCTGGGCTCAAGTGATCCACTCACCTTGGCCTCCCAAAGTGCTGGGATTACAGGCGTGAGCCAACACGCCTGGCCACTATCATTATTAGAAAATAAAATTATCTTTCCACATAGAATTTCTCTTTGGTTCTGTTTCATGTGTATGGAGGTTTTTTTGTTTTGTGTTTTTCTTGTTTAATTATAGCATAAGAGAAAGTATTTAAAAATAGAAAATGAGGTTAACAAGATACAGCAAATAACCATCCAGAAAGTTTTTCTTAGCTCCAGTGCACGTCAGAAATCACAAAATCTACAAATTATAGAACGGTCCAAACTCTCTGAAGAGTATCTAGTCCAATTCTAGTTGAAACTATCTTCCATTTTTTAAATGGTACAGTCTATCCTTTACCTATTACCTTTTTTTCTTCCTCAGCTGGTAAGACTTGGACTTTATCTATCCAGAATTCCCCCTTATGTGAAAAATAGTATTTTCTGAAATTATTTGTGCACATAGTCCCAATGTCTGTTGAGAATATCAGTTCTACTGACCACACTCTCATGGTCTTCAGGGAACTATGGTCCTCCCTTACTCACGGTCCATGGGATTGACAAGGGGAGTGATGTCCCCACATCTAATCCTTCCCTGCCTGCCTTAGGGGTGAAGCATGTGACTTTGGCCTATACCATCTAGTATGTCCTATTCCCCCAGTCACAATAATCCATTCTGGACTCACAAGAAAAAGTCAACTTGGGTCTGAGCCTAGGTGCAAGTAGTCCCTGGAGTAGCTTGCATCCATATTGGGCATACAAAAGGTGAACTTGCCCAAAGATGGAACCAATATTGAAGATGCTGAATTGAGAATGGAGAGAGAGAAATCAGGTCCTGGGTCACTGTTGGAGCCCTAGATCAAGCTTCACCTCAATCAGATGCCCTAAATTGTTCAGTTACAAGAACCAATAAATTAACCTTTTTGAACTTTTCTTCCTTTTTAAGTTTTTATTTATTTTTATTTATTTATTTATTTTGAGATGGGCATCTTGCTATGTGGCCCAGGCTGGTCTCGAGCTCCTGAGCTCAAGTGATTCCCCCCTTCTTGGCCTCCCAAAGTGCTAGGATAACAGGCACGAGCCACTGTGCCCAGCCAAATTCACCTTTTCCATTAAGTTAGTTTGGATTACGTTTTTAAATCTCTGGCAGAGGATTTTTAGTTGATGTAATATCTTCAAGCAAAATTAGGCAAATTAAACTCATGGTGTTCCCATGGTTTGACAAATGATTTCTCTAGGTAATTCCCAGAGTCTGCTTTTCATGGTAGGAATAATGCTACTATTGCAGCCCTGCCCAAGGACTGAACACCAACCCAGGCCAGAATTCCTTCCCCTTCCTCCGAGGACTCCTCCAGGTCTATGATTAAACTCAGCCCACTGGTGAAGTTAAAGAAGGAAGGGAACAGATGGTAACCTGAGGGAATTAAGCCAATTTACTTTAGGGGTCAGTTGCAGTTCACATTCAGCAGTGAATGAAGTTGTTTGAATCAGTTTCTGGTTCAGGCCTGTAATCATCTGGACGGATACAAAATTCTTCACGTGGGACAAATATTTGGAGGGTTAAAATGTTATTCCAATTTGAGAGAACTAGGAAACATGGAATCAGGTAGCACCTGTCTTACCAGGTCTTTAGTACTGAACGCATATGAGCAGGGTAGAGGGACATTGATAACATAGTTAACACTTCAAAAAGTGAGTCTAGACTGCATCCAAAATAAGCAGTGTCATAAAGCCTGCCCTTTGGATTTACTTTTAATATTTCTAATCCACATGAGAGCATACTTTGAAATACATCCTATAGCGGCCACTAAGTTACTAAAATATAAATTAAAACATCTTTTGTCATTTTTGCCTCTTTTAGAGGAACAAGATTTTTATAGGTGAAACATTGATAGCCTGTATTTGAAAATTATTTCTAGTTAGAGTGATATTTCATCAGTATCTTAAGGCCTTAAGACCTAGTGTGCAGTCTTGGGACAGAATTATTCTCTGGGAAATGTCATTAAAAACATAGGCTCAGAATATCAAATAGACCACTTTAAACTACTTCAGGTAATCTATTGAATATGCTTTGATATGAAGGATCATTTGTTCCATTGCTTCCATAATTTTTTTAAAATTTCAAGACACTTACAAAATGCTCAGCTTTTTCTAGCATATATTTTGTGAGTGGGTGGTATGCAAACAAAAGATAGAATGACAGATGCCATCTATATATTTTACAAAAACACCTCTTGCTTATGCATGTGTAAGCAGAAGTTGGATTTGACAAGATGCAAAAAGATGTCTTACAGATGGTACATGTTAGCAGGACAGGTCTTCCCAAACTGATGGAGCCATCAAAACAGTTGTCATGAATATGTGGACGTCTGTCACACCTGTTCTTCTGCAAAGAAATGCCCTCTTGTAAATATGACCAAATTTTCAGAGAGGCCCAAGGTTAGCTAAGCTTAGTTCACTTTTCCATTAGCTCAAGAGAGACTATGGCTACCAAAGTGGATTGCATGTCTTTTTGTGGTTCTGAGATTCTTGAGTGTTCCTTGGTTTTGTATTATTTACAGTTAAAGTTTAAGATTAAAATTCTTTTACTTGGCCCTCAAAAGAGTAACCATAATTAATCTTATAGCATTAAATTCATTGGCAATCTGCTTTGGAGGGAATAAACTCATGTTCTGCAAAAGGGCTTGGATATACAGAATTTCAATGCTTCAAATGATGTAATTGTCTATAATATTTAGCCTGCCATTTTTAGTTTGGTATTCGTATAATATGAGATTTCGAAGAAAAAGCTAAAGAGAGGCTAATTTGCTTGGTAGTGCTTCTGTTCTTTTGTTCTTTTAGAATCTAAAATTAACCAACATCTGCAGTGTCAACAAGGACTCCATATGGCATTCAAGTTTGTACTTTTCCTAAATAATGCATTTGAGGCAATGTAATCTGAGAGGAATTCTGAGGTAATAATGAGCAGAATGTGTTATATTGTATAGCACTTTATAGTTTCAAAGTTATTTAACAACTAGGACCTTATTTGATCCTCACAACAACATTAAGAGGCAAGGAGGTGTAGGGTATTTATTATTCCTGTTGAAGAGATGAGAAGGCAGAGATCCAAAGTATTGAAGAGACATGACCATAGTCACAAACCTGGTAAATAGCAGGGTGAAAATAAAATCCAGGTTATCTGATTCCTAATTCAATGCCCTTTCTACCATATTACTAGAATCAAGTTATTGACAACCCATGTTATGATAGCATGCTTTGAAAATAATAGATTCCACAAACAACTCTGCAGGTAAATAAAAAGAACTCAATCATGCATGTTTGATTTTTGAAAGTTTAATGGATTTCACTTGCTCAATTAAGTTAGCAGATGATTTCTATAGGAGTTCATCTATAGTTACACTTGTGATTTTCTATTTTACCTCCAAAAGTTTTCACTCAAATCCTTTTTCTCCTTGTGAAGTTGTACCTCATAAATCGTTATTAGTCATATCTTAAAAATTCAAAAACTTTCCTGTAAGAGAGGTTACAACTAAGTGTTTTCCTCACAGTAATAAATATAATTTATGTCCAGCTGAGTTTTGAAACTTTTTGTTTCAATTCAAACTTCTGTAAATTTCTGTATCACAGCAATCAGAATTTCTGGGACAAAAAGAAAGTTGTTTGAAGCTAAAGAACATTCTAGAAACATAACTTGTGACTGGCACACAAATGTAAATTTAGAAGGACTCATTTTTTAAGCATAAATAATGTTACTGCCAATACATACCTGACAGAAATTTCTAGCTATGTAATAGTACCATTTCTACTTTTAAATGCAGTGTAATTCAATTGCTTCCATTTCTTGAAAGTTTGAGGCTTAAAAATTATGAATGCTGGCATTCTGGAAGAGGAGCACTGTGAGTTCGTAACATCGAAAAGGTGCTGGCGTTCTCAGACATTGACAGGCAGATATATTTCCAACAAGTGGAAACACAGGACTGCACTGGGAGAAGGAGCAGACAACAAGAATTTTCATCATGATTTGGCTTGGTCTATGCTGGTTCTGCAGAGACTTCACAAAGTGCATCTTTAGGAAGCATCTTCTACCAAGTGGAAAGCTGGCAAGAGGCAGCAGTAGAGGCTGCTGACACCAAAGCAACAGAGCTTACTTAAAACTTAGAAAAAAAATTGTTTCCATTAGTTGTTTGGATATGTCTCAAAGAACCACAAACAGAAAAGCAATATTTAAAGTTGCTACTGTCCAAACATTCTTGCAACTCTAATATCCTACCTACTCAGTGTCTGAGATTTGTGGAAATACACTCCACATTTTTGAAAAGGAGATCATTTAACCTAAGTAGAATGTTGTCTCTCCATACACGAGCATACCTGGACATGGGAGTGGTAAAAAAGAGAGAAAGAAAGTGACAAAGAGAACAATATGGAATGTACAAGGGAGTCAGAGGAATTGAGGGGAGGTGGAGAATTTGGGGAGGAAAGCCTTGAGAGAGGAGGTTTAAATCATTTGAAAAGGCAATAATTCTGTCTGGCAAGTCCTGGGAATCTGTGAGGAGGGAGCAAAGGGTGACAGAAGAGAGTGGCTGTGGCGGTAGCATTCAGAGGGACTCTGGTTGCAGAGAGATGGCAGGTGCAGAGGCGGGGCATGAGGAAGTACCCGAGCCACCATGAGAACCTCCACTGTGGCTGTTTGCTCTTCACTTATTTGGTTAGGTCTAGTTTTGGCCCCCCTTCCCACCATACCTCTGCCCCCGACTGCAAGAAAAAATTGTATTCAGTAGGCTCAACTTTGTTTAACTTAGTTTTAATTGTCCACCAAGTGATTTGTGGAGATGAGGACTGGTAGTAACTTAGCAATGACTTCAGAATCCAGAATCAGAATTGGAGTGATAGAACTTTGTTCCCAGTCAACCCACTCACAACAACAGACCTCTCTGTTCTACAGTAAAGTAATGTGGTCCCTTGACTATTCTGCTGCTAATGAATGGATTGGACAGAAAAGCAATGGAAGGGCCGATACAACTCTCACAACAGTCCAACTCTTTTCTGCCAGATTGGCTTAAAAAAAAAGGCAGCTGAGGCCGGGCGCGGTGGCTCACGCCTGTAATCCCAGCACTTTGGGAGGCCGAGGCGGGCGGATCACGAGGTCAGGAGATCGAGACCATCCCGGCTAAAAAATGGTGAAACCCCGTCTCTACTAAAAATACAAAAAAATTAGCCGGGCGTAGTGGCGGGCGCCTGTAGTCCCAGCTACTTGGGAGGCTGAGGCAGGAGAATGGCGTGAACCCGGGAGGCGGAGCTTGCAGTGAGCCGAGATCCCGCCACTGCACTCCAGCCTGGGCGACAGAGCGAGACTCCGTCTCAAAAAAAAAAAAAAAAAAAAAAAGGCAGCTGATCATGGCAAATCAAGTTAGCCAATACCTGTATTGTCTGCCTGAATTATAAAGCATAACAGTACATCCTTTTCTCTTGCAGTCCTTTATTAAAAGAAAGAGGAAGAGGAAGTATTGGACCATGCCTATAATAGACAAAATAACTAGAAAACCTTCTACACTACCCACTGGAACTTGTCATTTGCACACTGACACAGTAATGATTACTCTCAAAGTTAGATACAATATCACCCCCTCTTCCCCTCATTGCTTAGACACAGCTAAGCAGTGACTCTCAGAGGCAGTGGGATGAGGACATGGCCTTGCCAGCTGATGCTCAGAAAGACCAAACACTTAACTACACATAAATAGCTCATGAACCTACCTTTCCCAAAACTCCCAGGCCACATGCATCATTGCCACAGGAACAATCAGGTCCCCAAAGTCATCCTAGAGATGTCTGTGGTGGGTGGCTGGACCCATGAGACTTTGCCTTCATCCCTTAGGATGGCCTTTTGGAGCCTGGAGACTCTCAGGAAACTGATTTCTTATGCGGGAAGATGTTGAGAGCCAGGAAGAATGGAGCACAATGTAATTTATTTCTGAATCTTTCATCTTGTTGGATATGCCCCAGGGTGGAGTAATTCTTTTGATCACAGATAATTCAGCCCTGGATGGATCAACATGCTTAAGAGAAGTTTCCAAATATGTCTAAGACTGTAGGTGCAGAGACTTAAGTGCCTATCAACAAGGGCAGTTTAGAATAGAAAAGAGGTTGGAAATCAGAAAAAATGAAGAGGCACCATGGTATAATAGAAAGAGCCAGCTATTGTTGGCTGTTAGTATCTGTCAGTAACTAGTAGGTGTCAGTAACTGGTTGTGTCACTGTTTGTAACTAGTTGTGTGCCTTTGGTCATTATGCCCATGTCTCAGTTGCCTCAACTCTAAAATAAACACTAAAATGAAAGGAATTTCATTTTAGAAAAAAGAGGAAAACCTTTGAGATACTGATTTAATTTCTCTCTCTGTATTTTCCCCTTTCCATTTTTCATTCTGGCTGGCTCTGTGTCTCAGCCTCAGGAGAGACTTGTGGCTGGACTTCCAGGCTTTCATTTCAAATAAACCTGCAGAGAAGAATAGGGTTTGAGGAGGGCTGTATTTTCCTAAACTAAAAAGGTCTGTGAATCCAGAAGCCTCAAGGATGTCACCTGCTTCTTGGTGGTACCCCCTCGCTGTATGTGCCTCAGGGAGGCTGGGTCTTTGCCAAAGAGTCTTTTTTTTTTTTTTCTAGAAAATATTTAATAGCAGAGGGGTAACCCCAAGGAGACCATGCAGACTGGGACGTGCTCATGTGAACTAATGATGGGAAGGGCCTCCAGATGACCTAGTGCTTCTTAAGATGCCTGGTTCCTAGCAGGGCCCTCAGCAAGGTTGTGAAAGATGTTCCAGGGGTGACCTGGACAGCTGCACTTCATACACGGGAGTCATGACCTGGACAGTTCAATTTCCTGTCAGTCCAGCAGAGTAGGGGCTCCGCGTTTAAATTGAATTGCCATGTTCTAAAGATCCTAAGGAGCCATCCGGGGCAAGATCACCTTTAGTTTGTTTAATTGTGTCTCTTTATTATTTATTAAAACTAAGCCTAAGCAAAGCTTGCACACTCCAGGAAATCTGCTTTCTCAGGGTTGAATTCACCATGGGTTTACTTTGCCGGCCATCCTTGTCATATTTTTCCCACACCAGCCCTTTCTGGGTTCCATGTTTTCCCACTGGAGATGTTTTATTGAGAAAGGCTGGTGGCACCTTGAAGAATATCACATGCCTGCTCCCCGATCCCTGGACATTTTCTTCAAAGTTGGAAAGGAGTTTCTTTCATCCACAAGGACAGCTGTCTGATGTCTGAAAAGCAACTCAGCTGTGGTCCTCTTATTCTCTGGGGCCATGTGTGTTTTGGGAGTTGCTAATAAAACAAACAATACAAAGCAAAATACAAACTTAAAATAAAACATCTCTTATACAGTTGTTTTTGTTGTTGCTGTTTTATGGTTTGATTGGTGAAAAGTATTTTTGTAGGCTGGGTGTGGTGGCTTACACCTGTAATCCCAGTACTTTCAGAGGCCAAGGCGGGTAGATCGCCTGAGGTCGGGAGTTTTGAGACCAGCCTGACAAACATGGCAAAACCCTGTCTCTACTAAAAATACAAAAATTAGCCGGGTGTGGTGGCGTGTGCCTATAATCCCAGGCTGAGGCAAGAGAATGGCTTGAACCCGGGAGGCAGAGGTTGCAGTGAGCCAAGATTGCGCCATTGCACTCCAGCCTAGGTGACAGAATAAGACTCTGTCTCAAAAAAAAAAAAAAAAAAAAAAAACAGAAAAAGAAAAATATTTCTGTAGTTTCAAGACTGTGTTGCAGTTGGAAAGGGAGAAAATACTTAGCAGAAGTGAAAACCCAGGTCCCGGGCTGCCAGCTTAAACTCTGAAAGCACTTATTTGACATTATCTCTTGTATCTTTTTCTGGGTAGAAGACAGAAATTGCCATGTTCTTCTAAGAACATTTTCCTATTGTTCCTTGCTTCTCTATTTAAATATTTTCAGGAGGAAAAGTAATGTGTTTTTTGTTTTGTTATTCTTTTTTTCTTTTTTGTAATTTAGAGCGCCTATGTTGTTGATTCAGTCAAAATAATCTTTGGATCAATTTGTATTTCTTGCCAAATAGGCTTTCTCAGAACTTGGAAAACAAAGTAAAGTGGTACCCCAAATCTTCTCTTTCCTCTTATCCTCGAAATTCTCCCATATAGCCAAGGAATTGCCATTCTTGGGGGGTGGGAGGAAGCCTCCCTCTAATTTAAGTCCTTCTAAATCTAGATTTTTTTATGTTGTTCAAGGAACTAAGTAATCTAAAATTTCTACCGAAAAAAATAATGCAAATAGTCTTCTCCCAATAGAAACTACTAAAATAGTCACATGGCCTACCTCTCAAAGTAGAATATATTCCTTCTTTCTTAATTAAATGAGAAATAAAAGGAAGTCATGCACAAGCTTTCAGAGCAATGACTATAATATTAAAAAATGTAGTTCTGGTCAGAAAAAAAATGTTGAAAATGGAAACAATGTGAGATTGTACTCAAGTAGATCCTTATACTCCAACCAAATGCTGGAAGAATCAAGAAAAGCTCTAAAGCAAGGGAGAAGAATGTGAACAATGGAGAAAAGCAGAGGAGTACAGAAAATCCCTAACAAGTGCATAAAATCATAAAGCAGAGTCTGAGGTGGTTCTTAAATTACTCTCAAAGTTTTTAAATAAAACATGAGATTGAAAAAACTCATTGCCTGGAAAGATAACATCAATTTATTTTATTTTATTTTATTTTACTTTATTTTATTTTATTTTTGAGACAGAGTATCACTCTGTCACCCAGGCTGGAGTGCACTGGTACCATCTCAGCTCACTGCAACCTCCGCCTCCAGGTTTCAAGCATTTCTTGTGCCTCAACCTCCCAAGTAGCTGGGATTACAGGCACGCACTACCACACGTAGCTAATTTTTGTATTTTTAGTAGAGACGAGGTTTCGCCATGTTGGCCAGGCTAGTCTTGAACTCCTGACCTCAGGTGATCCACCTGCCTCGGCCTCCCAAAGTGCTGGGATTACAGGCATGAGCTACGGCACCTGGCCAACTGGAGTGCAATGGCGCAATCTCAGCTCACTGCAACCTCCGCCTCCTGGGTCCAGGGGATTCTTATGCCTCAGCCTCCCAGGTAGCTGGGATTACAGGCTCCCACCACCACACCCAGCTAATTTTTGTATTTTTAGTAGAGATGGTTTTACCATGCAGGCCAGGCTGGTCTCAAACTCCTGACCTCAAGTGATCTGCCCACTTCAGCCTCCCAAGTGCTGGGATTACAGGTGTGAACCACCGCACCCAGCCAAAAACAGAACTTTTGTCCGCCACATAAGAAGCCAGAAGTTCTCCAAGTGCTCTGCTGTGAACGCAACTGTCTCCCTCCCCTATAAGTAACTACTATACTGACATCTACAGAAATCACTTCCTTCTATTTTTGTGTGTGTGTGGTTTATCACCCAATTGGCATCCCTAAACACTGTAGTTCAGTTTTGTCCATTTTTGAAAACTTTGATATGTCCTTAACATCTCTTAAACCTACAGTTTTCCTCTTCAAACTTTTCTTTTCCATGCAACTTATCTGTTGAAGTACCTAGAGCATTTGGCCTAGAGTTTCCTGCAGTCTGGATGGGGCTGGTTGCTTACTCCTGATGCAGTTCAACACATTTTTCTGTCTTTTACATATTTCCTGCAACCTGCCAGCTGGATTCAGAGGCTTAACCAGACTCAGGTTTGATTCCTTTGGCAAGACAGTGATGGGTGGTACCTCTAAGGGCACACAACATCTGGTTGTCTCTCTTCATGACATTAGCAGACATCAATGCTCAATGTCTGGATTTATTAATTTATTGTGGGCTATAGAATATTCCAATTCCATTATTTCTTTTTCATTTACTAGTTGGAATAGTTCTATAAAAAGATACTTCCCTTCATCTATTATTTGTTTAATCAGTGGTACAATTCAGATGGGAAAGGCAAAGTAAAAGCTTGATTTTATTTACCAGTTTTCAAGACAATGAATTTTTCCTATCATCCTACAAAGGTGACCTTTCATTTTAGTTATCCTGATCTCACATATGTATGTATTAACACATGCATTCAACATATTTTATGGGTTTTAAGCCATTGCAATCATTATCTTTATTGCAGCTCAATTTGACCCATCTTTGGATAGTGAGAGCCTTTCCCACTGGCACTTGAATCCTTTTGATTTGACTGTAGTAGCCTTTGATAGCTGCCTTGCTATCTGACATGACCAGATATTCCAGGCTCATCTTGTGCATCTCACACCCCAGACCTGGAATCTGTCATTTCTCCAACAAACCCTGATTTCTTTTCATGGGAAATAGTATTTCAAAACCAAAATCCAGGCACTAAACATGTTCATCATTACCGTGTTAGTTACAGTTTCTAAGCCTTTTCAGTGGCCAGAGCTAGAAAATCCCTCTCTCTCTCCATATATATATATATATATATATATATATATATATATATATATATATATATTTATTTATTTATTTTATTTTATTTATTTTATTTTATTTATTTATTTTTTTTTTTTTTGAGATGGAGTCTCGCTCTGTCACCAGGCTGGAGTGCAGTGGCACGATCTCTGCTCACTGCAAGCTCCACCTCCTGGGTTCAAGCGATTCTCCTACCTCAGCCTCGCGAGTAGCTGGGACTACAGGCACGTGCCACCACATCTGGCTAATTTTCTGTATTTTTAGTAGAGATGGGGTTTCACCATATTAGCCAGGATGGTCTCAATCTCCTGACCTCGTGATCCACCTGCCTTGGCCTCCCAAAGTGCTGGGATTATAGGTGTGAGCCACGGTAGCCAGCCCAAAAATACCTATATGTTTTTAAATATAAAATAGCTTTTGAATTCATTTTTATATTCCAATTCAAATTTAGTCTCATTGGTTTTTATAAATGCAACAGGCTCAAAACAACAATGCTGCAGTACCTCAACCAATATGATTACTAAGAGTTATGCCCAGGTGTGGTGGCTCATGCCTGTAATCCCAGAACTTTAGGAAGCCAAGGTGAGAGGACTGCTTGAACCCAGGAGTTTGAGACCAGCCTGGGCAACATAATGAGACCCTGTCTCTATTGTAATAAAATTATAATAAAAATTTTTTAATTATTAAGAGATACATTTTTTAATTTGCTCTCCGCATTTGCCTCTATTTTCTAAGAGTAATTTTACTGTATCTACATTGTCAGAGTATGTAGCCATTACACATAATACTTGATCTCTTTTATCCCTCACTTAATCTTTTTTTTTTTTTTCTTCTAAGAAACAGGGTTTCGCCTTGTTGCCTAGCCTGGTCTCGAACTCCTGGGCTCAAGGGATCTGGCCACCTTGGGCTCCAAAGTGCTGGGATTACAGGCGTGAGCCACTGCTCCTGGCCTTAATCTTAATTCTACATATTTAATGCTCACCAGGAGTCTTTACATTGATGTGTCTCTAGTCATTCTGAAGTTTGTTTTCCAGTAGATACACAGGAATGGTTCACAAGAACAATATTTCCTGAATTCTTGCATATTGATAGCAGTTTGTATTATTTGTAACTGAAAGTCAGTTTTTCCACATATAAAATCCTCAGATCATATTTTCTTATGAATCTTAAATATGTTACTCCATTTTTTTAGACATAAGTGTTCTTGTTGAAACATATGATGCTAACTTAATTTTCTTTCCCTTACAAGTCACTGTCTTTTAGAACTATATACCAAAAGACTTTTTCCTTTTTTTAAATATTCAGTAATTTTATTAGAATATGTCTTGGTTCATCACTCTAAGTCAATTCTCAGGTACATGGTGTGCTCTTTCTACACATAGTTTTAGATAGATAGATAGATAGATAGATAGATAGATAGATAGATAGATAGGTATCTTTTTAATTTCAGGAAAGTTTCCTGAATATTCCTTTTAAAAATATTTATTCTGTTCCCATGCTTTGAGTTTCTTCTTCAGAGACTCCTATTATTGTATGTTGTGTCTTCTTTGCCTACCATGGATATTTCTCACTTTCTCTTGGATCTTTTTACTTCTTTCTTCATTTCATATGGATTTTAAAGATTTTCCTCCTTTTTGCCTGGTATGTATTTTAAAGTATTATTTGTTGTATTTATTTGCTCTTTTGTTCCTTTTTATTTAGTATTTTTGAACTAAATTTTTCTTTTATTTGTAAGTCTTTCCTGAGTTCTGCCTCATTTCTGAGCTTTTCTAATTTTGATTTGTGTTATTCTTTCGTATGTTATATAACTTTCCTAGTGTCTTTCATTTCATTTTGAAACGGTAGGTTACAGTTTTGATCTTATTTAGTATTTGAGGACTTGCCCTATTGAGCTCCTTATTCTCTTTTTTCTAATAAAATTTGTATGGGATTTAACCTGGATCCTTTTCTGTTGTTCATTTCTATGTAAAATTAGTGTTCCTAAATTTTTATCTGGGGGCATGTTTAGTTAAAAGACATGGATCAGGATGGGTGCAGTGGCTTACCTGTAATCCCAGCACTTTGGGAGTCCAAGGCAGGAAAATCAAATCACTTGAATCCAGAAGTTCAAGACCAGCCTGGGCAACATAGTGAGATCCCATCTCTTAAAAAAAAAAAAGTCATGGCTCAGAGTTAGAAAAGCTAACTTCACAGAGGTCCCTGTTTTGTAACCTTTGTGAGGTGTTCAAAAACACAGTGGCCAGCTTTCTGAGATGTCTGGCTGTGTTCTTCTCCCCTTTTTAAATCAGAAATTTATCTTCCTTTGTCTCTATTATCCTAATCCAATTTTTGGTTCGACTCCAAAAGTAGTAGAACCACAATTTTGGTTCTACTCTCAAAAGTTTCTCCTCAGTGTGGGGGCCCTACCTTGGAAAGATGCTCTGACTTTTCAGTCTTGAGAGTTCATAGGGGTTACATTGCTTCAACCACCTTCAGTTCTTCTCACTGTGGACTCCATGCACTCATCCACTATTGAAAAGGGTGAAATTCCTCCAGATTCAGCCACTGTTATCACACCGGCCCACTGTGCCTTCCAATGAATACCTATCATATTCATAGCTTACCTGCTCCCAGATCTTTTAGATACACTATTCTTACCCTCTGCTTCTTCCTGCACAGGTGTTAACAGCATGCAGGTCTTGTGGCCATCCCCTGTTGCTAGTGTTCTGAAGTTTATGGAGATACTCTGTCACCTAGCTTTATCATATATATTTCCAAGAGTTGTGGTCTTTGCTATTTAGTTACTCTTTTTGTAAAGGGATCTAGGGAAATTTACATTGATGTTTCCTCCTCTGCCATCTTCCAAGAATCCTCTCCTGATTTAAAAATTTGATAGGTATTACCAAACTTCTTAGAGGATGATATGCTTCTTGTGGACATTTGCTTTAAATTAATAAAGGCTTCCTATTCCTAAACAGCAAAAGGAAAACTATGAACATTCCAGGAAGAAGCCATATGTCCTATGCCTTCTCATTCTGAACCCAAAGTCTGCAAATAGTATCAAAGGGCTTTGCAAAAAAGGGCTGGTAGGATTGTAAATTCTGTGGAATCTTTACAGAATCTTTTTGGGCTGCTCTGAGATGATTAATGCAGATGGAGGACAGGGGAACATACTGACTTCCAGAGTCCCAGTCAAAGGAAAATGTGTATGAATCCTTCCATGAGCCATCATATCTATGAAACAGAAATTGCAAATCTCCCTAGGGTCAAGTTTGTATCTAAATACATTCGAGGAGTTTATTTGGGAATCTCTCAAACCACAGGTCACATGTCAGTGTTTCTTCAGCTTTCTTCAAAAATTAAGTCAGCTGAGAAGGACAGTTGGTTTTTATTATATTCTTCTATTCCAACAGGCTTTTCATTAACAACAAGCAGCTTCTGACAGGGACTTTTAGTTATGTTCTCAAAAAAGCTAGCTGTTTTGAACCTCATATTTAGTTTATGCCTATACTGTAAAAATGAGTCCAAGGCCTCTAAAATTAGGAACTGACAGTATTGTCTAGTCAACTAGTGCAGATATTTAGGTTACAAAAAGAAAATATTCTGTATGTGACTTATCTTTCCAGACTGATATGTGGATTCTCAGTTGTTGACAAATTATATATTTTAGAATATTAGATTCAACAATCTCCTTCCTTATGCTTGGGTCAACATTATTCCTGTGAATTTCCTGTTTAGTTCAAATTCACTGAAATATAATGCCACCTACTTACTCAGTGGCCTGATTACTTAGAGGTGAGGATCCCACCTACATCTCGGTGCAGCCCTGTGGCATTGAACCTGCCACTGGAAAATTCAGGAAGAAAACTCAATAGAGGCTTTCTTTGGGGAGTTCTAGGCCAATGATGGTTTTGTAGACTACGCTAAAAGTACTTAGAGTGGACCAGTTTAATAAAAGATTTAAGACCCCTGAAGTCCCATTACTATCAAGTTTCATGTGCTTTTTTAAAGCTTCTCCAGTGAATGCATACAACAGCGAATGAAACCTTTCTGAGGACACGCCAGTGGAACATTAAAAAGCATCAGTTTCTAGAACTCATTAACTTATTTAAATGTACGTTGCTCCCATATTTGCATGAATTCTACAGAACACTAGCCCATAGACCATCTAGATGGTACCAAAGGACTATTACCTCCTAAAAAGGGAAAACCCAAATACTCCATCCCATTCTTAACCAGGCCACCACGATTCCCATCTATTCATCAAAAACATTCACAGAGCTAACTAAACTTCCGCCAGAAATCTGCATTAAAAAGTACAACCTACAAGATAGTGGGATATTTTTCATGTAGTCATCAGAATAAAGACCGATCGAGTATTTAATATATATTTCCTGCACCCAAGGCATCATCATAAATCATATCCAATGTTGTAGAGTCTAGTTTTAAAGCAGTTAATTATTACCTAAATACACTTTTGCAATTGGCATTCATAAAATATGAAATGTCAAGAGGTTTTTTTTTTTTGAGACAGAGTCTCTCTCTGTCACCCAGGCTGGAGTGCGGTGGCACAATCTCAGCTCACTGCAACCTCTGATTCCCAGATTCAAGTGATTCTCCTGCCTTAGCCTCCCGAGTAGCTGGGATTACAGGGGCCCACCATCATGCCAGGCTAATTTTTGTATTCTTAGTAGAGGCAGGGTTTCACCATGTTGGCCAGACTGGTCTCAAACTCCTGACCTCAAGTGATCCGCCTGCCTCAGCCTCCCAAAGTGCTGGGATTACGGGCATGAGCCACCGCGCCCAGCTAAAAGCTATATTTTTAAGTTCCATGCACAGAAGATACTGTTGATTGCTAAAATTTATGTGGCTTAACAGATCTATTCACTCCTCATTGCATTAGCTATGCATTAGCTATGCATTAGCTGGGGAATAAGCAGTCTTTTCTTTTTGTTATGTTTTTAACATACACTACGTGAAAAAAAAAAGAAGAGAAAGAACCCCTACAGGCCAGAAGAGAAAATGGAGTTTAGGGAGGGAGTAGAAATAGGTTAAAGAGAAAATAAGGGATATGTAGGGAATAAGGAGAAGGCTTGTTGTTTGGTGTCTTGCCAGGAGGAAAGGAGGGATATATTATGTTTTGCTCTGTTTTGCTCGTTTGTTTTAAGTACATAGATGAGTGCTTAAGTGTACACAGAAAACCAAAATCAGGGAAGAGAATGCAACAACAGCAAGGAGTTTTAAAGGAATGTGCTAAACAGGTGTCTGTTACATTAGGGCTGTTTTATTTGTTTGTTTGTTTTTGCAGTAAGGAAGTTCATATAGCAAAAATGTGTCTGGATCAGAAACATGAATTAATGATAAATGATTGTATGACATACTGACCTATGTATTATTAAGTAATCATGGAGACATCAACCTAAATATATACGGATTCACACTGTCTACATTTGTGTGTTTATTGCCTACTCTTTTGTCAACCACACACATCAGTAAAAACATGAAGAGCTAGAAAATTTTCAGGATGGCCTCAAAAATGACTTAAGGACTGATGGCTTACTGCAGGGTATAAAGCATTTTGGAAGGAAGACCGAATAGGAACATGATTACATTTCATGAAAATATGAAGTTTATATACTATGTAATCAGGAGTGGTTCACCAGATTATGCAGCACTGAAACTGAAGGGGAGAAGAAGCACTTGCATGTTGAAAGAAGTAATTTTAGAACATATAGAAGGAAATTCTACTGTACTCTTTGAGTTATACATTCATCATACCAAGCAGTGCTAGAGACATGAACAGAATACATGCTGAAGGGATTCAGATAACTGCATGGATAAAGTACTCACAATGAGTTGTTAAAGGGAGATAGAGCTGTTTAGGATATGTCTACACTTTTGTAAAGATGATGTACTGAAGATTATTTTTGTTCTTCCACAAAGACATTTCTTAGCTTGTCTATCACGGTAGTCTTCTGAATGAACTAAGTGTCACAGTACCTAGGAAAATGCCTGGTAGGAAGTAGGCTACAGGTCTTTGCTTGATTTGTTGAATCCCTTTTGTACTTCAGAGAGATATCACCTTCAGAAGACTGATGTTGTTGACCTAATATGCTAATATTTAATTTGGATGAGGAAGTTATCTGAGCAATGCATATAACTGTCATTAATAAATAAACAAATGGGATGAATTACTATTAGCAATGGGATATTAATGCATAGGATGCCAGACTTGGTTAAGACACCTGAGTTTCTCTGTGGCTTCTGCTACTGCCCAGGGAATGTTTCATTCCCTTTGAAGTAAATGGATACAGATAATCAAGGCTAGACGAAGACAGACAGCTGTCTGTGTAGGCCAATTTAGTATTGCTTCAGCCCATATTCTTTAAATATACGCTTATGATTTATTTAAAGACAGCCTGATAAGCACAGAGGAAAGAGGATAGGATGGGCCTCTTCTCCACTGGCTTCAACAATTCAGCTCTGACTCAAACTTGTACCCTCTGCTCAGCAGAATGTGACAATAGCAGTAACCAACACCCCCAGCCCTCTTTGAAGGCAGGTAGGTGAAGGGAAGGTCTGTGGTTACTTGAGCAGGCCCTTGGAAGTCTCAGCGTTCCATTGCTACCCCAAACAGCTTCCTGAGAGGCTCCTAGTAAGCATATTATCTGTTTTATTACATATCAGTATACAGATTGATTCAGTATACTGTTTCCATTTTCAGTATATGTTTCATTTACAGAATGGTGCCTGGAGTTCCACCCTTAATTCAGTTCTTCAGCTGAAGCAAAAAGAAGAGTAAGAACGATTATCCAGTAAATTTGAGAATTTTACTTAAATTCTTTGCCGTGGCCACAGATGATCAGTAGATTGGGACTCTATAGAGATTTGTGTTATTTCTGTATTCACATCATCTAGGCCAGTGACAGAACACGCTTAGTCAATGCTTATGGAAATAGTGAATGGATGACTGACGGAAGACACAACACCAGGTCACTCCCTCATTCTCCTCTTCATTTGGTCCATGGATACACCCCAACGACCACTATACTTTATTCTCACACTACTCCTGGTGAGAACTAATACAAGTTTATGAAAGAAGGAGGCCTTCTTGGGAGGGGATACGCATTTAATGCTAGCCAGCAACAGCACAGGAAGTTCAGTTTTCAAGCTCAGCCATTTAAACTATTTTATTCTGTCCAAACAGTTCCATATGCATTGGGTTAGACTGCACCATATGAAACAGCCTATTTTCAACCGTGATTGGCTTACAAAGAGGCAAATCATAGTAGAAACTGCATTGCTTTCAGAATGACTTGGTAGAAGAAACATGGAGATCAGATTGTGGGGTTCTGAATTCAGCTCTCAACACTGAAAATCACTTTCATTGACTCATTCAATAAATATTTAGCTTACATCATACGCAAGACTGTGAGGAATACTAAGATGTGTGAAATACAGTTGCTGCCTTCTTCAGGCCCACAGCTTACTTGGGGAGATAAAATTCACCAACAAAACACTACAATCCAAGGCAGAGTATGATGGCACCAAAGTCGCCCATTTTTTTAATTAACTGCATTTCGAGCAAGAGAAATTACTTCCTGCTGTAATAATCAGGAAGGCAATATAGAAGACAGGACAGTTGAGCTTCGGATTAAAGGATGATTAAGTTTCATTAAGCAGAGAGTTGGGGGAGGGTGGTTCAAGCCAGCGACAAGGCAGGAGCCAGGGTGCAGAGGCTGGAAGCACAGTGCTATTTTGGTTTGGCTGGACAGATGGTTTGCGTGGGCAGACTGTGCGAGATAAGACAAGAAGCCTGTTTCTTCCATGCCATGTAGTAGGCACGTTTTCATTTGAGTTGGTACATTGAATAAATGAAATAAGAAAGATCAGTAGAAAGAATCCCAGAATGGAAATCAGGAGACCAGATGTCAGCTTTGTCACCAATTCTCTGGGCTTCTTCAGACAAGTCACTATGGGGCTGTATTGTTCTCGTTTGTCAAATGCAGGTAATTTGACTAATCTCTACATGGTCCAAAGAGGTACAAAGATAAAATGAACAATGATAAAGAAAACTCTCTGAAAAGGAAAACTGGTATGCCATTTCCCCTAACACGAGTTGTTATGGATTAAAGTTAAGTTAGACATTCTTGGTAACAACAAACATATGTACCTTCTGCTTAGAGTACTTATTGCATGGTAATCTAATTTGTCAGTAACAGGCGATTGTGATCACCTGGGTCAACCAAGAATACAACAAACTCTCACAGATGGAGGCATGGACAGAGACAGTGTGGAAATAGCTGCTCTATATCAAAGGAAAGGCCCATCATGGTACCTGGGGAGAAACCAGGGGAGGAAGCCTCCTGGAAGTAGGAGACTGGATGGAAGAATTCCTTGAGCCCCAGGAATGTTATCAGACAGCAGAAACCTCCTGGTGTCCTTCCAGTCTACCCTTGCTCCAGCAGCTCATAATCCAGGCACAGGTTGCCGATGCAAAGCAGGAAGAAGTGCTCTTTTCTTTGCCAGTAACCTATCTGGAACTCATCTACAGTGCCAGCCAGCCATCAGGGCAGCACGGGTGTGCCTCCATCACAGCTTCTTGGGTGAGTCTTGCTCTTTTTAGCCAATTTTCCTCCCCTCTTAGGTCCTGGGATGGACCCTACCAGAATAGCCCTGCATTTCCAAAACAGGATTTGTTTTGACAGATTCTCCTCTGCTGACTCCAATCCGGTCAGATGCCTGCTGAGACATTTCCTATGCAGGTCCCAGGGCCTGTGGCTTCTTTTGGTGTTTACATTCTGTGGATTTGAGAAGGCTACCAGGTAGATTGACCCATCTGTGTGGCACTGCCACCAAAGCCACAGGGAGCAGCAGCCATTTTCTGGGGAATTGTCCTTGACACTCCTGATCAGTCACTGACATATGTCTGATCAGTGA
Source organism: Homo sapiens (assembly GCF_000001405.40). NCBI lineage: Eukaryota > Metazoa > Chordata > Mammalia > Primates > Hominidae > Homo > Homo sapiens. The sequence goes on along the minus strand of NC_000002.12, from coordinate 46,669,013 downwards.
CCGGATGAGCTCATTTTCCCCAGTGCAGTGAGTTGTCCTAGAAAATCCAGGCCAAACCCTAGGAGGCAGAACCTCAGGGACTCCAGTTTCTGCACAGAGTACCTCCCCAGGCATCTGCTTTCTAAGTTTGGAGTCTCCATCTTACTAGAGCTCACAGGCAGTTTCAGGAAAGGAAATGAAGACTGAGTGGCCATGGAATTTAGAATTGCGCAGATGTGGGGCATTGCTCCACACCGTAGGCATCTGCTTCTTCTGTTCCCTGGGCAAGGTGATTTGGGGCCAGTCTTAGGTGTCTCTGATTGGGAGAGCCCCATGCTCCTTCATTCAACCTGCATCACATCGTGGAGAAGCAGGAGTCGCAAGGGGAGAAGTCCAACCACAGTAGGAAAGTACTAATATCATGCAGAAGAGCAATGCTGCCGCTTACCAGGTATAGGTATGATGAAAACAACCAATGTTGCTGCATACAGAGACTTAGAGCAAAACAGCACTTGTCTGGACCCCTTGGGAAAGTTTCTCTTAAAATTCAAGTGAGCAAGAAACATCCAGTCCAAGGAAATTCTCCACCACGTACGTTTTCTGGTCTGGAACAGAATACCAAAAACTCTCCTTTATGTCTGGAAGTAAAATTTACCTGTCATTTCCTTGCATGCCTGTCACTTACAACATAATTTCAGGAAGATTGGCTGGTGCTCATGGTGTGCTTCTGCTACCACGAGGTGGATGAGTTTCAGAAGAGTATTGTTTATAGCATTTGAGAATCTTCCAGTGTTCTATTATCGTAAAAGGAGATAAAATAAAGGTTAGGCCTGAGTTATAACTCCAAGTCGACATGAGCCCAACGTTGAGCTATTAACAGGGCTGGCATTTCACAGCAGAGCTGCCATAAGCGGGATCAACATTAATTAATAATACCTTGGCATATAGCAGGGAATTGTTTGGCAGCTCAGAAAAGCCCTTGTCAAGACAGGCAAAGGTCTAAGCCTTAAGGCTGTAGATCTGCATGCTGAACCATCCGGAGAACCAGGGTTGAATTAGGTCTCTGAATGATAGGGATAACGATGCTCTTGTGACTCCTGAGGACACAGTGAGATCGGGCAGTTGGGAGTGCATGGATATGCTGCATAAGGATGTATCACCACGTGTTTACAGTCTATAGACTTATGTATGTGATTATTCATGGCTTGTTTTCGTACAATGATACATAGTTACAGTAGATATTTGTGTATTGGGTGTTATTTTCTACGAATGTAGACTAGGCCAAATATTTTCTATTCCTCAATCAAGGTACACTTGGAGAATTGACAGGATGTGTCAGATTTTCATTTCCTGACACATACTTTCTAGATATGTGTCCGCATAGCTTCACTGAAGTAGAATTCTAACAGCCACAGAATTGAAATTGGAATGGCTGGGCAAGATCTGTACCTGGGCTTCCTTTGTTTATGACTATTGGATTGGAAAGGGTTTTCTCTTTTAGCAACCTTTTTCCTTCCAAATAAACCTGACCTATTTTGTTCACTCCTTCACTGTGTCTGCTCAATATTTTTAGACTCCTTTCCCTTGGAACTTTCTAGCACATGGTGCTCTGTGACTATTCTTTTCTGGTAAGCCAAAAGCTTGCCAGCACTAGGACCTACCTATGCCTCATAAGTTGGGATTTCCTAAGAGCAGGAAGGGTTTCTCTCCTTTTTGACCATGGGCACTCTTGGGGTAGAGGCTCCTGCCTCTCGCCTCCCCTCAGGGCCTTTGGAGAAGGGGCTGCAGTTGGCTGACTCAGTTCAGGTTACCATTCAGCCACGTGGTTGCAAGGGACCTGCAGGCCAGTAGACCTGTCTTCACAATAAAGAATTCTGTCATGGCCAGAGCAGGTTTACAGACCGTGGAGTTTTCAAGTGGCTCAGTGGGTCTGTTCCTTCTCCCCCCTCTCTCTCTCACATACTCTCTCTGTCCCTTCTCTCTGTCTCATGCTGATTTTCCATAACTTAGCCTGAAATCCTTGAATATGAGACAATCTTCCACATCTGACTTGTACATTTTGTGTAAGCTAAAATTAAACAAAACCAAAAAGTAAAATATATTGCAAATCCCTGGCATTGCCCTAGAGTCCCTGTAGCGGGTGGCATCATTGTCAGCTGGTGAATTTGGGAGGTGGGGAGTCGGGTGATGATCAGATGCCTGTTAGTTTTGGAGGCTTTTCTCTGAGCTCCACTATATCATATAGCCCAAAATTATTTGGATCCACTTTGGGGCAACTGCTTGGCCTAGAATGTTCCCCAAGTGCTTTTTTTTTTTTTTTTTTAAAGAAATGAATTGGCTGTATTTCACAGAGTAGAGTTAGTGTTTTTAAAAGTCTGAAAAATGATATCCAGATGTTCAACACAAAGTTGGGGGGTGGGGGCTTTCCTCCAATTCCAAGCCTGCCACAGTGATTCTTATTTTGGTTCCTCCCATCTGGACAGCTGCCCCGAGCTCTCTGGGGGGCTACCTTAGGAGACCGCCCGGGAGCTCCAACTGGCCCCAAACCTAAAGAAGGAAGGCGGGCCATCTGGAATGCATCGTCCAGATCGGCTCCACGCTGCCCAGGCACCCTGACAGCTTTTTGGGACTGTGCGAAGCTTGGATTTAATCCATCAGGCTCTCTCTCCAGTCGGAGGCCTCCAGACTTCTCTTTGTCTCCTTCCAGCATTTGGATTCCATAGAGGCATAATTAGACCTGCTAGTCACTTCCAAGTTTGTCTTTCTCAGGAAAAGGACCAAGGTGTACTCTGAGAGACACTGTCCAGCAGCCCTTGGGCTGGGAACAAAGGAAGGGGAATGGTTTAGGCAAGAACGTTCTCGCCACCTCCTTTTATTCCCACTGCAACATCTCAACCATCCACTTCAGTCCAATGATCGACGCTTATTTGGAAAGGAGAAAGAAAATTCGTCCAGGATACTGTGGGGAGCCTTACAAAAAATGGCAACCTGACTTTCCATATCATTTCCACACCATGGAAGGCCTGGCTGGGAGAAATAAAGGGATGAAAGTTATGGGAGAGAAAGGGGTTAGGAAGAAATTTAGAACTGTCCTCAAACCAAATTTCAAAAAAGGATTGAGGGTTTCACATTTTAAAAACCCATACATTCCTGTAAACTATTGATGGATTTATTGCAAATTATTTTTCTAGGGCAATAAACACTTTGTTAGTATGGGAAAAGTACTGACCTGTTCCTTTACAAAATCTAAACCTTCTCCCTCTCACTTTGTTTCTACTTCTGATTTGTTTCTTCATAGACAAGACAAAAGATTATTTCCCCCAAACTTCTGACCAAGGAAGCACAGATTCCAAGTTAATTGGATCTAAATGAAAGAGAATCTACCGGTTGGGTGCGGTGGCTCATGCCTGTAATCCCAGCACTTTGGGAGGCTGAGGCAGGTGGATCACTTGAGGTCAGGAGTTTGAGACCAGCCTGGCCAACATGGTGAAACCCCGTCTCTACTAAAAATATAAAAATTACCTGGGCATGGTAGTGGGTGCCGGTAATCCCAGCTATTCGGGAGGCTGAAGCAGGAGAATCGCTTGGACCTGGGAGGCGGAGGTTGCAGTGAGCCGAGACTGTGCCACTGCACTCCTGCCTGGGCGACAAAGGGAGACTCCGTCTCAAAAAAAAAAAAGAAAGAAAGAAAGAAAGAAAATCTATGTCTCACATCAGGCTAGTTCTCTCAAATGGCTAGAGTGTGCTGACAATAAATTCCAGAATTATCCAGTACTGTCATCTAAGAGTTGCCTTTGAAGCCTCTAGTATGTTTGGCAAACATACTAGAGCAAACTAGGTGTATGTTTCATGCATCTATTCAAGTCACCCATCTGCCAGCTGCCAGTTGCATTAAGCTCTCCTTGCTTCCTCTTCCAGCCCCATTTCCAGCCACTGCTCACTCCTCCAGGTTCACCACCTAGAACTAGCAAAGTGCAACCTAGAACCAAGTTACAATGCTGCTAGCTACACGTAGGTCTCAGCAGAGGTGAGTGGAGCAAGCCACACTTCTATATATGGCCCTGCTCTTTCACCTTCCCCCCCAACACATGCCACCACCACAAAAGCTATACAAATGTATCAAGATTTGGAGCAATAAGGAGGTCATATTGTTCTACAGTGGACAAATTAAAATTGAGCGGCGAAAGTCCTCTGGCTATTCCACATAGCAAATTTTTTATTCTGCTTTCCCCATCTATGTTCCAGCCACCTGTATCATTCAAACTGCTCCAATCTTCTCCAAGATTCTCTGTTGTATTTTCTCCATTACCTCCAGTATCTACCAATTATTTATGCAGAACAATTGAGCCAACCCTTTGTCTCCTTCCAGATGACCACCTCCCATATCGACAGAGACCTGCAAACTATTACAACAGACAGGTTAGTGTACTCCTTCCCCATGCTGGAAAAAAATCACTTGAAGCACTTGTCCTCTGCAGGACATCTTTGTGCTAGATCTCACTGGCAGATGAAGGCATGTGGCCAGGGTGAGGTGGGGCTGGGGAAGTGATCCAGTGCAGAAGTTGGCCCTGGAAGTGCCAGTGACAGGTAGACAAGCATCTCAAGGTCAATCTCAGCTTTGATTTCATACCAGGTTGAGCCTGAGGTTTCTAATCTGGCAGGCAGAGCATAGCCCAGGGAATTTGAAAGGGAGTCGGAGCTCAGAAAGCCTCTGGGTGGGCAGATACCACAGGGACGGTTGACCTGTGGGCTGCAGGACTCAGCAACCAAGTTTGGGTATAGACCGACACTCCAGTTCAGGAACGAAGACCAACAGCAGTAGAGTCTCCTATCATGGGATCATCATTCAGAGTGGAGCTCTAACCTCAGCAGAGGATTTAGGTGCTAGGCAGAATAATGAGCTGAAATGTCCAACATCAAGGTCAAAGCCTCAGGAGAACATGGAGAATGTAGAAAGAGCTATATATAACTCAGGGCCAATATGCACACCCAGTAGTCACTACAAAGGCCTCAGATCTCCAATTCATTTACCAGCAATAACCCTTGGACAGTAACATAGACACCAGGTGCTTAGGCACCTGGCTGTGGGGCATGACCTGATTCTAAGCCCCACTGGTTGGTGGGTGAGTGGGCTGGGCTAGGCTATTTCTGTCCTGAGCCAGCAGGGCGGGCTCTGTTGGACTAGGGAAGGCAGAGGAAGAAGAAACCATGCAGGGAATGGTAATCTTCAACCATGAAGGATAACATGTTTATTATTAGAATAGCAACTCCCTGGCATCCTGGCCAGGTACCAGCCGGATGTGGTGGAGAAAGCACCAGATTAGGAGTCCAGAAGTCCCTGTTCTAGTCTGGCTTTAGCCAGTAACCAGTTGTGGGTGCCTGAGCATGTATTTTCATTAACTGTTGGGCTTTTGGGCTTCAGTTTCCTCATTTTTGAAATCAGGAGGTTAGATTAAATCACTGGTTTTCAAAATGTGATCCTCAGACTGGCAGCACCAGTGTCACCAGGGAGCATATGGGAAATGTAAATGATCGGGCCCTGCCCCAGACCAACTGAATCAGAAACTCTGGGGGTGGAACCCAGTAACCTGTGCTTTAACATGCCTCTGGGGGTTCTGATCTACAACAAGGTTGGAGACTCAATAGGCTAAATAATTTCTAAGTCATCATCTGTTAGGAGAGATGAAATCAATCTCTCCGTTTCTCTAAGTCTTCTCTCTCTCTCTTTTCACACACACACACACACACACACACACACACACACACCCCAAGCCACATATAACTTGGCCAGTAAGACAACCCATCTTCTAAAATCTTGCAGTTAAAAGCCCCATGAGCAGGTCTTGGCTGCATGTACCAGAGACCCAGCCCACAGCTTCTTTCTCCTCAGCCTGTCCCTGAAACCAGAGCCTGCCTCTGCAAGGGCTACATTAGCGTTCTAGCCAGCAGGAGGCAAAGTGTACAATAAATTCTTGTCTCTTCTACCTCCTGCCCAATTAGCCAGAGGTAAGATAGGAAGATTTACTTTTTCCACAAGCAAGGTCACAACCTGAAGTCGTAATAGAAGCCAGTTTCCATCCTGGCTCTCCTGAGGCTGCGGCAGTGGATTGGCTGACACGCAGATGGCTCTGCCTGGTAGCAGGGATTTAATAGGCAAAGCGATGCAGGGAGGAGAACTGAAAGGGAAGAATAGCTGTGCTAAGCCTGTTGCCTTCTGGTTAAAAAAATTTATAGATCTATTTATAACCTGCCTTGCTCCACAAAGGATTTGAGGCGGCTGCCTTCTTGTTGGGAATTCCTTGATGCCAATGCTTGGCATCTGATACCATGGACTTCCTGGCCCGCAGCAAGGGGCCAAGTCTTCCTTGTTCAAGAAACCTCTGTGGAGGATAGAATGGCTACTCCTCCCAGTCTGTTGTAGAATATTCATCTTCCTGCTCATCCCCTTCCTTCTGCCTGCCTCCCCTCGGAGAAGATATGGTCACCATGATCCTGTCTGGTTTTTGTTTTTAAATGATATAACCTGACTCCTAGCTTTACATTTTTCCATTCAGGCCAAATAAACAAGATCCGCAAGGAAAATGTTCAAAAGCCCAGTTTGAGGAGTGGTTGTCAAAGGTCTACACATAAAGGGAATTCTTCACCTTTCCTCAGTGATTTATTGCTATGGGAAATATGCCAACCGATCAATCATCTGTTGGATACATACTCTGAGTTGATTTGGGTTGGCAGGGGGCATGGAAATAAGTTAATACATATTAAATGCTTAGAAGAAAGCCCAGCCCATAGTAAAAGCTCAATAAGTGTTATCTTAAATGAACAACAAAACCAAACAACTAAAATAAACCCCAGTAATGAACATGGATTTGTACTGAAACCACCTAAATTCCCTTTGGGAAAAAGCAGGCTGGAGCTATGGATTCAGCTAGGTTTGTCTCTTTGTGATACTAATTGATCCCTGTGAGTCTGAATTCCCAAATCTGGCCTCTTTTCCATTTTCACTTATCTTCTTAGCCTAGCGTAATATTTAACAATTAAGTCCTTCCTAGCTTTTTTCCAATTTCAGAATAAATAATTCCATTTCCTTAATAAACCTCCCAAAGGAGGCTTATGATAAAGGTTTAGTACCTTTGTGATGTCCTTGGGCCACTAGGATAATAGTAAGCAGAGACTGCCACCCATCATGTTTTGACATTGGCTGAGCCTACCTACATGGGGTGGCCTTGCCCTGGACTGCAGACGTGCTGTGGTCTCTGACACTGCTTTGCATGGTCTGGCCCCTACTCTGCCCCAGCATTGCTGCACCGGCATTATTGATCTGCACGTAGATGCTCATCCCTGCCCTTGCTGTTTACCCATGACACTGCCTGCTCAGGCCCTTTTTGGAATCTGATAAATCATTTAAAAAATTTCACAGGGAAGAGTTAACAGCAAAGAATAGACAAGATACTTCTAAAGAAGAAAAAAGGACTTATCCTGACAGATATCAAGACTTATTTCTAAGCTATAGAAATGGGAACTGTGGGCTGGGAACGGTGGCTCATGCCTGTAATCCCAGCACTTTAGGAGGTGGAGACAGGCAGATCATGAGGTCAGGAGATCAAGACCATCCTGGCAAACACGGTGAAACCCCGCCTCTACTAAAAATGCAAAAAATTAGCTGGGCGTGGTGGCACGTGCCGGTGGTCCCAGCTACTCAGGGGGCTGAGGCAGGAGAATTGCTTGCACACAGGAGGCAGAGGTTGCAGTGAGCCGAGATCATGCCACTGCACTCCAGCCTGGGTGACAGAGCGAGACTCCATCTCAAAAACAAAAAAGAACAAAAAAAAAGAAATAGGAACTGTGTTGTTGGTGCAGGGACATAAAAATACACCAGTGGAATAAGAGAGCCTAGAAACAGACCCACATATTTATAAACACGTGGCAGAGGAGGCAGTAAAGATGGGCAAGCGGGGCTGGGCGTGGTGGCTCACACCTGTAATCCCAGCACTTTGTGAGGCTGAGGTGGGGGTGGATCGCTTGAGCCCAGGAGTTCAAGACCAGCCTGGGCAACATGGTGAAACTCGGTCTCTACAAAAAATACAAAAATTAGCTAGGTGTGGTGGTGGGTGCCAGTAGTTCCAGCTTCTTGGGAGCCTGAGGTGGGAGGATTGCCTGAGGCTGGGGAGGTTGAGGCTGCAGTGAGCCATGTTCATGCCACTGCACTCCAGCCTGGGCAACAGAGTGAGACTCTGTTAAAAAAAAGAAAGAAAGAAAGAGAAAGAAAGAGAGAAAGAAAGAAAGAGAAAGAAAGAAGGAAGGAAGGAAGGAAGGAAAGAAAGAAAGAAAAGAAAAGAAAGAAAGAAAGAAAGAAAGAAAGAAAGAAAGAAAGAAAGAAAAAGAAAGAAAGAAAAAGAAAGAAAGAAAGAAAGATGGGCAACGGGGCTGATAGTCTATTCAATGAATGACACTGGAAACTTGGTTTCCATGAATATGAAAAAAAATGAATCCCTGCCATATACAAAAAAATGAAACTTAAATGTAAAAGGCACAATTTTAAATATCTTTTAAAAGAAACTACAGAAAAACTTTAGGAATTCAGCATAGGAAAGAATGTCTCTGATAAGTCACAAAAGACACAAACCAGAAAGGAAATGGTTAATACATTTTCTCCATTAAAATTTTAAATGTATATTCATCACAATTCATTTTTAAAATAGTGAAAAGACATGCCACAATCTGGGAAAAATTATTTGCAGTTTATGTAACTGGCAAAGGGTTAACATCTAGAATATATGAAGGAAACCAATGAATCAATAAGAAAAAATGAAACACTGCAATAGGAAAGTGGACAAAAGACACAAACTGGCATTCACAGAAAAGAAAACCAAATGGGCAGTGAAGAAGTGGAAAGATGCTCAACCTATCAGTAATAAGCAAAACGAAAATCAAATCTACAATGAAATACCTTTTCCATACCTACCAGACAGGCAAAAATTTAAAAAGTCCAGCAATAACAAATGCTGGAAAGAATGTGGAGCAACCAGAACTCTCAAATCCTATTGGTATGAAAATAAGTTGGTATCATTACAGGAAAACAATTTGGCATTTTCTAGTAAGGAGAAAAATAGGCATACCCTACAATACAGCAATTTTACTCCCAGGTTGGTACCCTAGAGACTCTGTATATGTATATGTAGGTGTATATTATGTATATGTATATCTATGTCTTTACCAAAAGATACGTACAAGAATGTTTTGTGCCATGTGTTCAAAATAACCAACCCAAATATCCATCCCCACCACTAAACAAACTTGTAAATTTGTATATGTTCATCCAATGCAATACCATATGGCAGTAAAAATGAACAATAACTACATGCTTCAATATGGGTGAATCTCACAAATATTGACAAAGGCCAAGAAAAAGAAAAATATACTGTGTTCCTTCACTTAAAGATAAAAACCTGACAGAACTAAAATATTGTTTATGGACACAGTATATTGTTATATTATTCACTATATGTTTAACTAATATATATACTATAACAATATGTTGCATAACATATTGTTATATATGTTAGTGTCTTGGCAAGAAAGAGATAGCACACTGGAAATGGGTGACTAAATAGAATGTATTAGAGGGAACTACAAAATATAAGTTGGGTTAGGGTATACATTCCTAATAAGGCAGTATCACCCTCAAGGGGTGAAATTGCTTCTTAGTGAGCAAAATATAGTATTCTTGTCAAATATAAAACACAAAGATATCTACAGTACATAAATAGATCAACGGTATATGTGTGGTATTAAAATTTCATGGCAGGGAGATGACTGGGGGAAAAAGTCTGAAAAGGGTATTTAGGGGAGTCATGATTTTTAAAAATGATTAAGAAACACTAGGTTTGGGAAACCACCAGGGAATGGTTCAGCACCCTAGGGCTGGCAGAGCAGCCAGGAAGCTTTACCATCACTAGACCTGAAGGAGCTGGGGAGGGCATGGAAAGGGCTGCAGGGTGGAGAAGGCTACCTGCCAGAACCAAGAGTGACCTCGGTAGATGAATGCCACCGATTCATGGTGGGTGCCCCAGCAGAGAGGGAGCAGGGGAGCAGACACCCTGGCCTCATTCTCATCCTCTGCTTTCCTGTCAGTGTTTCACTTTGGCCAAACCCACCAGGAAGCCAAGGATCAAGGGAGCTCCCTGGTGCAGTCCAGATGGGCCAGCCTCATGGGACACACGGCAGTATGGAGAAGCCTGGAGACGGAGCTGAAGGGGCAAATGGAAATTATTCAGCAGATGTATGTGGCAACATTGTAAAGGGTAAAGGAGTCATCAGCAGACATTTCAGCATCATGGTCGCCTCTGAAGGGTGACCTTCACGCTACCTTCGATAGCGGTGGTAATATTCTATGCCTTAAATTGAGTGGTGGGGCCGCAAGTGCTTATTTTATTCTTCTTCAGCAAGACACATATATTATTTACATTTATTTGCAGATAGAATCCATTTCATAGAATATTTTTAGCAAGTTAATATGGTAGTAACTAGGTAGGTGAGGTAAAATGAAAAGAGCATTCACTAGGCCTGGAGACAAAAGGTGGATGGAATCTAGGCTTTACCACTAAGTAGCTCAGATTAAGCAAATAAATAATCTTTGACGAACCCTGTCAGAGGCTGGGGAACCACTGTCCCTAGCCCCACCTGAAATTAAGTACTGTTGTATCAGCAGCCTTTTTGGGGCCTAATCCTCAACTGAAAGTCAAGATATAGTACTCTTCTCACATGGTTGCTATGATTAAATTAAAGTATATACAGTATATGAAATCATGTGCTACACTAACTGGTGCCTACTTACATATTTTTGCCTCTTCTCTATCCTACCTATGTCCTGTTGTGTATTTCTTTGCAAGTTCCTGTGCTCTGGCCAATCCAATCTCCCTGACCCCCGACCCTGTCCCACTTGGTGCTATATCCAGACAGAAGTTCATGCCCCAAGTCCTTCCCCAGCCTGGTCCTCCCACGTGTCCATCAGCCTGGCTCAAGCCCCACCCTTCCAGGGTGCTCAGCACAGTGTCTCTGTAGTCCTTTACAAACTAGATGTTAATAAAAATAGGAGTTAAGGTATCATCACACATGCTCTCACTGAATGCAACTGGGGCCGGGCGCAGTGGCTCACACCTGCAATCCCAACACTTTGGGAGGCCGAAGGTGGGTGGATCACCTGAGGTCAGGAGTTCGAGACTAGCCTGGCCAACATGGTGAAACCTGGTCTCTACTAAAAATACAAAAATTAGCCGGGCATGGTAGTGCATGCTGATAATCCCAGCTACTCGGGAGGCTGAGGCAGGAGAATTGCTTGAACCCGGGAGGCGGAGGTTGCAGTGAGCTGAGATCGCACCACTGCACTCCAGCCTGGGTGACAAGAGCAAAACTCCATCTAAAAAAAAAAAAAAAAAAAAAAAAAGCAATTGGGACTGTTGACCAGTTAACAGACAATGAAACACACCAGCCTTCAACATCTTATTTTAACTTAAAATGTACAAATATGTGCTTCTTGGCCACTGTTTTGATGAAAGACCCAGGCATTTTATTTGAGCATGAGCTTGTCATCATCTTTCTTGCATCATTCCAGTTTCTGTAAGTTGGAGCAAGAACATAGTCAAGTGTTCTTGTCAAGTCTGTGACCTTGAGAAGTGCAAGATCTTGCAACAGACCTGGTACCAGAAGGACTTTGTATTCCTAAGCACAGTGCTAACTGGAGTAGTGTCCTACAAATTTAGCTGAATTGCACAGAGCTTCTTGGATGGGGGCCGGAAGAGGATTGGGACAAGAACAAATAGGAGAAGCTGTAAGATATGGTGAGTGCCAAAGGAAACTCGTCTTAAATGATAACACTGCCTCTGGTGGTCAATCTCTAGATCAATAACTGGGCACAGTTTCACAGGTACCAAAGCCTTCCACCAGGTCTGTCCCTCTCATATTCAGTTGCTGAATCCTCTTTTCGGGTGTGTGTGTAGGGGCTGGGGTTTGGGAGGCTGGGGAGAAGAGGACAAGCATGGTGAGTGGGGCAGGCTTCACTTTCCCTCCTGAACTCAGCTTCCTTGGCATCTCTGTGCCATTCTTTGTCCACTCTTTGCTCCCAGGTCAGAATTCAGTTCTCAGCAATTTACAAAAGTCTTGACTTGGCCCTGGAATGCTGGCAAGCTCCAGCGGAATCAGAGACCTGAGCACAGTTCCCTAGGGCTGTTGAGGCTTCATGTGAGAGGCTTAGCAAATCCCAAGGAGAGAGTCAGTATACACACGTGCATATACATATGTGTGTATGTGTGAACAGGTATGTATGTGTGTGATTCTTCCCCCCACCTAAGCCAGGTGAGTAAAAACTGTAAATTGCAGGGATTAAAGAAATGCCCTTCCAGTTTATGGCCCCAGGAATTTCAAGGTGTGTACACGGAGGCTATAAATTATATTGTTTTTAATAAATATAATCTTATTTCCCCCACATGGACAAGGATCTCCCAGGGTGCAAGGGAGGCCAGGAAAGTCCAGCTTGTCTGGTGGGGATCAGTCCTTCCCATAGTGCAGCCAGCTATGGGGGGCATGCGGGCTGTGTAGGGAAAGACAGCCAGGTGGAGGCACGCTGGCTACAGTGGCTGCGGCAGAGGGTAGGCAGGGGTGGTGACATAGAAACCCAGGCCCCTTTAGCACTGTGTTTCTCATCCTCCTGTCCACCCACAGATCCTGATTTAGGAGAGCTGGAGAATGGCTGTGAAACTGCTGCCTGGCAGGAAAAAGGAAGGGAATTCCTGAAGTGCTCCTGATTAGCGCTCCCAGAGTGTTAGTCATTTATTTCTTGTTAGCATGACTTGGGTTCTTTAAAGATTTGGACTGGATGTGAAGAAGTCCCAAGGGCAATTACAGCCTGGGTTAAAAGCTTGTAGGAGTTAGGACCTTCTAGCACAGGCTCCTGACATTAAAGATGTTCAAACTATTGCCCAGAGAGGTCCACTGACTTGCCCCAGGTCACACAGCTCATTGGATGGCATGCTTCATGTTTTTTTTTTTTTTAAAGACTGAAACATTCAGAAAAGTTTCATTGATTTTTACACTAAATGAAGAGCAAATTTGTAACCGGTTTCTTTGTTGACTAGCTTTGGAACTTTGGGCAGTGATTTTTAAAAACTTATTATTTTTTTGTAGAGGCAGGCTGGTCTCAAACCCCTGGGCTCAAGCAATCCTCCTGCCTTGGCTTCCCAGAGTGCTGGGATTACAGGCGTGAGTCACCGTGCCCAGCCTGTGTAAGTGATTTAACCTCCATTTCCTCCTCTGTAAAATGGAGTAAATAACACCTCCCAAGATCATTGTGAGGATGCATAAGTTAACGTGTATGAGGCATCTATCTCAAGAACTCCAAGGACTCAATAAATGTTAGGTCTCCTTTCCTTCCCTCAGTATTCATTTTCTCCTCCCTGCCCTTTAAAATCACAGTTAACAAAAAATAAGTTCACAGCTGATTTCATAGGCAAGCTCACCTCAGTCCATATTGCAATGCAATGCAAATAGAGATGTCCTAGCCAGTCTGGGTAAGTCAGTGGCATAGTAAAAGGGATTGTGAGCAGGACGCTGAGAACAAGGGATGGGATTGGGTGGGGCGGGGATTGACTGAAGAGAAAAGGTCTCCAAAGGGAAGGTCGGAGGAGACTCTTACCAGTTATTAAAAAGATGTACTACAGAAGGACAGGCCTTGAGAGAGAGAAAGGGAGATGATAGTGACAGGACCAGAAGAGGAACTACTCAGATGCCATGGGTGGGAGTCCGATTAAGCAAGGAGGCCTGGGACGACTGTGGAGCCCACAGATCCCAGGAGCAAAACAAGCAGTCATTCAACTCCAGTCCCCCAAGGCAGACAGGTGAGCATCAAAGTGTGTGGGTTGCCTGGCGATGAAGCCCAAAGAAAGACACCTCCTTCCTCTGCAGCCATATGAGCTAAGGGAAGGATATGCCCGACCTTCTGCAGCTTTGGCAGAGGGGGCCTTGTCAGCTTCATATACCAGCTACCAAAGGAGTGATTCTAAAAACTGTTTTATGTTCATTACACTTCTTATTACAGCTCTTGTGCCAAAGATGCTTGGCAATGGAAAGCAGAGTGCTTGATTTGTGTAATAGATATTTTCACATGCAGCATACAGAAACACAAAAACAAAAGTGTCATAAAATGTTTGATCTGGTCTTTTTGTAGCAGCCATGGAAAACACAAAGGTTTCATTATCATGATGTTCCCCTGTAGGATCTGCAGAACACAACAGAACATGAGGGGAAGAGGGTGTTACTGCTGTGTAAAATTGGACTGAGGGAACACTGGAGCAGAAATGCAGACCTGAGCGCCCAGTGTGGGTGGCTCACCTTTCAAGCCCAATGGAAATCTAGCCTTTTCTTGGAAACTTTCCTAGCGAAATCTTAGAGGCACATGATGACTTTAGGGGTGTCTCTCCAGGCCACATCAGCCCTGAGGGGTAACCCAGTTTGTGCGGAACAATTCAATCACCTTTGGCCGCCTGGGTTCCCAGGTGCTCATTTCCTCGCACAGAAACCCCTCCTTACCATTGGAGGTAAATCTCCTTGTTGGGTTCCACCTGCCACATCCCAGCTACAACCTCAAGACCCAAGAAACCAGGGTTGAAATGCAAGGCACCAAGGCTGCTGCAGCCATCATCCAAACCCTCCACACAGGCCAGGGGCCGCTAGGCACTGGCCCAAGGCAGGGTGTAGCATCCAGACAAGAGGGGAATGGAATTTGCCAGATAATGGATGCCAGTGATTTGAGGAAGGCAACAGCCAAGGGAGAAATGGAAATGCAAACCAGGTACTGTCCAATGCAGCCGTCTACCTGAAAGGGCTCAGGAGAGGGAATCCATCTGGAGGCAAAGCAGTACAGTCAGGTAGAATTCCCTGAGCCTGAGAGCACAGCTCCAGTCTCTTTTTAAGAGGTGGAAGAGGAGGAAAGGTATCATGGCTTGGCTGGATGATCACTGTCCACTCAATGCTTACTGCTGTTATCACTTGCCCTAGAGAAGAGTTCTTGTTCTCTCCCTGCTGCTAATTACAACTCTTAATAGGTTTCCAAAATGCAGCTAATACACCCTCTGCTGAAAAATGTGGGGTGAGTTCCTAGGCATTTGCCAAGAATCTAGAGCTATTAGTGAGTAGCATTGCTACATCTCTTATCAGAGATATTCCTTTCACCTCACCACAATTCCTCATCCCTGGCCAATCCTCTTTGCTGACAAGGTTCCCAGATTGGGGCTGATGGAGTGAATGGAATGTCTTGCCTGGAATCAGGGGTCACAATAAAATAATAGAGCAGGTGAAGGGAGTGGGCTGAGGTCAGTGAGCCAAAGATGATCTAAATGGATGAAGTCAGGGAGATCATGTCAACAAACAGTGGTTTCAAGCTGGCACGCAGGAGGGTGGTCATGGCAGAAATCTGGAACATGGGCTGGAGCTGCGGCCCTGCCCAGTCTTTCTGCAGCAGGAGTCAAGACGGGGCTGCACTGATGGCCTTCCATAACTGGCCCAGCCCTGGGCCTCGGTGTGGGCTTTTCCAGACACCTCAGCTCTCCTATCTGGGCTGCTGAGGGCTTCTTCCCAGAGGTGAAGGCTTGCTCAAGGTCCCTCTTAGTTCAGGGAGTGAAAGCCTGGAGTTTGGGGGCCAACTGTCCGTCCTTCAAGTCCTCCTCACAATTTCTCTCCAAAGGCCTACAAAGTGTCTCATGCAAAACAGATTCTTCAGACCTGACCCCCTGTTCCTCAGTTCCTATGGTATTTTATGTCCCCTGCCCCACCCTAGACTTTTACTACCTTGCACATTTGGCCATTTTCTTAAATTACCAGCTATATTTTTGGTAATTATAGCCCATGTATCTTATCACGCCAATTACCTAGTGAGTGACTTTGGGTTTAAGTATGAGTGCTTAAAATGTTTCTGATCCTTTGCTAAGTGCTGTGTATAGACTATCCCATCTAATCTGCATAACAAATCTATGAGGAGATGTCATAACTTATTACCCTCATTCTTTTGAGAGGAACTAGGGACTAGAAATGTCAACAAACTTGCCCAGAGTTCTGGCTCGCTCTGTGAGTTGAGCAAGTTATAGCCACTGTGCGCCCCAGTCTCTTCATCTGTAAAATGGGGTGAATAACAGTGCCTACTTCATAAGACTGCCAGGAGAACTAGATGAACTAATGCATAAAGTGCTCAGGACAGCGCCGGGCCCATTGGTGTTTGTACCTGGTTTGCATTTCCATTTCTCCCTTGGCTGCTGTCTTCCTCAAATCATTGGCATCCATTATTGGGCAAATTCCATTCCCCACCTTGTCTGGATGCTCCACCCTGCCTTGGGCCAGTGACTGGGGCCAGTGACTGGTCTGTGTGGAGGGTTTGGATGATGGCTGCAGCAGCTTTGGTGCCTGGCATTTCAACCCTGGTTTCTTGGGTCTTGCGGTGGTGGCTGGGGTATGGCAGATAAATAAATGAACATCTAAGAGGCAGAGCTGGATGTAATCCAGGGGGTTTGATTTCAGAGCACAAGTTCCTACCTACTATCTGTGACTTCTTTCCTTGTTGACTGTGTCTTGTTCTGTTTCTTCTGAAAGCTTTGGCAGGGACTTTGATTTTCATTTTACAGATGGAAAACTGAGCTATCATAGACATGATCCAGCCAGGGCCACACACCTGTTTCTCTTCCTGAGAATTCCATGGTGATACTTCCTATATTCATATGGACCAGGCACCATTCTGAGCACTTTACACATATTAACTAACAGATCTCACATGCAGTTTTAGGCACAAAGTGCTGCTATTTATCCAATTTTGCAGATAAGGAAGCTGAAGCACAGAGTGGCCTGATTCTGTGATCATTCTTGTCCTCTGCCTGAGCCCTCCCTCAGAACTGGGGCCAACTAATTCTGCATGCAAGGCCTACAGCAGGTGCTCTAGGTTGGTAATCTAGGGACTGAGTACCAAGGTACTCGTTGTACCACGCTTTGCCCACCTTTTCTGCATTGGTCTGTGGCCAAGGCCTCAAATTGACCCCAGATTTCAATAAGTGTTTCGGCCTAACTTCCATGGGTACATCAGATCCTCCCAGTCTGGCTCACTGCCAGGTGACCAATCGCCATAGTTTGCCATGAGAATGTCCCAGTTTTGAAGCTGAAAGTCCTGTGTTGCAGAAAACCTCTAAGTCCTGCAGCTATTTTCTGACCCAGCAATGTTCTGCTCCTTAGTGGTTATTAATCCTTGCAACTTCCTATAGATTTCCAGAGGATAACCTCTCTTCTCCAAATGATCCCCCAAATCATTTCAATTTAGCAGCAGCTGCAACACATTTTAAACCACAAGAGTATAAGCAACATTATTAGGGATACTCTCTTTCCTGATGAAAGGGATCTCTTGGGTTTACTTTCCTAAAATCACACCAGAAGAACATAACTAGCCAAGTCAGCAGTTTCCTCTCTGCCCTTCACACATGACCCACTGGGCTGTTATTTAATTTTCCCGCCCTCCCTCTGCATTTTCGTTCTCCCCAAGCACTTCTAATGGTTTCCTTTCTGTCAAGGCAAGCAGCATAATGCAGAATAAAGAGATCTGGGCTTGGCATCTGGGAGACAGCTTCAGTAGAGGAAAGAGCATGGGCGCTGTGAGCAGAAAGATCTGGTGTGAATCTTGACTCTGACATGCCGTTTTATGTCCTTGTATAAGTTACTTAACCTCATTGCACATCGCCTGTAAAAGGATAACATGAGAAAGTCCGCAGTGGCGTACGTAAAGTGACTTGCACAGAGTGGGATGTGATAGACATTAGATGATTGATGAAACAGGCCTCAGTTCAAGATGGGAGCTCCTGACAGACTGGCAGGTTCCTGATCCTGATGGGGTAAATGTGTCCAGGGAGGTGCCGCTGGGCAGCTGTTACCTGCCTGATGTGGTCTCCTGACTGGATTCTATGCTTCTTACCTTTAATGTCACTTCCCTAGGGAAGCCTTATTATAAACTCACAGGCTACTGTACTCTTTCATAGTGCTTTTCATAAGTTGAATTCAAATTTTATTTCAGTAATTATTTTATTTCTATCTTCCCACCTGACCACAAACTCCCTAAAGGCAGGGACCATGATCTATCTTGTTCACTGTTGTAGCTTCAGCTGCCAAATCAGTGTCTGGCACACAGTAGGCATTCAATAAATGCTTGTTGAATAAAATGAATAAATTAAGTGGCCATTCAAAGGTACTGGAAGAGAGAATTCCGTAAGGAAGCGTAGGCAGTAACACACCACTAGATGGCGCTAATGCCATGCATGTAAACTATCCCACCAGCTTTCTCAAACCAGAGTGATGGGTGGCTAACAGTCAATTTCCAATTTGACTTGGAAGTGATTCCGCCGAGAGTGTAACATCTTGTACTGAGCACCATGCTAGGCAATTTAACAGTTATTACAATTCTTACAACAATCACAGAAAAAAGTAGCCCATTGTACAGATGATGAAATAAATTCCCAGTAATTTTAAGTAAATTTTCTAAAGAGACACAACTTGTAGGTGATGCAGTAAGGCTCTGAACCCAGATCTGTTGGCCCCCAAGCTGTGTTCTTTCCAGAATATCTCAGTGCTTCCACTTTAGTGGTCTAATGCAACCAATAAACAAGCTTCCTGGTGCGATAGGGCCCCCTGCCCACCCCCACAGTTGGTTATTTTATTACGTACCCAGTTAGAACTCTCCACACAGTCATTGATTTCTTAAAAGTCAACTTATAAGAAAGGGATAATAAAAGGCAGAATAGATTCAATGTCTCTTAAACCAGACTTTTACATCTTGAGCTCCATTGATGAGCGAAGTGTAGCATTCTGAGGAAGGAGGAAATAATCTTTAACGTATCAATCAATCATCGATAGGTCTTCATTCAGCACCTCTGTTGCACACACAGGGCTGAGCAAACACAGATGGGCTTACAATCTGGTTGGGGACAGAAGACATGCACATATGGGACATACCAATATACAACAGTACCTAAGTACCTTGTGGACGATATATACAATATGAGCACTAGGAATCCGGAGGCCAGAAAGATTCCTGTGACTGGGGTGGTCAGGGCTGACCCTCACAGAAAACACATTCAAGGAGACAGCAAGTTAACTAGTCCCTTTCTACTCAAGGTATAGACCAAGGACAAGCGGCATTGACACCACCCGACAGCTTGTTAGCAATGCAGAATCTTGGGTCTCTTCCCTGACCTCCTGAACCAGAATCTGCATTTTAACAAGATATCCAGGTGATCTGCAATGTTTAAAGACTGTTGAGGATCCAGTGTTTGTATTCATATCTCTTTAAAGTGAACGAACACTCTAATTTCACTGTTTAGTTTTAATTTGGCATTTTGTTTTGCTTTTAGAAGAATGTACTAAATACTCTTAAGCTTCTGCCATTCTTCACTCCAAGAATCTATGGAAAATCCTAATAGCTAAATCTTCTGTGGCCTGGTGATTTCTTAACTGGAAGAAAAGCTGTTATCCGAAGCACCTTTTCATGTATTTATGCAACAGGAATTATTGTTCAAGAAACTAGACTTTAAAAAACCAAAGATATATTTTTTTGAGTGACTAAAGGAAGTTTACGTTATGCTCACTACAATTCGGGTACAGTCTAATTCTTTGCAGATTGCTAATCTATGTATGCTAGACTATGGAACCACAATACTAGATCACGTTTCCTCAGGTCATTCCCCACCTCCCCACACTGTCCCCCCATACATCATTTTGAATCAGTGGAAGTTGTTGTCATGTGGAATTTGTAATAATTCTGATAGAGAAAATTAGACACTTCACACACCAGTACATGGACAGGACTTGTTTTAACATCTCAGTAAGAAGTGACAGTGGCCCTGTGTCTAACTGTGGTTCCATGTCTCTTATCCACTCGTGGAAGCTGGGTGCGTCCCTTCAGAAATTCAGTGTGGCAGAAAGAAAAGAGCACTAGAAAACTAAGCAAGAAAACATTCCTCTGGAGAACCCTGACTAACATAAAGCCCAATCCCCATCAGCACACAATATAACAAATATGCATATGGACCCTCTCAATCTAAAATGTTTAAAAATAACAATATATAACTAAACTGGCTTGCAAAAATCACTCATTGTGAAAAAAAGAAAACTAAGTGAGAAACCATAGGCTCAGGGCTGACACACGTTAGCTGTGTAGTGCCACTTCTCTGTGTCTCAGTTCCCATCTATGAATGAAGGAGGTGGAATGAGATGGTTGCTAATGTTGCTTCCTGGTCTAGCATCCCATGAGCCTAGTTAACTAGAAGTTAGAGGATGGGTAGTTATTCATTAAACCCAGAATACATAGTCCCAAACAGAAGGGGCCATATGATCCTTACTTCCAGATATAAAAGTTGAGAAGGCTGGTTACCATAGCAACTCACCTTCATGAAGTCATTTATAAATTCAATTTTGTAAAGTGACAATATTATGTACTGGCACCTGCAAAACTCCATAATGTTTCCTTTGCTTCCATTCTTGCCCCGGGCGATGGTGCCAAGAATTGTCATAATCTAGAGAAGCAATCAGAGTTCTCAAGCTGCCTTTCGGTCTGCTAGAACAGAAGGTGCTGACAGGGGTGGGAGTAAAGGAAGGCCTCCTTTCAGTTTACTAATTCTGCAGCCGCCCTTCACAAACTCCAGCAAATATTTTGCGATGTTGCAAGGTGTTACGAAAAGTGAAAAGCAAGCTGTGATTCAGCTGGTACGAAGACTTTGCAAACAAAAAAGAGTGATCTGTTTGCAGCAGACTATTACTTCTGCCAGAGCCCACAGACTGGAATACTAAAAGAGGAATTTCTGCAAGACATTGCCATCATACTTACTGGATTTTCAAAACAAAACCAATTTTAAATTGTTTGGCCTGGTAGGTTTCACCTTGTGAACCTCAGATTCCTGGGAGCTGTAGAGTCACTGCAAGGGATCTGCAAACCAGCGTGCATGTTCCGTCTGTAGAGTGAATGAAAAATATGCTCATCCATATGGATTACTTTTCAAATACACATAAATGTCATTGTGATGAATACAAGAAATTAATTTGCAATGTTAGTGAAGATACCTCAGCTCGTTATGAATTTTCGTAACTGATATTCAAAGTAGAGCCAATATCATGCTTGAGTTTAAGAAAACTCTTTTTCATGTTGAAAAGCAGTCTTCACACTTGTCAGATCACTTGTCTTGGTTCTTGGGGCAGAGGATATGGACACCTTACCATTAGGAGAGAAGCTTTCCCCCAGGATTGGCTCTGCTTTCACGGCATATGTTGGATAATATACCCACCATTTGGTTTCTAGAACCTTAACATTTGATAGGAAGACATTTAAGTGGCTCGTTGAGCCCTGTTCTTCCATGAGATACGTCATCCCTGAATATAAGTAAGATCTGAGCAGTGGACACAATTCTAGTCCAGACATTTATGTAAGAAATAGAAACTAATTTTGATTTCAAGCCTCCCTTTCTTTGCATTGTCAGAAACTTTATCTCAGTGAACTTGTGGATTTCAACCTCACCTTCCCCTGGAGTTGTATCTAGTTTCCGGGAGGGGGCTTCTGAGATGCAAGATGTGCAGAAAGGGAGGGGGGAAGGAGAGAGAGTGAAGGATGTGGTCCTCAAGATCATTCTTCCACACTGGTATTTATTGAGACATTCTTCACTCTTGTCTGTGTGACCCTTTCGGATTCAGGAGCACTCTCCATTTCTCTGATGTGCTCTTGGGCATGAAGAGACATGCTTCTTTCTCACTGGGGCATGGGAAACTTTGCACATCTGCCTACGTTCTCTTCAGTGGGGACCCATTATGCACCCATTTCTCCTCTGGGGCTTCACTGAGGATGCAAAGAACATGTCTTTTCTGCTCCCAAGTCTCACAAAAACATCTGCAATTGTGTCACCTTCCCAGGGTGAAGTAGCACACAGGATCCAGAAACATCTCTGCCCTCTGTACCTTCCCATGAATTCACTTCCTCCCCCTAAGAAACTCTTTTCTACTCTTGTTATCTTTTCTTCCAAATATTTTATCTATGCCACATTTGTTTGTTTTTTCCTTCCCATAAGGGCAACTTCTGAATCCAAAAGCCAGGAACATACTTTTATTTCTCTGCCTCTTATTATCACATCTCATCTCTGAGATAAGGAGTACAAACCAGGCTAGCTGTCCAAATGAGGGGAAGGAAAAACGAGGTAAGGAATTGGCTAATATTATTCTGCTGATTAATATAGATTTCACGAATCTAGGGCCTGCAAGAAAGGAGGTCAGCCCCAAATGAAACCAAACACTGAGCAAAAAGTGAATTTTTCTAGAATAATTAAAATAGGACCCCCAGCATTGGTGCAGTTTTTCTACTGGCTGTTGGTATTTTCTGCAGTCGGGCATCCAGAGCTAAGTGCCTGGACTTCGGGCACAGTGCTGAATTAAAAGGATCTTTTCTAAAGATTGGGTGAACAATTAAAGCTCCATCAGTCGTATATAGAGGTGCTTCACAGCCTGTCAGACTTGGGTTTTGGAAGAGGAGGGATGGGAAGGGAAGAAAGGGAAAGCAACCTAAGTTTCTAGCTCCACAGTCTCTGCCCCAGCCAGATCCGAAGTCCCTTCATTCACTCATTTATCCTTTCATTCAAAAACCATTGAATTTCTATAGTGGGCTATATACAGGGAACAAGGAACTCTGTATTTTAGTCCTGGCAAATTCATCTAAGACTCTCTTTGAAAAAAAAAAAAAAAGACATGGTTTCTGGATTTAAGGCTCTCACAGTGTAGTTGGAGGAAGAGCCCATGCGAAGATAGGCAAAGTAGCAATTTCAAAGTTATGATGAGGAAAATGCAGGTTGTAGGTGACTGTGAGGCAGGACACCTAGCCAGTCCTTGAGAACTCAGAGAAGGGTTCCTGGATAGGCCAGAAAGATAAGTGGAAACTTGACAGAGGGAGTACCAGGGCTCTGGGGAAAGAGCAACCTTGAACAGGCTAGGCCACAGGCTAGACTGCCTCTTAAGTAGAAGAGGGCCCCAGGAGCAGCTGGTCTGGCTCTGAACCAGCCTCAGATTTCCAGCAGCAGTGATGACTCTGCATTTCAAACTTGGTGATTATGAACACACATTTTTCGGATTCAAAGGAGTTAGCTGCTACATGCCTGGGCAAGAAGATTCCATTTCCCTGTTTCTCAACTTGTGCTGTGTGAATCAGGAGCCTGTAGGAGGAACACGGGGGTGGAGGGTCCTTCACAATGAAAAGCCTCAAACTCTCTTCCCCCTCACATCTTGAAGAGAGAGTGGCAGCTGCCTTCGAAGAGCCTATATTCCAGGCAAAGATGAGTTTGTTGGCAAAACCATGTAGGAGGCACCAGAGTGCTAAATTAGAGCTTTTGCAAGCAATATATTTTTATCATTAAACTCTTGGCTAAAGCTCATTTGTTCCAAATGGGCTGCCTTAGAAAGTATGCTCACCTGAGTATGGGGTGAGGGCTTTGAAAATACAAGTTTGTTCCAAAAGATGCACAAAGAAACAAAATTAACATTTATTTTATAAAAGAAGGATAGTGTGAAAAGGGATACAGCTCTTTGGCTCACTAAATCATGAGATTAGACTATATTTCTCCTGCCACGAAGAGTGGAAAATTAACATCCTGTTTGAGGAACCTCAATCACATAACCTAAAGGCCAACTCCATGTCATGGAGACAAATCAGAGAACCGAATTTGAAGGAAGGCCCAAACATTGCAGATCCCACAGGAAATGATTACATACTATTATTCTTGAGTGAATGTAGTAATATAATCCTTGAGTAAATAATCAGAACAGACTAAGTGTATTTGCGTTAAACTGTAAACAATCATCTAGATCAAATTACTTAATATTTTAATCCATGAATGTAGAATAATACGTGCTTTAGCTTATGCCAATAGGACAATCCTTAGAGATGTCTGAGTTACTTCTGGCCATGAATTTAATCCACAAAGTGATTAAGAAATTAAGAAACAATAAAATAGCCTGGGAAAACAATGTATCACTACTGTGCAGCCACTAAGCTTCTGCATCAACCCGAGGATTTTCCACACATGCTCATCATTCCAGAACTAACTAAAACAGGGGTCAGGAAACTTTTTCTTGAAGGGCCAAGCAGTAAATATTTTAGGATTTGCAACTCTGCCATTGTACACAAAAGCAGCCATACACACTATGTGAATAAATGGCTATGGCTATGTTCCAATAAAACTTTATGTGCATAAATATGCAACTGGCCTGTGGACCACAGTTTGCTGACCCTTGATCTTGAACAATTGCATAGGTGTAGAAAGATGGTCCTTTTGGAGAAATTATGAGTTCTTTAGAGCTCCATGGCAGACCAATTTCTGTGGGGCTATATGGTGAGGGTGCATTAGTCCACTGGCCTGCAAACTGCACCCCCCTTTTTTTTTTTTTTTGAGACAGAGTCTTGCTCTGTCTCCCAGGCTGGAGTGCAGTGGTGCAATCTCGGCTCACTGCAAGCTCTGCCTCCCGTGTTCACGCCATTCTCCTGCCTCAGCCTCCTGAGTAGCTGGGACTACAGGTGCCTGCCACCACACCCTGCTAATTTTTTTGTATTTTTAGTAGAGACGGGGTTTCACCGTATTACCCAGGATGGTCTCAATCTCCTGACCTCATGATCCACCCACCTTGCCCTCCCAGAGTGCTGGGATTACAGGTGTGAGCCACAGCGCCCAGCCCCTTTCTTTATAAATATTATATAAGGAAGCCTTTATAAAGACTGATGGGTGCTGTCAAAGAGGCCAGATGACTCAGCAGGCAGCAGACTTGATGTGGGATTCAGGGAGAATTGTTAGTTTGAGGTATAAACCACAGGAATAACCACAGTAAGCCAATCCCATAGTCTTTTCACACTTTCACCTGGACTGTGGCTTTGTGAGGTAACATGGGGATTCTGTACCTGATACCAATTTCAAAAGTTAAGGTTGTACACCAAAAAGTTCCAGTTTCCTTTCTAACTAAGCAAATGTTTCATTTGGGGCTGGGTAGGTACATTTTCCTGCCATATGCATGGTCCCTGCTGAATAAACATTGCTTTGTAAGCCCCCCACCCCACCACTCCCCACAACCTATCCCCTGCCATAGTTGGCCACTCAGTTATGTGTAACTTGCACTCTGTCTTGAAAAGTGGAGCTGGGCCCTAGTTCTCTTTCAGTCATCTGAACTGAAAGCAAGAGGGAAAATGCAGGCAGAGACACAGCCAGAAGGGTCATGTGGCCTCAAGGCCTGGAATAGCCTCTAGGGGGCCTTGTACAAGATGTGTTCAATGAAAAAGCACAAGCAATATTATGAAAGTGTTTCCTGTTGCGGGAAGTCAGGGACCCCAAACGGAGGGACCAGCTGAAGCCACAGCAGAACATAAATTGTGAAGATTTCACGGACATCTATTAGTTCCCCAAATTAATACTTTTATAATTTCTTATGCCTGTCTTTACTGCAATCTCTGAACATAAACTGTGAAGATTTCATGGACATTTATCACTTCCCCAATCAATACTCTTATAATTTCCTATGCCTGTCTTTACTTTAATCTCTTAATCCCATCATCTTTGTAAGCTGAGGATGTATGTCGCCTCAGGACCCTGTGATGATTGCATTAACTGCACAAATTGTTTGTAAAACACATATGTTTGAATAATATGAAATCTGGGCATCCTAAAAAAGAACAGGATAACAGTGATTTTCAGGGAACAAGGGAGATAACCATAAGGTCTGACTGCCTGTGAGGCCAGGCAGAACAGAGTCATATTTCTCTTCCTGCAGAAAGCCAATAGGAGAAATATCACTGAATTCTTTTCCCAGCAAGGAATAACCCTGGGAAAGGAATGCATTCCCAGGGGGAGGTCTCTAAAATAGCCGCTCTGGGAGTGTCTGTCTTATGCAGTTGAAGATAAGGGATGAAATACACCCTGGTCTCCTGCAGTGCCCTCAGGCTTGCTAGGATTAGGAAATTCCAGCCTGGTGAATTCTAGTCAGACTGGTTGTCTGCTCTTGAACCCTGTTTCCTGTTAAGATGTTTATCAATGACAATGCGTGCCCAGCAGGACATGGAACCTCATCAGTAATTCTAATTTCGCCCTGTCCTTGTGATCTTGCTCTGCCATTTGCCTTGTGATCTTTTATTGCCTTTTGAAGCATGTGATCTCTGTGACACACTCCCTATTCGTACACTCTCTCCCCTTCTAAAACCCCTAATAAAAACTTGCTGGTTTTGTGGCTCAAGGTCACCATCACGGTCCTACCAATATGTGATGGCACTCCCGGAGGCCCAGCTGTAAAATTTCTCTCTTTGTACTCTTTCTCTTTATTTCTCACACTGGCTGACACTTAGGGAAAATAGAAAAGAACCTACACTGAAACACTGGGGGCTGGTTCCCCTGATAGTTTCCAGTTCTATAATCCAAGAAGGCCAGTTGTTCCTATTCAGGAATCCTTACATTCCAGAAAGATCACTCTGCGGATTTACAAAAGCTTCTCTTTCCCTTTTCTTGAGTTGCCTTGAGTGGGCCTCTCTAATGAATAACTGACTTTCCAATACGCACTCCAGAATCATGTGATGCTCTACTGGGCACAATTCTTGCCACATCTAACATTGGTTAGTTGCCACAGAAACAAGCCATGAAACATTTTATTTCATGTTTAGATTTGTCATCCAACACAAGCTTCCATAGGCTTGGCTGACATCTATTTAACTTCTATATTGGCTGGAGGTAACAAATCCAATAAAAATTTCCTTGTCAATGCCTTTAAAACAAACAAACAAACAAACAAACAAAGATTAGGTTTCACTATGTTGCCCAGGCTGGTCTTGAATTCTTGGGCTCAAGTGATCCTCCTACCTTGGCTTCCTAAAGTGCTGGAATTGCAGGCATGAGCCACCAGGCCTGGCTATCAATGACTTTTTCTTTTTCTTTCTTTTCCTTGAGACAGGGTCATGCACTGTCACCCAGGCTGGAGTGCAACGGTGCAATCATGGCTCACTGCAGCCTTAACCTCCTGTGCTCAAGCAATCCTCTCACCTCAGCCTCCTGGGTAGCTGGGACCACAGGAGCGTGCCACCATGCTGGGCTAATTTTTCAATTTTTTGTATAAATGGAGTCTCCCTATGTAGCCCAGGCTGGCCTCAAACTCCTGGGCTCAAGCAATCCTCCTGCATCAGCCTCCCAAAGTGCTGGGATTATAGGCCCAAAACACTCCGCCTGCCGTCCATGACTTTTTGATCTGTCCTTTCCATGCCCACCTCGTCCACTATGGCCTAGTACCTTATCACTCCTATCTGGATTTCACCCACAGTCTCCTATAAAATTGCTTTGACTCTACTCTCTCCCTATTCTTGTCCATCTGTTGTCAGAGCTATTAGATTAAACCTACTTTCATCAGATTATTTCTCAGATGAAAAGTCCAGCTGGGCACAGTGGCTCACGCCTGTAATCCCAGCACTTTGGGAGGCCAAGTGTGTGGATCACGAGGTCAAGAGATTGAGACTATCCTGGCTAACATGGTGAAACTCCGTCTCTTCTAAAAATACAAAAATTAGCTGGTGGCGTGCGCCTGTAGTCCCAGATACTCAGGAGGCTGAGGCAGGAGAATTGCTTGAACCCGGGAGGTGGAAGTTGCAGTGAGCTGAGATCATGCCACTGTGCTCCAGCCTGGCAACAGAGCAAGACTCCATCTAAAAAAACAAACAACAAAAAAAGTCCACAGTACTTTCCTATTATTTCCCAGATCCAATCTGAGTTATTCGATCCAGTATTTTAGGTGTTATAATCTGGTCCCACCTAATCTATTTATTATATTCATATCTCCCATGACCCTTCAACATGAACTTCAACTTCAATCAGGTTAATGTCCTATATCCTCTGTTATATCTCACTCTCTATTCCCACCTCCATGCCTTTGCTTGTTTTTGTCTCCACTACTTCTTCTACTAATTAGAGTATCTCCTTTCTGTGTCAAAGTCTAATTGCAATATTATCTATAGGCCACACATTAGGAAGGATGGGAAGAAAATGAAGGAAGGTTATATCTATCACCTTCCACCTGACAACCTACATTCCAAAGTAACGGTCAATGTCTGGCAACCACTGGAAATGTGACAAAAGTCTCAAAAGCATATGAAATTGACATTTCCGGAAAAAAAGAATGAAATAGACTTTTTTTTTTTTTTTTAGAACTGATACATGCCTGCACCTTTTATTTTAATTTAATTTATTTTATTTATTTATTTATTTGAGACAGACTCTCACTCTGTTGCCCAGGCTGGAGTGCAGTGGTGTGATCTCGGCTCAATGAAACCTCTGCCTCCTGGGTTCAAGTGATTCTCCTGCCTCAGCCTCCTGAGTAGCTGGGATTACAGGCGTGTGCCACCACACCCGGCTAATTTATGTATTTTTAGTAGAGATGGGGTTTCACCATGTTGGTCACACTTGTTTCAAACTCCTGACCTCAAGTGATCTGCCCACTTCAGCCTCCCAAAGTGCTGGGTCTACATGCGTGACGCAGTGCCTGGCCTATTTTTTTTTTTATTTTTTTGAGACAGAGTCTCTTTCTGTTGCTCAGGCTGGAGTGCAGTGGCACGATTTCAGCTCACTGCAACCTTTGTCTCCAAGGTTCAAGCAATTCTCTTGCCTCCGCCTCCTGAGTAGCTGGGACTACAGGCGTGAAACATCATGTCCTGTTAATTTTGTATTTTTAGTAGAGATGGGGTTTCGCCATGTTGGCCAGGCTGGTCTCAAACTCCTGACCTAAAGTGATCTGCCTGCTTCAGCCTCCTAAAGTGTTGGGATTACAGGCGTGAACCACAGCACTCGGCCAAAACACATTTAATTTTTATCCTTCCCAAGGGTTCCCACTAAAACTATATAAAATGCTTGTTGGGGGGTGTGGGGCTAGCATAAACTCTAAGGATAATGATGTGAAAAAAGGTATCAAAGGAGCCAAATTTTGGAGGGTGGCAGGCTTGAAAAACCAAGTTGTAAATGGACATTAAGTAAATACAAGAACAAATTCAATATGCACTCCAGAATTGTCAAAATGCTCAAGAGTTGATGAGATCTCTAGAAGTGGCGTGAATTGGGATGTTGGATTAAGGAAGACTGGTTGAATGAAGGTTGTTTGAGAGTCAGGTGAATTCCTGGATTTCTCCTTTCTCCCACTTTATATCACTGGTTGATTGCTCCTCCCACACTTTGGCCAATGTCTACAGGTTTAGGTTCCAGAGAGGGGAAAAAAGATGGTTTCTGGGTGAAGGAACACCAGGCACAGTTGAGGGCGGGCATGAAGTACTTAAAGTAGGGAGAATAAGTGAAGGTATGTGTATTGACTACTCGGGCTCCCTGCTCTCTTCCTGCACTTTATCCTTCAGGCAAGGTAAATGACAGGGCTATTTTCTGGAGAATATGACTATCTCAATATGAAACACCTAAACACAACGACTTCAAGAG
Organism: Homo sapiens; assembly: GCF_000001405.40. NCBI lineage: Eukaryota > Metazoa > Chordata > Mammalia > Primates > Hominidae > Homo > Homo sapiens. The sequence goes on along the minus strand of NC_000002.12, from coordinate 46,639,500 downwards.
TCTCCTCACAAACATCCTAGATAGATACTCTTATATTAGTGTTTCTCAACTGGAATATGGCAATGTCTGGAGACTTTTTTTTTTTTTTTTTTTTTTTGAGACGGAGTCTCTGTCGCCCAGGCTAGAGTGCAGTGGCACGATCTCGGCTCACTGTAACCTCTGCCTCCCAGGTTCAAGCAATTCTCCTGCCTCAGCCTCCTGAGTACCTGGGACTACCGGTGCGTGCCACCACACCCGACTAATTTTTGTATTTTTAGTAGAGATGGGGTTTTACCATGTGGGCCTGGCAGGTCTCGAACTCCTGATCTCAGATGATCCGCCTGCCTCGGCCTCCCAAATTCTTGGGATTACAGGCGTGAGCCACTGCACCCGGCCCAAAGACATTTTTGATTGCCACAAAACTGGGGGTTGGAGGTGGAGGTGTGCTGCTGGCATCTAGTTGATAGAGGCCAAGGATGCTGCTAAACATCCTATAATGCACAACAGCCTCCCACAACAAAGAATTATCCAGTCCAAAATATCATTAGTGTCATTAGTGTCACTGTTGATAAACTCTGCCTTACATTAAACTCATGGTCAACTGGACCACCAATACAAGCAGTTTTCAAACAACCCAATGATCATCCTACTCTATTAAGAGTGAGCAAGATGTCAGGTGCAGTGGCTCACGCTTGTAATCCCAGCACTTTGGGAGGCCAAGGTGGGCAGACTGCTCGAGCCCAGGAGTTTGAGACCAGCCTGGGCAACATGGTGAAATCCCATCTCTACAAAAATACAAAAATTAGCTGGATGTGGTGCCATGCACCTGTAATCCCAGCTACTTGGGAGGCTGAGGTGGGAGGATCACCTGAGATGGGGAAGTTGAGGCTGCAGTGAGCCATGAGTGTGCCACTGCACTCCAGCCTAGGTGAGAGAGTAAGACCTGAAAAAGAAAGAAAAAAAGAAAAGAAAGAGCGGACAACAAGAAATGACCAGATATCTGAGGAAAACCTCCAACAACAGATTGCTAAACAAACAGAACACAGCAACTTGGAGTAATAGAGACTCTGCAGGAAGATGAAAACTTTAAAATTTTAAACTATAATCGATTTCCACTTATGGCCATGACTGACTGTGAGGGACCAGATTTACCTTCCTGCCCTAAGCAGCTAGAAAACTGGGATATTTGGAAAGTATTTTCTGATACTGAATAGCAGGCTGCACAGGACTGTGACTCCTGAGAGGCGTGAGTCCTGAAGACACATTCCATACCCAAGCAGATGTTGTTAATCTTACTGAGTCAAGAAAAACATTAGGCTGGGCGTGGTGGCTCACGCCTGTAATCTCAGCACTTTGGGAGGCTGAAGCAGGCGGATCATGAGGTCAGGAGTTCGAGACCAGCCTGGCCAACATGGTGAAACCCCATCTCTACTAAAAATACAAAAAAAAAAAAATTGCTGGGCGTGGTGGCACATGCCTGTAATCCCAGCTACTTGGGAGGCTGACACAGAAGAATCACTTGAACCCAGGAGGCGGAGTTCACAGTGAGCTGAGATCATGCCACTGCACTCCAGCCTGGGCAACAGACTGATGCGCCATCTAAAAAAAAAAAAAAAAAAAGCACTCAACCCAAAAGAAAGCACAAAAAGAGGAAAACAGGCACAAACAACAGGTAGGACAAATGAACAAGTAGCAAGTTATTAGATTTCAACCTAACCACTGAATAGTTACACTAAATGAAAATAATCTAAACACTTCACAGACAGGCTGAATTTTTTCTAAAAGTCAGACTGGATAAAAAATAATACCCAAGTATATGCTGTATACAAGAAACCCACTTTAATCATAAAGGCATAGATAAAAAGTAAAATCATATAAAAATATGTGTCATAAAAACACTAATTATAAGAAAGCCAGAATGGTTATATTACTATCAGACAAAGTAGACTTCAGTACAAAAAATATTACCAGGGATAATAAGGGATATTTAATAATGATAAAGGATTAATTCATAAAGAGGGCATAAAAATCTTAAATGTGTATGCATTTTTAAAAAGACCCTCAAAATACATGAAAACTGAAAGAACTGCAAGGAGAAACAGAAAAATCTACTATAGTTGAAGACTTAATCCGTCTGTCTTAGTAATTGATAGAACAAGTGGAAAAAAAATCAGTAAAGCCATAGAACTAAATAACAGCATTAACTAATTTGACCTATTGACATTTCTAGAACACTGATCCAACAAGCGCAAGATTGTTGTATTTTTTTCAAGCATATGGAGAGAATTCACCAAGATAAATCACATGCTGGGCCATACAGCTCAATTAAAAAAAAGCTGTTAATATACTCATAGGCAGAAGAGAAGCTAGTATACCCATGGAACAAGAATACTCTAAAAAATCATAGAATAATAACAGCAAAACCTTAGACATTATAAATACACAAGATAGAAGAAATGAAACACTACAGACATGTGACAAGATAAAGTGAGGAAATCTCCCATAAAGTAGAGGAAACTGCAAACACACATGCACACAAGGGGAATGGTAGAGAAAAGATGAAAACTTGTGTGACATCTGAATAAAAGGAGTTTTGGAAAGAGAACAGAAAATTTGGAGGGGAGAAAATAGTCACATACTACTTTAAGAAAATTTTCTTAAAGGACATTGGTGTCTAGACTAAAAGGGCCTATTGAGTATCCAGTATATTGGATGAAAATAGACTCACCCTAAAGCAAGTCATCATGAAATACTGAGGATGAATGAAAGATGCTACAAGTTTCCAGGGTGGTGGGAGCAATAAAGGATCTGAAATCACAATGGCTTCTTTCAACAGCGACACTGGGATCTAAAAGATAATAGAGCAATGCCTTCAACATTCTGAAGGCAAGTGCTTTTTATTTTGAATTTGATAACTTACCAAACTATCGATTAAACATGAGAGTAGAATAAAGACAAATTCTAGAAATCCAAGGTCTCAAAATTTTACCTTCCATGTATCCTTGATCAGGAATTTACTGGAGGATGTGCTCCAGGAAAACAATGGAGTGTTTGGGAAGCTGAGGTGGGAGGATCACTTGAGCCCAGGAGTTCAAGACTGTATTGGGCAACATAGCGAGACCCTGTCTCTACAAAAAAATAAAAAAAATTACTCGAGTGTGGTGGCGCATGTCTGTTGTTCCAGCTACTTGGGAGGCTGAGGCAGGAGGAATGCTTGAGCCCAGGGAAGTCAAGGCTGCAGTGAGCTGTGATTGCACCACTGCACTCCAGCCTGGGCGACAGAGCAAGACCCTGCCTCAAAACAAACCTAAGGAAACTAAGAAAAAGAAACAAACCTAAGGAAACTAAGAAAAAGAAAGACATAGTGATAAAGAAACAGGACATTCAACACGGAAGAGAGGTGTAGGGAAATCCAAAGGTGACAGCTGCACCAGGTGTAGATATAATCAGTTCATACTAGAGTGAATCTTAAGAGACAGGTACACTGGTGGCTATCATCACCAACATGCGTGCTGCCATTATCCTTTTTCATTTTTTAAATCTGAACCTGACCAAGTTTATCTGTATTTGGCTTGCCTAGATCATGTCCTGGTAAAATTCATGTGTCCTCCGCCACACCTTACAGCTTGGATCAGCTGAAGATACTCATTTCATCCTACAGACATGTTTTCTCTGACCCATTCCTGAGAGCTGGGGGTAATTAAGATTGAGTTTAGAAGGCAAATTCCTGCTGCTGTACATGGTCCACGGTACATGACCAGTGAATGGTCAGTACATGGTCTACGGTACAGGCTGGCCACATGCCTACACCATATCAAGTGCTATGCTCCCCAATACTCATTCGTTACTTTGCCTGCTGACTTTCTAGAAGGGTATTCTTGTATACTTTCCAAAACGCTGAAGCCGAAACTATGACTATGTGTAGCTTATCTTCTCTTAGGAACTTTTATTTTGTTTTGCCCTCTTTTGGCACAGATAGGTTTGTGCTTGCTCCTAAGCTTTTATGTTAAAACTTTCATGCTAATTTATATATAAAAATTGCAGAAAATATTAAACATACAATTGACAGATTTGATGACAGTAAAAAACAATAATATGAAGTAGGCTATTTCAGTTATCTCAGCAGAGGTGGGAGCAGGCAGTAAGAAAGGACTTGAAAAATGCAGTGGGTGTTACAAGACCCAAGGAAGTTTTGAAGGCACACAACACACACTTCACATCTCCCCATAAAGACATTTCTCCCTCTGTTCTTATGCACACCCTTCCCTCTTGAAATGTTCAATTGTCTGATCTTTTAAGTGTCAACTCTAATGTCTCTGCTTTAGAGAGGCCTACTCTGACCACACTCCTCACTCACTCTCTGTCACTTTTCACACTCTGTAAACATCTTGTTTACTTGGTTACTATGTACCTTTGCATAGTCACCACCTCAGTGTAAGCTCTGTGAGGGAAGAGAGCTTGTCTTGCTCACTACTGTATCCTTGGTGTTTGAAAGCGTCTGGCAAATATTAATCTCATCAAAAATGACGTTGAATGAATATTACTGAAGGAAGTTGGTTTTTCAAGTGAATGAAGAGGAAGCAAAAACAAAGTTGAAAACCACAAAAAAGTTAAATTACTTTTGAAACATGGAACCTCATTCATATTTGTTCTCTAAAGGTTTTGTCTTTTACATCTAAGTCCTGGGTTTGATTTTTGTGTGTGTGTGCACATATGGTTAAGAGATAGGAATCCAGTTTGAATTTACTGATGAATTTCCCCAGTGATCTACAATACTACCTGTCATATATCACTTTTACATATATGTAGTTATCTACTCCTGGTCTGTTTTTGTGTTGAATATCGTCTCAATATTTCAGCTTTAAAATATGCTTTGACATGTGGTAGAGCAGGTGTGTTACGAAAAATTTTAGGCCGGGCATGGTGGCTCATGCCTGTAATCCCAACACTTTGGGAGGCCGAGAAGGGTGGATCACAAGGTCAGGAGTTCAAGACCAGCCTGGCCAATATGGTGAAACCCCGTCTCTACTAAAAATACAAAGATTAGCTGGGCATGGTGGCAGGCGCCTGTAGTCCCAGCTACTTGGGAGGCTGAGGCAGGAGAATAGCTTGAACCCGCGAGGCAGAGGTTGCAGTGAGCCGAGATCGCACCACTGCACTCCAGCCTGTGTGACAGAGCGAGATTCCATCTCAAAACAGAAAAAGAAAAATTTTAAATATATATAAACGTAGAGAGAATAAGTTCTTCTGGAACTTTGGGTATATATCAGACCTTTTCCTTCTATTGTTCATGTCTCAATTTCTATTTCATATTTTTTTTCTAATGTCTTTGCTCATGAGTGATAATTACCTGTCATTTTGTTTTTTTTTTTTGAGACGAAATTTCACTCTTCCGCCAAGGCTGGAGTTAAGTGGTGCAATCTCGGCTCACTGCAACCTCCGCTACCGAGTTCAAGCAATTCTCCTGCCTCAGCCTCCCAAGTAGCTGGGATTACAGGCGCGTGCCACCACATCTGGCTAAATTTTATATTTTTAGTAGAGATGGAGTTTTGCCTTGTTGGCCAGGCTGGTCTCGAACTCCTGATCTCAGGTGATCCACCTGCCTTGGCCTCCCAAAATGCTGGGATTACAGGCATGAGCCACTGCGCCCGGCCTGTCATTTTCCTTTCTTTATAATACTTGCTTGGTTTTGGTAATTAGCCTTTTAAGTATTCTCATTTTTTCATTGTTTGAAAAAGTTGTGCAAGTTTGGAATTAGCTGTTATTAGAATTTTGGTATAACTTGCCTATAAAATCACGTCATTCTGGTGTTTCAATTATTGTTTTTTTAAGGAAACTATCCATTTCTTCTATTTTTTCAAATATAGATGCAACAAAGATCACAAAGAGACTGTTATGAGCTATCTTAACTCAATATATCTATTTTTTGAGACAGAGTCTGACTCTGTTGCCCAGGCTGCAGTGCAGTGGTGTGATCATGGCTCACTGCAACCTCCACCTCCTGGGCACAAGTGATCCTCCCACCTCAGCCGCCCAAGTAGCTGGAACTACAGGTGTGTGCCACCATAGGCAAGAGCCACTGCGCTTGGCTTTTTTTTTTTTTGAGGCAGGGTCTTACTCTGTTGCCCAGGCTGGAGTGCTGTAGTGTGACCATGGCTCACTGCAGCCTCAACATCTTGAGCTCAAGCAATCCTCTCATCTTAGCCTCCTGAGTAGCTGGGACTACAGGTGCACACCACTACATCTGGCTAATTAAAAAATTTTTTTTTGCAGAGACAGGGTCTCATGTTGCCCAGGCTGGTCTTGAACTCCTGGGATGAAACAATCCTCCTGCTTAGGCTTCCTAAAGTGCTAGGATTACTGGCATGAAACACCATGCCTGGCCTGTTTGTCATATTTTCTATCATTGGATCTTTGTGCCTAAGTTTTTGGAGAGGTTTCCAATTTTTTTCTTTCCCACTGTTCCTGGGGCTAAGGCCACGATACAAAAGTATTCCCACTGTCTTTCTCATCATATGCGAGGGGATATTCTAGTAAACACACTGAAACTGCTGCTTTTCAGGGCTCCATGCTTTGGGCACATATCTCTGATCTAACCTCCTCAACTTGCTCAAGTCCTGGGCTCTGTCTTCCACGCATACGATACCCTTTAAAGCATAGGCTTTAGACCCTGAGGGAATGGCGGATATTCCTAGGGCAAGCATTAGTACTTTTTTTGAATTTGTACTTGCCCTTTTTTCTAGCCTCAGAAGATAATCATTACCTCTTGATAGTTTAATCATACTCATGTTTTAAAATTATATATATATTTCCATATGTATATGCACAAGTGTGTTTATATACCTATTTTTTCAGGCTTTTTACTGTTGTTTAGCAAGTTTCTCTGGCAGTTGTTAGAAACTTGTCTATCTATCTGATCTTTAAATTGCTGTAATTGTAAATCTCTTAGCATGGCAAATTAAAAACTAAGAAAAGAGCATCATTGCCATCTGGTGGAGAGACCTACTATTACCAATCTAAATGAGACCCAATGATTCAGGCAAGGCCTTCTCATTCCTCCCACATTTAGTAACTGAGTCCTGTCAAATCTTTAATTATTAGGTCTTTCAAATCTGTCCCTTGACTTCCATTCTCCCAGTGCCTTAGTCTAGTTTCTTTTTTTTTTCTTTCTTTTTTTTTGCTAAAATCATTGCTTTTGAATTGGTCTCCTTCTTCTTCTTCTTCTTTTTTTTTTCTAAAGAGAAGGGGTCTCACTTTGTCACCCAGGCTGGAGTGGAATGGCATGATCACAGCTTACTGCCACCTTGAATTCCTAGGCTCAAGGGAACTCCTCCCATCTCAACCTTCAGAATAGCTGGGACAACAGGCGCATGCCACTGTACCCAGCTAATTTTTAAATTTTCTGTAGAGATGGGGTCTCACCATCTTGCCCAGACTGGTCTTCAACTCTTGGGCTCAAATGATCCTCTCGCCTCAGCCTCCCAAAGTGCTGGGATTACAGGTGTAAGCCACTACAGTTGGCTTTTCTCCCTTTAGTTACTATTCTTTCAAAATATTTTCCTTGTTCCTGTTGTCAATCTTATTTTTACACTTCCACATTAATTTGATGTTTTTGTTTTGTTTTCTTTGAGACAAAGTCTCACTCTATTGCCCAGGCTGGAGTGCAGTGGTGCTATCTGGGCTCATTGCAACCTCCACCTCCCGGGTTCAAGCGATTCTCCTGCCTCAGTCTCCTGATAGGTGAGATTACAGGTGTGCGCCACCACACCCAGCTAATTTTGTATTTTTAGTAGAGATGGGGTTTCACCATGTTAGCCAGGCTGGTCTTGAACTCCTGACCCCAGGTGATCCACCCACCTCAGCCTCCCAAAATGCTGGGATTACAGGCATGAGCCACTGCACCCGGCCTTAATTTGATGGGTTCTGTATCAAGTTCTTGCTTATGAGCAAAAACTGTGGAACCAATAACAGCAGTCTGGCTAGAGATGAGAACAATGTAGAAGTCCAATAAATGCTGTCTGAATTGAAAAAGTGGCACCATTTGCTCATTTGCCTAATTTATCTAGGAAGCAGTACACGCGCAGAAATTCCCAAGCTGTTTTCTATAATAACATATTAATGAACGACATTCACATGTGTAATACTCCTGTGGGCTTACCCAGAGTTTTTTTTTTTAAACTTAAAATTATTTTTAATTACAAAAGGCATACATACCTAACACTTTAAACATTCACAGTTTTGTGAATGAACAAATACACTGATAATGCTGAGTGCCAGGGTTTTGACTGTGGAAGAAGATAAAAGTAAGGAATAGGAAAAGGCAAGGAAGAACCCTGTAGCGGTTGGACTGGAACTGGAGATATCAGGAAAACTTGTGATTTCTAATACATGTTTCCTAGCTCTTTCTGTCAAAGGGGCCTAAAAGCAATGACAACCCAGGAGGCTCAGATCATGGTTTCTAAAAACCATTCTCCACTAAAAGAAACTAAGGCTCTTTGGAGAAATGGCTGATTCCAAGGCTTTAGTAGAATATTTTCCTTATAGTAGAATGCCACAGAATAAACACAGAAATAATAATACAATTGGAAGAATCCCCACTTGGCAACACCAGAGTAACAATTAATTCCACCAAGAAATATCACTGGATGCTAAAATGAGTGTGTGAAAGTTTGTTGAGAAACAAAATAGTTATCATCTGAAAGTATTTCCCCACAAAATGCTTACTAACTTAACGTAAAAAATTAGAAACTTTACAGTAGAGTAATATAGCAGATATCACCTAATACAAGTGATCAAAATTAACATCCTTGTAATGGGACAACTGACACCATGATACGGTGCACTGAAAAGAACAATGCCATTTCTGTGGTATCCCCGCCAAAAATGTATAAGCTCAGTCTAATCATCAAGAAATACCAGAAAAACCCAGATTAAGAGTTACTCTATAAAAAGTCTACGGGTTGGGAACAATAGACACTGAGGACTACTAGAGGAGGGAGGGAGGGAAGGTGCAAGGGTTGGAAAACTACCTATTGGGTACTATGCTCACTACCTGGGTGTCGGGATCAATGGTGCCCCAAACCTCAGCATCACGCAATATACCCATGTAACAAACTTGCACATATACTCCCTGAGTCTAAAATAAAAGTTGAAATTAAAAAAAAAAATACAACTGGCCCATAACCTTGGCATTTTGAAAGACTGGCTGAAGAACTGCTCCAGAATAAATGAGACTACAGACATGACAACTAAATGTAATGTTACTCCAGAGTGGATCCAGATCAGACTTTTTTTTTTTTTTGCATATTACTGAAACAATTAGCAAAATATGAAAAAGATTTGATAATAGTAAAGTATTAATGTTAATTTTCTGATTTTGGTAATTGTGCTATGGCTATGCAGGAAAACACCCTTGTTCTTTGGAAATACAAACTTAAGTAATTGGGGTAAAGAGGCACCACATCTAGTAAGGAATATTCAAATGGCTCAGAAAAAAGTACTTACTCGAAGTTGATGATAAAGGGAAACCTCTTCCTTACAGTAGAATGATGACTAATTAATACAGAAATAATAATAGAGTTAGAACAATCACAATTTTGGAAACATCCTAGTAAAAATTTATTCAGACAAGAATCGTCAAAGGATGCTAAACCTAGGAGGGGTAGATTTGATGAGGAACAGAATTGTCAACAAGGTCTCAAAGTTTCTCCTCACAAATTACCCACTAATTGCAAAAGGAAAAACAATAACGATACACTGGAGAAACTGGACATCTTACCCAAGTGATCAAAATTAGCATCACCAATAAGGGACAAATGGACATTCTGTGCATCTGGATGTATACCTGCAATACATATCACTTACAGCATTTCAACCCTCACTGCACTACCCCAATCTAACCATGAGGAAACATCAGAAAAACCCAAATAGAAGGATACTCTATCCTTTAGCTGTCCTGTATTTTTCAAATATATTACTATTATAAAAAACAAAGAAAAGCTGAGGAACTGCTCCAGATTAGAGGGTTATGGCAATACAACATATGATCCTAGGCTGGATCGTGGAGCTGAAAAAAATTACCAATAAAACAGCAAATGAAATTGAAATATGGACTGTAAAGTATTATGGCAATGTTAAATTTCTGAACTTGATAGCTGTACTTGGGTAAGACAGCATGCTTGTTCTTATGAAGTGCATGTGTAGTGTTAAAGGGTAAAGAGTATGATGTCTACAATATACTTTCTAATGGGTCGAGGATTCTAGGATACACACCCCCAGTTAAGGGAACTGGGAGTTAAAAGGTATTCGAAGGCTGCCATAAGGATGTAAAGAGTTAAGTCTCTACCCTTACACCCACTCCAGAGAAAAACAGTACTATTAGCTTCCTGTGTTTTCCACATGGATACAAAAACTTTTGCACACATATGTAATTCTTCTATCATTCTGACAGCTATATATTCTAATGGATGAATATATAAAATGTACTTAAGTGTTCTATTGGCATTTGTTTCTAGTATCTTTTATATTACAATCTGATATCTTAACAGATTCTTTCATCACTTTTACATTTATTTTGATAAAAGTTAGGTTTGGCTTTAATTCCTTGTTTTTAAACTTTTTTTCTGCATTTTTCAACTCTGGCTGTGGCATAAGGCCTTAATTCTGTCATCTTATTTGGTTATAGTGTCTGTTTGTATGTCTTCCTTTTAAAAATATTTTATGTTCATGTTTTGTTTTAGGGTTTTCCTCCTCATCTAGTAAATACTTCTATTCAATTTATGACCATCATTATTATTATTTAGAGAATATGGAGATGGTTCTGAGGTACAATACAACAAAAATCTTCATAGGAGAACCTAAGTGCGGCCACTGGATGATCCATTCATGGAAGGAGGCTACTCAAAGTATGAAGATAAAATGTGAGCTGGACAAGAACTACAAAACACGCTGAAAGAAATCAGAGATGACACAAACAAATGGAAAAACATTCCAAGCTCATGAGCTAGAAGAATCAATATCATTAAAATGGCCATACTGCCCAAAGCAATCCACAGATTCAATGCTATTCCTATCAAACTACAAACATCATTTTTCACAGAATTAGAAAAATCCTGCCGGGTCCAGTGGCTCACGCCTGTAATCCCAGCACTTTGGGAGGCTGAGGCGGGTGGATCACAACGTCAGGAGTTCAAGACCAGCCTGGCTAAGATGATGAAACCCCATCTCTACTAAAATTACATAAATTAGCTGGGCATGGTTGGCGGGCTCCTGTAATCCCAGCTATTTGGGAGGCTGAGGCAGGAGAATTGCTTGAACTCAGGAGGCAGAGGTTGCAGTGAGCTGAGATTGCACAGCTGCACTCAGAGCCTGGGAGACACAGCAAGACTCCGTCTCAAAAAAAAAAAAAAAGAAAAAATCCATTCTAAAATTCATATGGAACCAAAAAATCAATCCTAAGCAAATAAAACAAAGCTGAGGTATCACATTACCTGAGTTAAACTATACTATAAGGAAGCTACAGTAACCAAAACAGCATGGTACAGATATAAAAACAGACCCATAGACCAATGGAATGGAACAGACAGAAATAAAGCTACACACCTACAGCCATCTGACCTTTGACAAAGTTAACAAAAATAAGCAACAGAGAAAGGATTCCCTAATTCAATAAATGGTGCTGGAACAGCTGTCTAGCCATATGCAGAAGACTCAAACTGGACCCCTTTCACCATATATATAAAATTACCTCAAGATAGATTAAAGATTTAAATATAAGGGGCCGGGTGCAGTGGCTCATGCCTGTAATCCCAGCACTTTGGGAGACTGAGGTGGGTGGATCACTTGAGGCTCGGAATTCAAGACCAGCCTGGCCAACATGGTAAAACCCCATTCCTACTAAAAATAGAAAAATTAGCCAGGCGTGGTGGCATGTGCCTGTAATCCCAGTTAGGTTGGGAGGCTGAGGCATGAGAATCGCTTGAGCCTGGGAGGTGGAGGTTGTGGTGAGCCAAGATTGTACCACTGTACTCCAGCCTGGGCAACAGAAGGAGACTCTGTCTTTGGGGAAAAAAAAAAAAAAAGATTTAAATGTAAGACTTCAAGCTATAAGAGTCCTAGAAGAAAACCTACGAAATAACATCTGGACATCAGCTATGGGAAAGAACTTACGGCTAAGTCCTCAAAAGCAATTGCAACAAAAACAAAAATTGACAAGTGGAACCTAATCAAACTAAAGAGCTTCTGCACCGCAAAAGGAACTATCAATACAGTAAACAGACAACCTACAGAATGGGAGAGAATATTCACAAACTGTGCATCTGAAAAAGGTCTAATGTCCAAAATCTATAAGGAACTAAAACAATTCAGAAAACGAAAACCAAGTAACTCGTGGCCAGGTGTGGTGGCTCACTCCTGTAATCCCAGCACTTTGGGAGGCTGAGATGGGTGGATCACCTGAGGTCAGGAATTCGAGACCAGGCTGGCCAACATGGTGAAACCCTGTCTCTACTAAAAGTACCAAAATTAGCCACGCTTGGTGGCAGGCACCTGTAATCCCAGCAACTCAGGAGGCTGGGGCAGGAGAATCGCTTGAACCCGGGAGGTGGAGGTTGCAGTGAGCTGAGATGGTGCCATTGCACTCTAGCCTGGGTGACAACAGTGAAACTCCATCTCAAAACAAAAACAAAAACAAAAATACACACACACAAACAAAAACCCATTAAAAAAATGCCAAAAGACTTGAACAGACACTTCTCAAAAGACAACATACAAGCGGTTAACAAACATGAAAAAATGCTCAACATTACTAATCAGATAAATGCAAATCAAAACCACAATGAGTTACAATCTCACACCAGTCAGAATGGCTATTATCAAAAAGTCAAAAAAATAACAGATGCTGGTGAGGCTGTGGGAAAAACGGAATGCTTCAACACTGTAGAAGCCAGTGCAGTGTAGAATGCGCCTACACTGATGGAAATGCAAATTAGTTCAGCCACTGTGAAAGCAGTTTGGAGATTTCTCAAAGAAGTTAAAACAGAACTACCATTTGAACCAGCAATCCCATGACTGGATATAAATCCAAATGAAAATAAATTGTTCTACCAAAAAGACACATACACTCACATATTCATCACAGCACTATTCACAACAGCAAAGACACAGAATCAACCTAGATGCTCATTAATAGTGGACTGGATAAAGAAAATTGGTACATATACACCACAGAATACTATGCAGCCATAAAAAAGAATGAAAATCATGTCTTTTGCAGCAACATGGATGCAGCTGGAGGTCATTATAGTGAATATACACAGGAACAGAAAACCAAAGACCGCATGTTCTCACTTATCAGTGGGAACTAAGCAATGGGTACACATGGACATAAAAATGAGAACAGACATAGGGGACTACTGGAGGGAAGAGGGGAGGGAAGGGGTGAAAAACCACCTGTTGGACTCTATGCTCACTACCTGGGTGACAGGATCATTTGTACCCCAAACCTCAGCATCACAAAATATACCCATATAACTCACCTGCACATGTACCCCTACATCTAAAATAAAAGTTGAAATTATAAAAACAACAACAACAACAAAAAAAATGAAATGTGAGTTAGGCAAGTCCAGATTCTAGCTGATCCCTGAGAAATGTACTTTTCTCCAAGTCAATGAATCCAATCTTTAATGGATCTGGGATGCTCTCTGACCAGGTCCTGTTATGAGTTTCCTGTGTTATAATTAAAAACCCCAAACTGATTAAGCATGAGAGGATACTTCCTGCTCTCAGATAAATTATTTATTATATTCTGTATTATCCTTGTAATTTTTCTGGATATGAATAAATAACAATGTATCTCAGAAAAACACATTTTGAAAAGCCTTATAAAGTTAAAACTTTAAATGCTTTTCATCAAAATGTTATGACCAATAAAAATGCCATTCATGTATCTCATCACACTTTCTATACATTTTGTAGTGATATGTATTTATACATACTGCAGTTGGAAATAGGGAATGCTTTTTTGGTTTCCCACGGTAGGCTGCAGGTTTTAAAAGCAGAAGTCCTGAACCTCTGAAGGCAACATAAGAAAAGTATTCATTTGAAACCTGTAGTGTTAAAAAAAAAAAAAAAAAAAAAAAAAAAAGAGAGAGGCCAAGTTCTGTGGCTCACACCTGTATCCCAGCACTTCGGAAGGCTGAGGCCAGAGGATTGCTTGAGATCAGAAGTTCGAGAACAGCTTGGGCAACATAGTGAGTCCTCATCTCTACTAAAAATAAAAACTAGCTGAGCACAGTGGCACACGCCTGTAGTCCCCAGCTACTTAGGAGGCTGAGGGGGAAGAATTGCTTGAGCCCAGCAGATGGAGGCTGCAGAGAGCCTGATGATACCTCTGCACTCCACCCTGGGCAACAGAGTGAGCTCTTGTATCCAAAAAAAAAAAAAAAAAACAAACAAATTTTAAAAAGGGAGAGTCAAGATGTTTGCTCTATTTATTTCTTTTAGGGGGCAAGACAGGAGGTAAAAAAAAAAAAAAAAAAGTTTGGTTTTTGCTTCAAAGAGCTTTTCTCAGAGCAGGGATTTATTTTCATTACATGCAACATGGACAAACACTGTTCTGGTTTTCATGACAATTTGAATTCAAAGTAATATGTTTTTCTAAAATTCAGTGTATTTATTTGGCCATATGGATGCTCCTTGTGTTCTTGGTCACATATTAAAGAAACTGGCACTTTGGCTGCAAGAACAAATAAAAAATATCATAAATCCAACTGGTCTTTGATTTGGGTCTAGGTTAATAACTAAAGAACCATTCAGCAATAATGGCTTGAAACATTTATATATCCTATGAAACCGCAATTAGTTAAGAGGCTGCTGATTCTAATAACTATGACACCAGCAAGGGAGTGAGGGGAGAAATGTTAACTCTGGATGCCAAATTCAGAGCAAAGTATCTATTATCTCCTTCTCACTTTTGCAGTATCTATAAATAAAGTGGTGGGGGGAGAATTATATGAATAATGTTAAATAAAAGTGCATACAGAACTGAGAAATATTTTCATGGAATTTGCCACTTAGTTCTTAAAATTCTTATAAGGAAAATAACCATTTACAACAAAAGACTAGTTACACTGTTGCTGTTTAGAACATGAGAGCAAAATGAGTAACAATCAAATTCTCTGGTTTAAACTTAATTATCTTAAAACATGTTATTCTGTAAGTTGACATCTATGCCTTGAAAATTCAAGGCAGAAAGTAAAATCATTTAGAAAGCCAGAAATTCCATCAATACATCTAGACAGATGTTTGCTTGTAGTTTTTGGTATCCAAAACCTTTTTTCCACACATCGCACAGATGCCTGAAACAAAAGAAGATATGTGATCAATCAAATCATAATACCAACTGTTTGGTTTAAGTCAATCCTGAAGCTTAAAACATAATTTAACAGCATCAGGAAAGAAAAGAAAAGAAAAAAAAAATATATATATATATATAATTTTAATTATAAACAGGTTTTAGGTTCTATTTTGCCTTAGGATAAAGAGAGTGTTTGGCTAACAGAATTTATGACAGGCTACATCTTTTCTGTTAACCAAATTAGCAGCAAATGAAGTCGGTTTTATGAATAGAAAACGGTATTAAAAGAAACTTACCTTTTTTGTAGGCACAGCCCTGGCAGTAATGAGAACCTGGTTGGTGCACAGAACTTTTACAAATTCTACAAGTGGAGAACTTATTCTTTCCATATGGATCAAATCTAGAAATTTTTTTTAAAGAGAGAAAATTGTATATTACACTAGAAACACTCTTAAATAACCCCACTTACGCAACACACAGGATTAATCCATGCTCTCCATCCCTCCATCAACCTCTACAATTGATGGGTTTAGCCTATTCCAGATGGCTACTGTCTGATATGCCTGTACATCTCTGCTCTGCTCCATCCATGTGAGATATATACTTATAAAGAATCAGTTGTACAGTATTTATTCTTGACGTGTTCATATCAGTCGTATCTGTCATTCTATTTGTGTGACATAAATATTATGGAAACTGATGAAATGTGGGTGCAAAAAGAGTGACTGATTCCATATAACCTAAGTGACTATTTTAGGATGACTAGGAATCATATGAATTGCTATTGAATTAGGTATGGGTAAGACAACTGTTGAAAACTGGGGGAAAATCACTAGGAAAGTAACTCCACACCTCAAGCATCAATTTTTGCTCTACTTTAAAGAAACTGAACATATTCTGATTGTGATTTTTGTGACGACAATCATGTAAAGCACTTATCAGTCGATTTATGCTCAAAAGGCTTTGTTTCAATACCAAATGATTAATGCATCTACAGTTATGCGCTTTAATTTAAAATAAAGTATGTGTATCTTTTAATGACTGCTTACATTAGCTGACATTTTTAATTAACTGACTCAATCCTTTTAGATAAAAGGGCTTCCACTATATAAAAATGCCATCTTATAGTGACAGGAGTGAAAAAAAGAAATACTTTCCCCTAAAATGGCAATAATACTCTGATTTAAATGTGCTTCCCTAACATTTTTACAAAATGAGTTTTTGTAATGATCCTCATATACTAGATACGAAACACCGTCCTAGAACTGGTGTCTTCTCTTGGGTATAGTACAACAGCCCATTTACAAAGGTTAATTTTTCCAAACACAGAGAATATCACTTTTTTTTTTTTGAGACTGAATCTCACTCT
The DNA here is from genome assembly GCF_000001405.40 of Homo sapiens. Taxonomy (NCBI): domain Eukaryota; kingdom Metazoa; phylum Chordata; class Mammalia; order Primates; family Hominidae; genus Homo; species Homo sapiens. Next base: position 46,622,794 of record NC_000002.12, on the reverse strand, counting down.
ATCGCCCAGGCTAGAGTGCAATGGCGCAATCTTGGCTTACTGCAACCTCTGCCTCCCAGGTTCAAGCAATTCTCCTGTCTCAGCCTCACAAGTAGCTGGGATTACAGGCATGCGCTACCACGCCCGGCTAATTTTGTATTTTTAGTAGAGATGGGGTTTCTCCATGTTGGTCAGGCTGGTCTCGAACTCCCAACCTCAGGAGATCCGCCTGCGTTGGCCTCCCAAAGTGCTGGGATCACAGGCGTGAACCACTGCGCCCAGCTGAGAATATCACTTTACTCCCCACAAAAGATAGGTACTCTTCTTCCTTTCAATAAGTTCAATTTGTTTGGACATGTATTTCCAGAGGCTATTTTTTCTTAAAACCATATTTTATTATTCAAAAATACACATTGTAACCTTGGAAATCTTTTTTTTTTTTTTTTGAGACGGAGTCTCGCTCTGTCGCCCAGGCTGGAATGCAGTGGCGCAATCTCGGCTCACTGCAAGCTCTGCCTCGTAGGTTCATGCCATTCTCCTGCCTCAGCCTCCCGAGTAGCTGGGATTACAGGTGACCGCCACCACGCCCGGCTAATTTTTTTGTATTTTTAGTAGAGACAGGGTTTCACCATGTTAGCCAGGATGGTCTCGATCTCCTGACCTTGTGATCCGCCTGCCTCGGCCTCCCAAAGTGCTGGGATTACAGGCGTGAGCCACCGCACCCGGCCTAACCTTGGAAATCTTAAAACTGGCAGAGTTTTTTCTTAAAGTAACAATGCATCTTATAAATAACAGTACCATAGATTCCAAGCAATACTGTAGTACATTTTCCAAAGTAAGAGAGTACCCAAGAGTTACAGCTACTTTTTAATGATATCAGAGTAAGTTTGAGAGCATAAAGGAACTGGAAGTATATAAAAGCATAAAATCTGTACAAATAATAGCTCAGTCAATAAAAACAGAATGGTTCTCAAAGACCTCAATAAGTCAGTCAATAATATATAGTGTGAATCTGCATTAAAGATGCTATTATGTGCTAGGCACTGTATGTAGTTAAGGCTTTATTGTTGTTATTTCTAATCCTTGGGATGACATCAGAAAACAGGTATTTATTCATTCAGCAAATATATACTGAGTGCTTAATATTACATGGTATTTACTGTTCTAAATACCAAAGATGAACATGATAGGCAAAGCCCTTGCCCTCATCAGATAATATTGTAGTGAGAAGAGGTAAACAGTAAGTAAGGAAACAGACAATCTAATAAAACAAGCAAGGTTTTCAAATAGTAGTATTATAGAGAAAATTCTAACAGGATACTAAGGCAGAGATGAGGAAAAGGAAAGAAGAGATTAGTTTAGATGCTGATTAGGGAAACTTCTCTGAAGCTGAGACCCAAACAGCAAGAAGGAGGCAGATACGTAAGCTCTAACGGAAGACTCCTAGGAGACAGCAGCAAGTACAAATCTCTTTGGATGGGAGTGGGCTTGGCAGAACTAATAAAGACAGCATATGATGAATGAGGAGCAGTGTGGTACAATACGAAGCCGGAGAGGTGGGAGGGGTCATATTAAGGAGGACCTTGTAAGAACATGGTAGGGGGCTTAAATTTTATTCTATGTGAAAAAGAAAACCAGTGGCGGATTTTAAGCAAAGGAACTTTGTAAAGGATCACTCTCGTTACTATGAGACAACTGCGGGAAACTAGAGAAGCAGGAAGATAGTTCAATAGTTATTACAGTTCCAAGTAAGAAATAACAGTGGTTTGGAAAAGGGTAATAGCAGTGAGATGTACAGAAGCAGGTGGTTTCAGGTTACATTTTACGTTTTGGAGGTAGATCCAAAGAACTTGCTGATGGATAGGGGAAGTAGGGGAAAGGGAGGACTCAGTGAGGAATTCTAGCTTTTAGGCTTGAACAAGTGGATTAGAGAGTGGTGCTACTATGATGAGAAGACGGAAGGAAAAAGAAGTGGCCTGTTAGACATTAAATGAGGTATGTCAGATAAACTGCTAGATATACGTTTAGAGCTCAGAGAAGTCAGGCCAGAGGTATAAATTTGGGAGTTATATATATATAATAATATTATAATATATATATAATAATATTATTACATATATATATATATAACATATAGCTTGAATTTAAAGCCAGTAGATTGAAGTCACTCTAAAAGGTCACTTGTGATCTCGACAAGAACAGTTTCAGGGCTGTTGTGGGGATAACACATGACTAGAGTGGCTGAAGGAGGGAAAGGAACTTAAGGACACTGAAAAAGTGTCTAGGTAAGACTTTGGAAAACTTCTGATGTGAAGGGGAGCAAAGAAATCAGATGGCAGATGAAAGGGTTCACGAAATTTTTTTTCTGAAAGAGACTCTCACTCTGTCAACCCAGGCTGGAGATCAGTAGTGCGATCCTGGCTCACTGCAGCCTTGACCTCCCTGGGATCAAGTGATCCTCCCACGTCTGCCTCCTGAGTAGCTGGGACTACAGGCGCGTGCTGCCACACCCAGTTAATTTTTCTGTCCTTTGTAGGACAGGGTTTCACATGTTGCCCAGGCTGCTCTCAAACTCCTGGGCTCAGATAATCTGTCTGCCTTGGCTTCCCAAAGTGCTAGGATTACAGGTGTGAGTCACCTTACCCAGCCGAATTTTTAAGCTGGATATAATAAAGTGTGGTATCAAACACTTGTTTTTAAGATGGGACACTTTTTACGCAATTCTCAGGAAAAAGTAAAGTTTAGAAAGGTCACGAAACATGCTTAACTTGCTTAAGGTCATAAGGCTAGACAGTGAGTCTAGATTCAAATTTAGGTCTGACTCCAAAGCTTATGATCTTTCCACATTTGCCTGCTGTCTCTGATTCATAAGATAATTAAGAAGGAGATAAAATAAAAGTCATGTTTTCTGGTGAAACTGTAAGAGAATAACACTAATATCTTCATATATTGATACAGTGAGGAGGAATAAGGTAAAACCAGCAGGATTATAACAGATAGCTTGGTTCTGAGTGCTAGGAACCACCTAACTCTGTTTTATTGCAAATGGAATGATGCACATCAAATTCACTCCAGCAGACTTAATACTAAAAGAAGGAAATTTATGTGACCCATCGATGGATCCTCTTACCCACCTTGCTTTTTTTGAAGTCAAAGCTTTATTTTCATTCAGCTTTCTTCCACCACTTTCTGTATCAGAATAAAAGATATTTTAGTGGGTTATTTCTATACATTTAACATATAATATTAAGAAGTTCATTCCTTGACTTTCTACCAAAATAGTAGTCTATATCTAATTTTTAAATCCTCATTTAATAGGTTATTAAGATACTGCTTAAAAAGAAAATATTTATTAGGGAAACAGTAAAAATTTGTATAAAATACAATCATTTTATTTCTCAGACTCAAGGGAGTACTTTAGGAATGGGTCTATATTTACTCTATATAGCATAAAATCTAGAAGCCACTATATCAGTGTCATAGACCTTGAATATAATGAAAATGTTTATTTTTCTACCCATTGAAAACATACTTTACTATATGTATTTAATAATAATGAAGGTAAATACTTCATCATAAGTAATTAATGATAATGAAGGTAAAATGGGTTAAAGCATTTATTCAAGAATATAAAAATCAGAAGATTAAAAAAATTTCTCCTCAGAAGAGTGCAGAAATTAAATACAGACTCTAAATAAGCTGAATCAAATCAAATACTCTGATAATCAAATACTGTGATATTGCCATCACTTGACAATCATTTAATAATTTTGCTATCTCCTGATATTAGGAACCCGTACAAGTAACTGAGAACTAAATAGAAGATATTAAATCACTTGAGGACCCAGTATTCTTTAATGTTTAATAGATAAAATACTTTGAACACATAACATTTCATTGTACAAATAATGTAAAAACTAAGGTATTATTCACAGTAAGTATTCGGTTAAATTCCTATTTTCTAAAAGAAGAAATACCTGTGGTATTCCTAGCACCATCTTTCCATGTATCTGGAGTGATAACAGTACCAAGTTTCTTTTCACCTGTTAGAACAAGATAGTAAAAGGAAAATTAAACTTTATTATTTAATAAGTGCATTACATTGTGCCTAAGGTTCACAATGGTATCGACTATCAATGGTATTACCGTAGGAGCCTGTTAATGCTGGGAGAGCAGCCAATCAACTGAGACTCATATTAACTGTGGCCAATGAATGACTGACCCTCAGTAAAATGCGTAGGATAATAAGATGACTTATAATAAGCTTTCACTGTTGGTTTATATTTTAAACAAATCTGGTAAGTCTATTTGTTCCATAAATATATACTAAGCATCTATCATGTATAAACTATACAAAGTGCTGAGAAAAATGAAGTGATGAATCAGACACAATTTTAAAGGGATTACAGTACACTAATTTCTTTAACAGCAATCTGTAACCTGGGTTCCACAGGTGGATCTTAAGAGATATGCGAACAAGGTGGAGTTGTACACAAACCTTTTATATATTCATTTTTTTTTCCTGGCAAGAGTCTATAGTTTTCATCAGATTATCAGAGGGATCAGAGACCTTCCCCCCAAAAAGAACCATTCAACCAAAATGTAAGCTTAAAAAATAAAAAGTATAATAATCGACAGCTAAAGTACTAGAAGAAATTCCATGCAGGAAGAAATAACCCTAGCTAAGGAAATCCAAGAAAAGAAAGTTTGGGGAGAAGGCAAGACAGAGGATTTGGATATGTGGCAATAGGACTGTGAACAAAAAGGAGTAAAGAGGATGAAGGCAAACTAGATAAAGGACACATTCTGAGGAAAGGCATAGAAAGCTTAGAGTACACATGGGCACAAAGAGTATTTTGTTTGGTCAAAATGTGAAGAGGATAAGCCTCAGTGAAGATGAAGCTGGAAAAATAAGTTGGGGCCTTAGTGTGGAGGGTCCTGAACGCCAGGTTCCAAATATAGAATCCCCAAATTATTCTCTGCACACTGAGAATTTATTAAAGGTTTTAAGTTAGGGAAATAATAATTTGCACTTACGTTGATTTTCAATTCAAGCATCTTCTGGGCTTACTCTAAGCCATATCCTGGCATAATGACTAATGAGAATGAATAAGGCAAAGTCCTTAGTCTTTGGTTCTAGTGTCTAGCATTTGGCAGGAGAACAATACTTCTTACATGAATAGAAAGGAAAGATCAAGAATTGCCAAGACAGAAAGGTGTCGTTGGGGTTTAACTGCACATTTTTATATGGGAGGAGAGCTGATGAGATCTGGGGCTGGGGGAAGGCAACAGAAATAGACAAGGAGGTGCAGAACTGAGACCATTCTGAGTACAAAATATATAGGACTGTATGGTCGTTGGGAGGTGCAAAAATGGTCAAAGGGTAGGGTAGAAAGACAGCGGATAGAATCTGAGACCTGTGGGCGAAGAAAAAACAACGAGAAAGCAAAGTTCCCGGGAGAGCTCAGTTAGGTTCTCCCAGCCTCCTCCTCCCGCAGAAGCGGCCCCTTAACTCACATTTTTCGCACACCATCCTTCCCCACGACGGTTCCCCTAGCCGCAACAGCAGCAGCAGCAGCAGGCTGAAAACAACAACACTACAACTTGGAAGTATTCCCCTTCCGGGCTACGTCAACCCACTTCCGGCTTCTAAGCCCATACTCCCGCCTACCCCAAACCTGGAAAGCCGCTGCCCCTTTTGCCCGCCCCTCCCTTTCTGCGACTGGCTGTTAGGCGTGGGTCTCCGCCCCACAGCCCTGCGCCTGCGCGTGGGCCTGGGCCGCCCGTCGTACCTGATGGTAGGAGGCAGTAGTTCCCCGCTTCCCTTCCGCGGGAGGGAGAGTTAGGTAAGCCCCGCTGGACGCCCTCGGCGTCTCGCCTCACGAGGTGCAAGCTACCCCCGCGAATTGCCGAAGCAGCCCTGAGCCTTGGCGCCCCGACCCGCCGGCGCTCGCCGTCAGCTCAGCGCCACTCTTCCGGCGTGCCCTGATGGACAGACCCCCTTTCGGATCCGAGTTTTCGCCTCTGTCCCCCAGTTTTCCCTTGTCTTCAACTCCCATGCTCTTTGATCCTGCCTCTCAGCTGGTTCCTCGCTGCCCACGCTTGCGCCGGCGTAGGCTCGGGCAGAATCCCGAGGGACCCGGGTTGGGGTGGGGCTGCCGGTGAAGGTGCGGCGATGCCCGCGAAGGCTCCTCTGGGTGCCGCTCGGAAGAGCCTTCTCTCCGCTGCGGTGCGTAGCGAGGTGGGCCGGGTCATGCCCGTGGCACTTCTGCAGGCGTCCTGGGGGCACGCCAGGGCCTAACCGGTGCTGGTTCCCTCTTTGCTTACTCTGGTTCCTTCATTCATTCAGCAAACATTTGAGTTTGGGTCCTGCTCACTGTATTACATCCACATCTGCTGCTGGCAGCTGCGATTCCGAGGGTGGCTCAGAAAAATCGCTGAAGGGCTATCTGTTGAGAGAATGGATTCCTGATCCCCTTGCCCTCCCTCAATCAGCTTAAGATAGAATCTATGGGAAACTTTCCCTTTGTCCCTTCTTGCCATCCGTTTGCTTTTCATGCCTAGTGTATTTCCTTATACCAGAGAGATGGCTGTAGCGCATGGGACCTTGGACCACCTCACCTGTTTGCCGTGTTTCCTTATCAGTAAAATATCTGCCTTTGAAAAGCATTGGGTGAATTAAATGAGAGCTATTAGGATAAGGCCCAGGTTCGCCTTTCTGCTTTTCTCACTAGTGGGCGCCCCTCCGCCCACGCGCGCGCGCGCGTGTGCGTGTGTGTGTATAGTATTTTTTTTTCTGAGATATTTCTATTTTCTGGAATATTCTCCATAATGTAACATATTGACTGTTACTTTAAATTAATAAAGTCCTTGTTTAGCAGTACAATTAGTCAGCTCTCAGGTAATTTAAATACGTGTATTTTAGAGACGGTAATTTTTTTTTCCTCCTTCCGTTCGTGCTCTACTTTTGGTTGGAATTTAACACCTGTAACAGACGTTGTCATCTTGGTATTTCTGAAGCATTGGGATCCCTTGGTTTAGTGTGGTGCTCTTTGAACTCTTGATTCCACTGGCCACCATTTGAGTATTGGAATGTGCACTTGGTGTCATTTGGCATTTGCTAGAAGATGTGAACTACTGTAATGTTAGACAAGAGTAAAAAAAAATACCAACAATTCAGCCTAAGTATATTTGTGGAGTTGTTGGAATTATAACCTATGCATTCTAGAAACCGCATAAATAAACTTTGGTTATAATTGCAACAGGCAGTAGATAATTTAATCCACACAGTTGATTTCATCTCTTTGATATTGGCCAAAAAAGTTTAAATGAATTGCTTTATTGGTCCTAGGACATGACCCTTTTGCAGAAACCAGTCACAATATTTAAGAAATTAGTAAATTTGTTCTTTTTAGGCTCTGAGAGATGTTTGTACCATATTAAGAAAATCAAAGGTAGAATAGAAAGCTAAGTCTGTATGTGCATCTACACGTCTGCATCTTTTGTGTTTTGAAACAAATACATTGCTCATAGAAAATTGACTTTATGACCTATTTTTAGGGGTCAAAACATTTAAGACAATGGAAAAAGTCGTTATTGCATATGCTCTTCTTTTCTTGTTTTTTGTTAGCTAGCCATCCAAGAAAACACCATGAAAGATAACGATATCAAGAGACTACTGTATACCCATCTTTTATGCATATTTTCAATTATCCTAAGTGTCTTCATTCCATCACTCTTCTTGGAGAACTTCTCAATATTGGAAACACACTTGACATGGTTGTGCATCTGTTCTGGTTTTGTAACTGCTGTCAATCTAGTACTATATTTAGTAGTGAAACCAAATACATCCTCTAAAAGAAGTTCATTATCACACAAGGTAAGGCTTATGTCTCAATAACTGATTTTTGGATGGAGCTAGTGTTTCTTTTAATGGAAGAATAAAGTATTCATCAAGTCTTTATTAGCTTATTTATAGTGAGCAAAGGGAACCTGATATTTTTCCCCCCAAATTGGTAGGCTGTTACTTGGTGGAAGGCTGCCCACAATGTTTGATTGATCCTTGCCTTGCATTAATTATGGAATTATGACTTCTTCAGAGCATATTATAATATTGTGAGCCTATATAGTCATTGTTTTATGTCACCATTGAAAATAAATACGTGTGACAGTCTATCTTTAAACCTTACTCAATAAGACATTGCAGTTTATTTTTATTATTTTTGCATTTCTGAAAGCCACTTAGTGGGATTTTCAGAAATTGCAATATAAGCCTGTGGTAATGCTTGTTTCCAACATGGCCTTCCTTGACTAAACAATTTTCAGATATTAGAATCAATTTTCCAGAATATTCACTGCAGTAGATATTCACTTGGCTATTACTAATAATGTCCACACTTAACATTATTTTCTACCATGTATAAGCTCTGTTAGGTCATTTACTGCCTATGATTGGAAAAGCTGAATGTATGTGTTATGTTTATATATTCTTAAGCTCCAAATCAAGAAGATCTCATGTTTCTTTGTAGATGTTCAGGTCTTTTTTCATACGGGTTGTGTAATATGAGTGTGATTTCAAGAATTATTTAGTATTTTGCTTTTTCAGTGCAGTTTTCCCAGGAATTTTGTTTTAAAATGAAAAAAATTGTTATTTTCTGCAGATATTTCCTCTATCATCGCATAATACTGTATTTTTTGTATCCTAGCTCTCTGATGTCAATCAGTATTTGATAAATATTGATTAATGACATAGCTCTATATTACCATGGAAACAGAACCTCTTTTCGACTCATGTAGGTCGGATGGGTAGAATATGGGCGGAAGGTGGTATTTGCCTTTTAGGCTTTTTTAGTCTGTATCGAAGGCTGTGTATGTGACGGTACAGGACATGTGATCTGATTTGAGTATACCCAAGAACATTTGAACTGTTTTACACATTATGGGAACAAGTTGTGTTTGTAGATGAAATGGAAGAATTTATTGTCCTTTAAGCATTATCTTGAATCTTCAGGTTATTCATTTCTCTTTTAGGTAACTGGATTTTTGAAATGCTGTATCTACTTTCTTATGTCTTGTTTCTCCTTTCATGTAATTTTTGTTCTGTATGGAGCACCACTGATAGAGTAAGTTTGAAATTTTTACCCTAAATTTATATTTTAAAACATTCATTTACCAAACTGTGTGCTAATTCTTAGCAACTAGAGAAAAACCATGATGTGCATCATTAATAGATCAAGTAAGGACACCAACATCATTAGCAGTGTTATTCTTTTTTAAAAAAAACAGCAGAATAACTTAATTTATTAAATACTCTTGTTACCTAGCCTTCTAGTATCCAATTGCATGTTGAGAGAAGGGAGAGTAGAGAAACTATACTATACCAATAAGTATTTGGCCCTTAGAACCTCTGAAAGAACTTACTATGATTATATGTGTAAGTTATAATTAGCATATCAGTTCTTATAAATGTGATTCTAAAGTACTTGAATGGAGTTTTTCTTAACAAAAGTCAATAGATTCCTGTATTCAAATACTGAATAAGCTGGTGTTTATAGTTTAAAGGTAAAATTTAACACTTTTTCTGAACTGACAAATTTCAAATTCTTAGAAACAAAATTCATGAATGTTTCTTACATAATGTTTATCATAGTTTGAGAAGCTTCAGTTTAGCAGTGATTAATGATCATGGTGAAATGAGTGATGAGATACATATACATATACACACACATATATTTGTGTTGCTAAGTATACCATTTTATATATATATATATATTTATACATAGTTTTACGTACACACACTAAACTGACAGGTTATTCTTTTCTAGATGGGAGAGAACAAGACCTTTGTAATGGAAAATGGTGGTTCCTGTCTAATCCATTTTAAAGCAGAATGAATGTGTCTGGCACAGTGGTTCTCAAAATGTGGTTTTCAAACCAGCAGCATCAGCATTTTATCAAAATGCAAATACTCAAGCTTCAGTCAGAAACTCTAGGGGTAGAGCCCCCACCAATCTTTAGTTTATCCAGCTCTCCAGGTGTTTCCAATATATGTTAACCACTAGTTGTAGAGAACCACTACAACTAGTATTCAATAGTGGTTCAATAGTGGTTCAATAGTGTATTGAACCACTAGTTGTAGAGAAAGTTCCAGAGAGACTATTGAGCAGAAAGCTAACTATCTAGAAATGGATTTTGTTTGTTTGTTTGTGTTTGCAGTGAAAGTCTCAGCATGGATCCTAGGGTCTTTAACACTTCTGAAATCTATCATTAAAGCGAAATACTTGCTAGATTGTTTTTTAAAGCTACATGTTGGTGGTAAAATTATTTATAGTCATCATTTTGGTGGCATTCATGTTACCTTTCAAAGTAAAGCATAGGAAGATATTTCACATTTTATTTATATAATAAAGATTATGTATGTGTATGTTTACCTTTAACACTTTTTTAAAAAGTAATCTTTTTTTTTTTCTAGGTTGGCATTGGAAACATTTTTATTTGCAGTTATTTTGTCTACTTTTACTACTGTGCCTTGCTTATGTTTGTTAGGACCAAACCTCAAAGCATGGCTAAGAGTGTTCAGTAGAAATGGGTAAGTTTTAATTTTATATTATAATGATATTGAAATTAAAAAATAATTAATGAAGTATTTTTCTATTCATGGCAGTTTGCTGATTATTCTGAGTGCTTCTCATTGCTGATGGTGCTCAGAGATGCCTTAAGGGGTCACTGCAATTAGGGACTGGGGACAGGGCAGGCAGAACTACAAGCCCCTCCCTCCACGTTAGCAAGATCAGCTCTCCTTTTTTCTGTATGGTAGAATTCCACCTAGCCTTTTGTTTGTTTAAAAAAAAAAAGAAGAAGAAGAAATAAAAAAAAATTCTACTATTAAAAGAAAGCCTTGAAAACCATGGTTCTGGGATAATTTGGCACTGTGATAAGACTGCTGTAAATAAAATTGCTTACATACATTTTATAAGGTAGAAGTGGGGTCCACAATCTAAAAATGTGTTGTGTAACAATGATAATTTCTTGTTTAGCCTTTTTTGTGATAAGATACCAGAGCTCAAGTTTTATGAGATTTCATTTCCTTGGTGGCCGTATATATTTTCAGCATGGCTAAGTTAAAATTTTAGCTTCTTGAAAGTCATTTAAATGATATGCACCAGAAATAGTGGAGATCTAGCTAAGAAAGCCAGAAGGTTATTTGATTCTTTCCTATTTATCACCCAGCAGCAAGAACTTCTTGAGCACTTAGTCTGTGCTCTGTGTTATTGTGTTATGCTAAGCTGTGTGTGGTTTCTGAAGTATTAGGAGGAATCTTTTTTTTTTTTTTTGAGATGGAACCTCGCTCTGTCGCCAGGCTGGAGTGCAGTGGCATGATTTCGGCTCACTGCAACCTCCATCTCCCAGGTTCAAGTGATTCTCCTGCCTCAGCCTCCCAAGTAGCTGGGACTACAGGTGCATGCCACCATGCCCAGCTAATTTTTCTATTTTTAGTAGAGACAGGGTTTCACCACACTGGCCAGGATGGTCTTGATCTCGACCTCATGATCCGCCCGCCTCGCCTCCCAAAGTGCTGGGATTACAGGTATGAGCCACCACACCCGGCCTTATTAGGAGGATTCTTTTGCTGAGGAGCTTATCTGTTCAAGGGACAAAAATGAGCAAATAACATCAGATTACAAATGTGTAAATCCAGCAATAAGTGGTGTAGGAACTCAAAGGGACAGAGCATCAGTAAAGAATGGAGGGGGAGATGGGAATGATCTATGATGGACTTAAGTCAAGAGTATATGATTTGGTGAGACCAAGAAGGAAGAGAAAGGCACCTCGTGCAAGGAGAATGGATAAAAGCATTGAAACTGAAATGAACAGGGTATTTTTGTGTGATTTGAAAGGTAACAGCCCAATGAGAGCAAAAGATGCATGCTGAGTAGCTTGGCTTCATAAATTACCGACTTATTCCCTTTGAAATCAGTACTGTTTGGGACGAGTGTGGTGGCTCACGCCTGTAATCTCAGCACTTTGGGAGGCCAAGGCGGGTGGATCACCTGAGGTCAGGAGTTCAAGACCAGCCTGGCCAACATGGTGAAACCCCATCTCTACTAAAAATACAAAAATTAGCTGGGTGTGGTGGCGGGTGCCTGTAGTCCCAGCTACTTGGGAAGCTGAGGCAGGAGAATTGCTTGAACCCAGGAGGCGGAGGTTGCAGTGAGCCGAGATCGCACCACTGGACTCCAGCCTGGGCAACATAGTGAGAATCTGTCTCAAAAAAAAAAAAAAAAAAAAAGGAATCAGTACTGTTTTCCCTTGGAACCGTCTTCTAATATTCATAAAGTCTCTAGAAAACAGAAGTGTAACAACTGAAAGCATTTTCTACATTATTACCATAATATCCCAAATGGTATTAATTGCTTTTAGCCTTTTAGTTTGAAATTTTTAAATAGTGAAATTGGATTGAAATCTTATTACTTTGGATTAGTGATTTCTCCAGTTTTCAAGTCTATGTCTAATAATGGGTGTATTTGGGGGAAATACTGTCATGTGATTTTACAATTAGTTCTGCTATAATGTGGCCTGTGTGTTCCTAAAAATCACTACGCTGTACAAAATGGGCAGTAAAAACCACAGAGCTTATGGGAAAGATGGGGTTAGGTCATAACACTAAAACAATTCATCAGTGACATGTAGAGAGAAGATGGGAACTTAATAAAAATGGTAGCACAGTTTTACACGTTTAAAATGGTTACAAAATACAGGCATACCTCATTTTATTGTTCCTCACTTTATTGTACTTCTCAGATATTGCTCAGATCAGATACTGTTTTTTATAAATTGAAGGTTTGTGGCAACCCTGCATCAAGCAAATGTATCAGCGCCGTTTTTCCAACAGCATGTGTTCTCTTCATTGGAAACTCTCACAATATTTCAAGCTTTTTCATTATTATTATATCTATTATGGTGATCTGTGGTCTTTGCTGTTACTTTTTGTAATTGTTTTGGGGCACCATGGCTCATACCCATATAAGATGACGATCTTAATAAATGTTGTACATCTTCTGACTGCTTCACCTACCAACGTGTTCTCTCTGTCTCTCTCCCTTCCCCACCCTCCCTCTCTCTCCCGTCCCTGTTCCCTGAGATACAAAAATATCAAATTTAGGCCAGTTAATAACCATACTATGGTCTCTTAAGTGTTCAAGTGAAAGGAAAATTTTACTTGTCTCTCACTTTAAATCAAAAGCTAGAAGTGATTAAGCTTAATGAAAAAGTTAAGTTGTCAAGAACTGAGACAGACTAAAAGTGAAGCCCCTTGTGCCAAATAGCCAAGTTGTGAATGCAAAGGAAAAGTTCTTAAAGGAAATTTAGTCTACTCTAGTAAACACATGAGTGACAAGAAAGTGGAACAGCCTTACTGCTGATGGGGAGAAAGTTTTATGGTCTGGATGAAAGATCAAACCAGGTACAACATTCTAAGCCAAATCCTAATCCAGAGTAAGCCTCTCACTCTCTTCATTTCTGTGAAGGCTGAGAGAGGTGAGAAAGTTACAGAAGAAAAGTTTGAAACTAGCAGTGGTTGATTCATGAGGCTTAAGGAAAGAGGCCATCGCCATCACATAAAAGTGCAAGGTGAAGCAACAAGTGCTGATGTAGAAGCTGGAGCAAGTTATCCAGAAGATCTAGCTAAGATTGTTGGTGAAGGTGGCTAAATAACAGATTTTTAATGTAGACAAAACAGCCTTCTATTGAAAGAAGATGCCATCTAGGACTTTTAAAGTTAGAGAGGAGAAGTCAGTGGCCACCTTCAATGCTTGACAGGCTGACTCTCTTGTTAGGGGCCAGTGCAGCCAGAGACTTTAGTTGAAGTCAATGCTAATTTACCATTTTGCAAATCCTAGGGCCCTTAAGAATTATGCTAAATCTACTTTGCCTATATACTGTCAATGGAACAACGAAGTCTGGATGACAGCACATCTGTTTATAACATGGTTTACTGAATATTTTAAGCTCACTTTTGAGACCTACTGCTCAGAAAAAAAAAATCCTTTCAAAATATTGCTGCTCATTGACAATGTGCCTAGTCACCCAAGAGCTCTGTTGGAGATGTACAAGAATATTAATGTTTTTTTCATGCCTACAACACAAGATCCATTCTGTAGCCCACGGATCAAGGAGTAATTTTGATTTTCAAGTCTTATTACTTAAGAAACACATTTTGTAAGGCTATAGCTGCCATAGATAGTGATTCCTCTGATGGATTTGGAAAAAGTAAATTGAAAACCTTCTGGAAAGGACCATTCTAGATGGATGCCATTGAGGACATTTGTGATTCAAGGGAGGAGATAAAAATATCAACATTGACGAGAAGCTGATTCCATTCCTCATGAATGATGTTGAGAGGTTCAGGACTTCAGTGGAGGAAACCACTGCAGATGTGGTGGAAATAGCCAGAGAACTAGAATTAGAACAGGAGCCTGAAGATGTGACTGAATTGCTGCAACATTATGATAAAACTGGAACAGATGAGGAATTACTTCTGGATGAGAAAGAAAATGGTCTCCTGAGATGGAATCTACTGGTGAAGATGCCATGAATATTGTTGAAATGACAACAAAGGATTTAGGATATTGCATAAACTTAGTTAATAAAGCAAAGCAATGGCAGGGTTTGAGAGGGTTGACTCCAATTTTGAAAGAAGGTCTACTCTGGGTAAAAGGCTGTCAAACAGCATGGCACGCTACAGATCAATCTTTTCTGGAAGGAAGAGTCAATTGATGCAACCAACTTCATGGTTAAAATTTCACTTTAAGAAATTGCCGGCTGGGCGCAGTGGGTCGTGCCTGTAATCCCAGCACTTTGGGAGGCTGAGACAGGCAGATCACTTGAGGTCAGGAGTTTGAGACCAGCCTGGCCAACATGGTGAAACTCTGTCTCTACTAAAAATACAAGAAAAATTAGCTGGGCGTGCTGGTAGGCCCCTGTAATCCCAGCTACTTGGGAGGCTGAGGCACAAGAATCACTTGAACCCAGGAGGCAGAGGTTGCAGCGAGCCGAGATTGTGCCACTGCACTCCAGCCTGGGCGATAGAGCGAGACTCAGTCTTAAAAAAAAAAAAGAAAAGAAATTTCCACAGCCTCCCCAACCACCACCCTGATCAGTCAGCAGCCGTCAACATCAAGGCCACATCTTCCACCAGCAAAAAGATTACAACTTGCTGAAGGCTCAGATAATTATTAACATTTCTTAGTAATAAAGTATTTTTAAATCATGTGCATTTAAAAAACTAATGCTATTGCCCACTTAATAGACTATGATACAGTAGAAATATAACTTTTATATGCACTGGGAAACCAGAAAATACATATGACTCACTTTATTGTACAATTTGCTTTATTCTGGTGGTCTGGAACCAAATCTGCAGTATCTAAAAGGTATGCCTGCACCCAAATATTACAATAAACATAGCACTTTTCCTTGGAAAAGGTTTCCTTGGTAAAGGTTTGCTTCTGGAAATAGACATGAGAAGGGTTGCCTATTGTGAGTTATTGCGAAGTGATGAGATGGTTGTTGGAAATCTGAGGGAAAATTAACACCAGATGTGCGTATGTGTGGCTCATGACACGTAGTAAACTGAGGTAGCTGGGAGGTGGTTATTTTTTAAAACAGTATTGAGATATAATTCACACACCGTACACATCATCTATTTAAAATATACAATTCAATGACTTTTTGCAACCACCAATCTACTTACTGTCTCTATAGATTTGCCTATCCTGGAAATTTGTTATAAATTGGGTCTTATGTGATCTTTTGTGACTGCCTTTTTTTACTTAGCATAATGTTTTCAAGGTTTATCTATGTTGTAGCATGCTTCAGTACTTCATTCCTTTTTGTGGCTGAATAATATTCCATTGTATGGATATATATCAAATTTTGTTTACCCATTTATCAGTTGATGGACATCTAGGTTCTTTCCACATTTTGCATTTTGGTTGTTGTGAATAAGCTGCATCAAACATTTGTGTATAGGTTTTTTTATGGACATATGTGTTTATTTATCTTGGGTATGCCTTGGAGCGGGATTGCTGGGTCACATGGTAGTGTTAAGGGTTTGAGAAGCAAGCTCCAGTGTTCAAACTCTGTAAAGTGCAGTTTGGTACTATCTGTAAAAATTACAAATATACTTCTTCGACCCAGCAATTCTACTTCTTGGATTTTAACCAGTAGGTATACTTGCACACTTACAAAATGTTGAATATATAAGATTACTCATTTCAGCATTGAAAATTACCTAAATATCCTTTAATAAGGGATAGGGTTAGGATAAATTTAACCCACACTGTGAAGTACTATGCATTTGTAAAAACTAAACACATAAAAACAGAAAAAAACCCCAAAACAAAACTCTTTATTTACCGATAAGTTAGTGGAAAAAAGCAAGGTGAAAAAATGTGTACAGGATGCTACCATTTATGTCAAAAGTTGTCAGAGGGCACAGATACACGTATATTTCTGGAAGGATATGTGAGAAACTGATAAAACCTGTTGTCTCTTGCGAGGGGATCTGAGAAGCTAGAGGACAAAGTAAGGAGACTTTCCACTGAATATCCTTTGCTATCTTTTGAAATTTGAACCACATTAGTGTACTACCTAGTCAAAATAAAAGTTATAATGAGTTAGAGTTTGCCAGTACTTAACTTTCTTCTTGCTTATGGAAAGTAGGCTTATGTCAGGAAATTGCTAGATTTCTCTGATGTCACCTAAACTTCAGTAGACTGCAAAAGTTGTCCTAAAATTTCCAACATACTGGAGAACAGCCTAGTCTCCAGAGGACTATGGCTAAAAATTATCAATTTATAATGTGAAACATTTTATATAATATCACATAGCACATGACATGAAATAGCAATGCAAAAATATTTTAATAACTTTTAAAGCATTTTCATTATAGAGTTTCTCAGAGCAATCTAGTGAGATACTCACTTTCACCATTTTCTAGATGAAGAACTTAGAAAGCTGACAGGTTAAGTGATTTGCCCCAGTTCTGTAGCCAGGAAGTAGTAGAGCTGGGATTGGAATCTAGATCATTAGATGGTGTAGAAGTTAGACGACTCCAGTAATTGAGGATCAGAAAACAGGTTCTTGCCCTGTTTTTACTACTTAGCGGCCAAGTGATCTTAGACAAGCTACTTAACTTCACATATGTAATATGATTAGAATAAAACTAATATGTACTTTGCAGGGCTGTGTCAGAACTGAGTGAAATGAATGAAATCAAATAATAGGTTCTTAAGAAATGTTTGTTGAATGGATTAAAAAATGTCAGGGAGCATTTTATATATCATACTTTCAGTCCTTACTGCAATTTGTCTCAGTATTTCTTCCTAGTTTAGGTGACAGACCAAGGAGCACAGTGCATAGATAACTATGGAGGAGGGCTGGTTTTTTCATTTAATTTAATGTGAAGTTAATTTGAACTTTGACGTAAGAGAAGAATCTAAGTCTTTATGTTTCCACCATACACTAGAGTTAGTTCACTTCTTCTTAGTACTTTTATTATACTTCCAAATTTTACTATAGAAAGCATGTCAAATTTTGAATAAGCTAGGAAATAATTAGATTAACTCGTTGAACATTAGAGTTTGCCTTCTTAAATGTTCACTTTTAAGCAAAAATATTTAAAAACTCAAAGATCTATGGTTTTGCAGTGATAATATAAATATTCACAAAGAATTACTAGTTATATTGAAATTGCTCCAATATGTAGTTAGCATTATTCATATTGAATCACAACTTTATTTTTTAATTTTTATTTTTTTGTGTCTACATAGTAGATATATACATTTCTGGAGTACATGAGATATTTTGATACAGACACACAATGCATAATAATCACATCAGGGTATTCACATCAAGCATTTATCTTTTGTATGTATGGTTGTACAAGCAATCCAATTATACTCTTAGTTATTTTTAAATGTACAGTTAAATTATTATTGACTATAGTCACCCTGTTTTGCTATCAAATACTAGATCTTACTCATTCTATCTTTTTCATGCCCATTAATCACATTCTCTGCACCCCCCACCCCCACTACTACCCTTCCCAGCCTGTGGTAACCATCCTTCTACTCTCTATCTCCATGAGTTCAATTGTTTTTTTAACTACCACAAATAAGTGAGAACATGCGAAGTTTGCCTTTCTGTTCCTGGCTTATTTCATTTAACATAATGACCTCCAGTTCTGTCCACATTGTTGCAAATGGCAGGAACTCATTCTTTTTTTAATGGCCAAGTGGTACTCCACTGCATGTATGTATCACTTTTTTTTTTTAATCCATTAGTCTGTTGATAGACACTTAGGTTGCTTCCAAATCTTGGCTATTGTGATTAGTGATGCAATAAACATGGGAGTCCAGCTATCTCTTCAATATACTGATTTCCTTTCTTTTGGGTATATACCTAGCAATGTGATTGCTGGATCATATGGTAGATCTGTTTTTGTTTTTTTGAGAACTGATCTCCATAATGGTTGTACTGATTTACATTCCCACCAACAGTATGTGAGAGTTCCCTTTCTCCACATCCTCGCCAGCATTTGTTATTGCCTGCCTTTTGGATAAAAGCCATTTTAACTGGGGTGAGATGATAATCTCATTGTAGTATTGATTTGCATTTCTCTGACGACCAGTGATATTGAGCACCTTTTCATATACCTGTTTACCACTTGTATGTCTTTTTTTGAGAAATGTCTATTCAGATCTTTTGCCCATTTGTAAATTGGATTATTAGGGGTTTTTTTTCCCTGTAGAGTTGTTTGAGCTCTCTATATAGTCTGGTTATTAACCCTTTGTTAGATAGATAGATTGGAAATATTTTCTTCCATTCTGTGGGTTGTCTCTTCACTTTCTTGATTGTTTCTTTTGCTGTACAGAAGCTTTTTAACTTGATGTGATTCCATTTGTCCATTTATGCTTTGGTTGCCTGTGCTTGTGGGGTATTATTCAAGAAATCTTAGCCCAATCCAGTGTCCTGGAAAGTTTCCCCAATGTTTCCTTTTAGTAGTTTCATAGTTTGTGGTCTTAAATTTAAGTCTTTAATCCATCTTGGTTTGATTTTTGTATATGGCGAGAGTTAGGGGTCTAGTTTCATTCTTCTGCGTATGGATATCCAGTTTTCCTGCCACCACTTATGGAAGAGACTGCTCTTTCCCCGGTGTATGTTCTTGGCATCTTTGATGAAATGAGCTCACTGTAGATGTATGGATTTACTTCTGGGTTCTCTATTTGTTCTATTGGTCTATGTGCCTGTTTTTATGCCAGTACCTTGCTGTTTTGGTTACAGTAGCTCTGTAGTATAATTTGAGTCAAGTAATGTGATTCTTCCAGTTCTGTTCTTTTTGCTCAGGATAGCTTTGGCTATTCTGGGTCTTTGTGGTTCCATATAAATTTTAGGATTGTTTCTTCTATTTATGTGAAGAATAGTGTTGGTATTTTGATAGGGATTGCATTGAATCTGTGGATTGCTTTGGGTAGTATGGACATTTTAACAATATTGATTCTTCCAGTTCACAAACATGAAATATCTTTCCATTTTTTGTGTCCTCTTCAATTTCTTTCATCAGTGTTTTATAGTTTTCATTGTAGATATATTTCACTTCTTTGGTGAAGTTAATTCATAGATATTTAATTTTATTTGTAGCTGTTATAAATGGGATTACTTTTTTATTTCTTTTTCAGATTATTTGCTGTTGGCATATAGAAATGCTACTGATTTTTGTATGTTGATTTTGTATCCTGCAACTTTATTCAATTTGTTTATCAGTTCTAATAGTTTTTGGTAGTCTTTAGGTTTTTCCAAATACACGATTATATCATCTGCAAACAAGGATAATTTGACTTCTTTCTTTCCAATTTGGATGCCCTTTATTTTTTTCTCTCATCTGATTGCTCTAGCTAGGACTTCCTGAGTCACAACTTTAATTTCAAAGAATTCTATTATTATTCAAGGAGATTGTACAAAATACATGAATAGTACATGCTTTTTCCTACTCAATAATAATTTAGAACAGAAATTAAAATTTCAATTTGAAGTTCTTATGCTGTAGTTCTAATTAATAAAAAGTATTTAAAATACCTTGAAGTGTCAACTGAAGATTTTAGAGCTTTAAATATTTTTATCATTCATCCTGTATTTTAATATGTAAAACACAGTAGAGTTTTGTGTGTATTTTTTTTAACTTAAAGACAGCCCTTTTAGTATTATTAAAATGTGAATAATTCAGATGTTCAGTGTGAACAGGCTAATTTTGAATTGGCATGATATCTCAATTAGTGTTGAATCAATATAAATGTTGTATAATATTTTTAAGTGAAATAAGTTTATATACTAGTTTTTAATGTATTTATTTGCATGTTTGTAGAAAACTTATGTTGAACACATGATAGTCATGTGACGACAGAGAACAACAAAGCTTTGAGCTTGTGAACTGTATAGGAACTACATCCTACAAGTTAAGGATCAATTCTGATACTATTGGGATTTTATACATAACTAAAAGACACTATTTTAACAGGATTTCTCCTTACAGTAAATGTTAAGTTACTCCAGGAAAACAAAACAAAAGAATACTATTATAAAGAAACTTGGAAGTAGACAAGGTCATTTGGTTTCTTAAAATATTCTGCCAGCTTCTTATTGGTATACTTATTAAATAATATACTCAGTTTGTACTAATTTAATTCAGTTATTGCATTGGCATTAAAATTATTTTTTTTTTCATTTGCAGACTTTCTTATAAAGGAAAGTAATAATCTGACTACTATACACCCATATAGTTCATTGAAACTTGTTTTTTGACATATCAGTTCTTTTATGCTGTTATTTGAATGTTTAAGTTAGAAGTTGATCACTTTTGGTGAACTAAATAGATTCCTGAATAGTACTAAACAAAAATCTTGCCAAGAGTAGTGATCTAGCCGAGGTGAAAACATTCAATAAGACCTATTTGTGTAGACAAAGATAATAGGCCTCTTTTTGTCATCTTTGTATTGAAATAGATTTTATATTGAAGCAACCACTGTGGACACTAAGAGTGAAAATATAGTGAGTGACCAAAGATTTACTCATATAAAAAGTAGATAATTTAGTATAAATGTGGGCAAAAAATTTAGTGGCAAAGAGGCATTTGTTTTAATATTCAGTGGGGAAGGAAAACATTTATATTAGAATTTTGTAAAATACCTTTAGCCACTAGGAGGAGTTGTACAGTGTCTCTTTTTTAGATGAAGAGACTAGCAGTTCAAAAAATTAAATCTATTTAAACAAACACTATTTTGATGACAGTGTATTTAAACCATGAGTGTTTACTATGAACTACCCTCAGGTGTCTGATACAGTGTCTGGCACGTAGTAGGCACTCAAAATGGCCTGTTTACTTCAATTAATATTTGATGTAATGAATTCCAGTGGAGTCAAATAATTTGGACAAATAGTTGGAGCACAGTGTCATGAAGGCTGGCCTGTAACATTGCTGTAGTCACTTTTTAAGTTTGTTCACAGGGGAGCCATTTATTTATTCTGAGCCCTATTGACTGTGCATATATTCCTTAACTTTGAAAAAATTAGCCAATAACCGTAGAATTCAAATAGCTTTATTATGGAAACTTACAAAATGAGAGTACATCAATGTCAGTGATGCTAGAAATTAGTTAATAGAAAGGAATTTACCTATTTTATTCTTTTTATCTTATTTATTACAAAATAATGTATATAAATGTTTGTAGTAAAAATTCAAACAGAAAAATATAGAAAGTTAAAGATCCTAGTAATGCTATCATGGAAGCAATGAACAACTAGCAGATTTTATATGTTCTTCGAATTTTGTATTAATTATATATATATAATTTTAAAACAAAATAGTTAAACTAGTCATGGCTTTATAACTTTTTTCCCACTAATGTGTTATGAACATCGTTATCTGTGTGTGTGTATAATCTACCTCTTCTTACATAGTATTCTTAGCTACTGTATCTCTATAAGTAACATAAAACTTCAGCTTATATTGGTTTGAATAATAAGGAAACTGATTATGTCACATAACGGAAATTGGATGGTTCTAGACACAGATAGTCATGGTATGGTTGTGCTTCTTACTGATTCTCCTTGTTATTATCCTCAGGCTGGTAGTGGGATGGCAGCAGTTTCTCTTCCTTGAGTTTTCCTAATCATTGAGAAACAGAATGGGATCATCAATAGTTAATTAATTAGTCTCATCATCAGGGTTGAGATGAATGTTGAGCAATTAATCATCATTACAAGTATTCCATGTACCATGATTTATTTAACTAATTTCCTATTAAGGTTTAATATCAAATTTTCATGATAATAAATAATGTTGTTAGGTATATCTTTGTTCCATATAATTTTGTATACTTGTGCAAAGGTTTTTGTAGACTAGATTACTTGAGTAACATTCCTAGATCAAAGGAAGTTAACAGACACTGTCAAACTAAAGTTATAATTTGAAGAATATGTATATACCCCCATACATATTCCTACCAATAGAGTGTAGGTTTCCCTGACTCCCCATCAGGCCTCTTTACCTCTTATCAATCTACCAGGGCTGCTACCTACAGGGATCTGCTAAGGGGGCAGACTGTGCACTATAGTAGCTTCATCTGATTTCTAAGAGGAGGCGTAAGCCTTGGCCATGAATTTTTAAGTCTCAATTATAGAACCACCATTTATTAAATTTCAGTGGAATATTACTAACTGAATCACAGAGATAGCATTTATCTTACCCAGCCTCCCTACCTCCATTCTCTTTCCTGCCTCATGTTACAGAAAACTTATTAGAAAATAACATCCAGTCCTCAAAAGGCAGCTTCAAGACAGGGAAAATTGGGGCTAGTTAAGATAGGATGTGTGCCCATGTGAAGTGTGAGCAAGAGAAAAGAAACGGCATGACAACCCTAAAAATGCACTATAGAAGAAGGAAAAGGGGTGTGCAGAAGATGAAGAATCTGGCCTGAAAGAAAGTGCTACCCTAGAAGCAAAAATAAACAAAAAAACCTCCACACAGTTTACCATGAAAAATAGTACTAAGGATATGAATTGAATAAATTAAGAGCAAAGATGAGATCATGAAACAAAATGACGTGGAGAAGAAGATTGCAGAATTAGTGAAATAAATTGAGAATGCAAAGGTCACTATTACAGGACATAAATTAAAAATATCAAGAAACAGACAAATTAGAAAGTCAGGTTTTAGCATGGAAGAAAGGTTTGAGCTAATCAAAATGAATGCGGGGTAGGGAGGGGGTTGGGAAGAATAAAGCATTTAGAGAAGATGTGATAAATATAGAGGAGAAATGAAAGGGATGCAAACAAGACTAGTTAGTGCCTCTAAAATACCCAACAAAAAATGATTCAAAGATGTGATAGAAGACAGTTTTCACAAATGAAGGGATTCTCCAGTTTGTACATCAAAGGGACTCACTATATCAAGAAAATAATTGAATGAATTGGAGTTGTAGAACAATGTAAATAAAAACTAATACAAGCAATGGAAGTTGAACAGTGCAGGGAGGAGAAGTGAAGAAAATATAATTGTACCCTTCATATCCCAGCTATTCTAGCTGTCCCCAGATACTGAGCCTGTTGGGTACAATCTCTTTGGGGAATAAGTTTTAAACGAAATCCTACATCTCAAACCATGAGTTCCCACCTTACACCTAGCCCCTTTCCCCTGGTTGGCCCAAAGTACTGGGAGCCAGGCTTATACCATCTAGGCAGAATATTGAAATATTTCTTTCGAGGGAAAATGGTACTGACATTTTGGGATTCTCTAAAGGAAAGTCAGGTTCCTACCCCGTCCCTAGTTCTGTGCATCCCCGTGCTTGAATTATAAGCATCCAGTCAGCTGTTTTAATGTTTCATTTTGTTGTTGCTGTTGTTTAAAAATAGTGTTATTGAGATATAACTGTATACCATAGAATTCACTCAAAGTGTATAATTCAGTGGTTTTTAGTATAGGCACAGTTGTACAGCCATTGCCACAATCTAATTTTGGGACATTTCACCACATCAAAAAGAAGCTATAACTATTAGCAGTCATACCCTATTCCCACTCTTCTCTCCATGGCCCAGGCAACCACTACAGGAGTGTCCAATCTTTGGGCTTCTCTGGGCCGCATTGGAAGGAAAGAATTGTCTTGAGCCACACATGCAATACATTAACACTCACGATAGCTGATGAGCTAAAAAAAAAAAAAAAAAAAAAAAATCTCATAATGTTTTAAGAAAGTTTATGAATTTGTGTTGGGCCACATTCAAAGCCATCCTGGGCCACATGTGGCCTATGGGCCGTGGGTTAGAGAAGCTTACACTAATATATTTTCTATCTCTGTAGATTTGCCTAGTCTGGACATTACATACATGGTGTTTTAAGTAGAATGAGAAGTAAAGAATCACCAGATATTTGAGGAATACGTCAAATAAAATCCAGAAATGAAAACAACAAAAAAGAAACTCAGGGGAAATAGAGGCAGTATATAAAGACAGAAGATAACTTAAAAACTTACTTTTTTTTTTTAAAGTTTACCATAAAAGGTGAACAGGAGGCAGTCAAAATGCATATTCAGAGAACAAGAAAACTTTTGGGGAATAAAAATACTCAACGGAAGTAGAGACAAAACTTGAAAAGATTCCCTAGTCAAACAAAAAGGTAAAGATTGCAAAATGAATTAAAAGATAAAAGCAGAAATTAGTTCAAAATAATAGTATACCTAGCAAGAGTAAGGGAAAAATTCTTAAGTGATCTGATCAAACAAGGTCTTTAAGTAGAAGACAATTTTAAGAACCAGAATACCTGAGATTTTAGATTAAGAAGGCCCATATATTTTCAGCATAGTGGATGAAAAAACACTTTAAAAAACATTTTTGTGAAATTTTTGATAACCAGCAATAAAGAGATCATTCTAAAAGTTTTTAGAGAATGAGAGAAACATGATACCTACAGAGGACGGGAAACCAGAATGGCACTGAACTTCTCAAGTGGGAATCAGAAAACATTGGAGCAGTGCCTTCCAAATTCTGAGGCAGGGCCAGGCGCTGTGGCTCACGCCTATAATCCCAGCACTTTGGGAGGCCGAGGTGGGCAGATCATTTGAGGTCAGGAGTTCGAGACCAGCCTGGCCAACAAGGTGAAACCCCATCTCTACTAAAAATACAAAAATAGCTGGGCATGGTGGCAGGCGCCTGTAATCCCAGCTACTCGGCAGGCTGAGGCAGGAGAATCGCTTGAGCCCAGGAGGCAGACGTTGCAGTAAGCCAAGATCGTGCCACTGCACTCCAGCCTGGATGACAAAGTGAGACTTCACCTCAAAAAAAAAAACAACAAAAAACCCCCCACAAATTCTGAGGCAGAATGATTCCCAAAAATTACAGTAAAATCATTTTCAGACTTAAAACATCTCTAAGCATCTATTTTCCATGTACCCTTTCTCAGGAATCTATGGAAGGAGGTGCTGAAAAAGAAAATTCCTTTCTCAGGAATCTATTGAAAGAGGTGCTTAAAAAGAAAAGAAAAAGGAAGATAGATGGAGGAAGTCTTGGAATTTAGGAAAGAGCAGATCCAAAAGAACTGAGAGAGGCAAAGGGAATTCACAAGATGCTCGTGCAGGGACCCCACAGCACAGCAGTTTTGCAGCAGTCCTAGGTGGCTCCAAAAAGATGGAAGGAGCGGGGAGAAGAAATCAAGCATTTAGAGGTACTACTTAGCTTCTTTGGAATATGTGAAAATTACTTAATGACAGGTACGTAAGCAAACAGAGCAGGGAAAAAGAGGCAGTTCTTAACATCCATGGACAATTAAAGATTATATTTACTATGAGAAAAGAAATGTATAATTGTGGTTTACTGTGTGGTTCACTGTGATTAGCAGTTTTATAATCATCATAACGTAGACATTACTATTGATTCGGTTGAAAGGAGGAGATGTTACCATTGTAGAAGGGGCGTGAGTCAGGGAGAAATGTGTATGTGGAGGTAGGCAGCTTGTAGATAAAAGGTGCTAAATCTTCTCCCTTAGAAGAAGGCAGAAAGTAAGTTAATCTTGAAAAATCTATACTTAATTTATGTTTTTTTTTTTAATTTGAGGTAAATAGAAGAAGCAGCAAAAAGAGTTGAAAATATCTGTCTTGGAGCAGACATCAGGAGTGGGGAGGGATGGAAGAGGAGACTACTATTTTTATTATTAGTTTAATTGTACTCCTTTACTTTAAAGATGTCACATATATTATTTTGATAAATATGAAATTTTTACTTTAAAAACAAGCTACAGAGTTTTTCTATTTTTAAAAATAGGTCTCAGTTCCATTTTTTCTACATTTATTATATGTAGGATCATAAACACTTGGCTACCACAAAATAGAGGGCAACCTCTTGGATGATCATATTTTTTATTTTAATAAACATAAGATGGCCACAAGTGTGCTGGAACCGTGAAAAATGTGAAGGCATGGATTTTGCCTCTTAGCCCAAGGAACTTAGAACTTAGAGGTTAGAAAGATACATACATCAATCTTTTTTTTTTTTTTTTTGAGATGGGGTCTCGCTCTGTCGCCAGGCTGGAGTATAATGGCATCGTCTCGGCTCACGACAACCTCCGCCTCCCGGGTTCAAGCGATTCTCCGTTCTCAGCCTCCCGAGTAGCTGGGATTACAGGTGCCTGACGCTGCGCCCAGCTAATTTTTTGTATTTTTAGTAGAGATGGGGTTTCATCATGTTGGCCAGGCTGGTCTCGAACTCCTGACCTTGTGATCCGCCCGCCTCTGCGTCCTGAAGTGTTGGGATTTCAGGCGAGAGCCACCGCACCCAGCCACATAAATCTTATTGAAACATCTCTGATCGTAAAGTTGCGTTGATTGAAAACCTTCATGGTTCCTTAGTTTGATATTTAAGAATTTTCTAAAATCCTAACCCTAAATCTATCACCATGATACCATTTCACACCAATTACGATGACTGTAATAAAAAAAAGATAATGACAAGTGTCAGGAGGGTGTGGAAAAATTGGAATCCTCATACACTGCTGGTGGGAATATAAAATGGTTCAGCCATTTTGGAAGAGTCTGGTAGTTAGTTCCTCAAGTGATTAAATATAAGAGTTTCCATAGGACCTAACAATTCCACTCCTAGGTGTAATCCCAAGAGAGATGAAAACATATGCTCACACAGAAACTTGTGCATAAATGTTCATAGCAACATTATTCATAATAACCAAAAAGTAGAAGCAACCCAAATATCCATCAGCTGTTGAATAGATAAAATGTGGAATATCCCTTGAAGGGAATATGATTGAGCCATAAAAAGGAATGAAATATTGATACATGCTGCAACATGGATGAACCTTGAAAACATTATGCTAGGAAAAAGAAGCCAGTCATACATGCTTTATGATTCCATTTATATGAAATGTCCAGAATAGGCAAATCCAGAGAGACAGAAAGTAGCTTAGTGGTTGCCTAGGGCTGGGAGGAAGGAGAAATGGAGAGTGATTGGTAATGGTTAAAGAGTCTGGGGATGATGAAAATGTTCTAAAACTTACAGTGGTGATGGCTGCACGACTCTGTGAATATACTAAAAACCATTGATTTGTATACTTGAAATTAGTGAATTGTATGGCTAGAAAGGATTTTCTAGGATAATTTTTGACTCTACTCAATAAAGCTATTTTTAAAAATCCTAACTGTGGAGACCAGCCTGACCAAAATGGTGAAACCCCATCTCTACTAAAAAAAAATACAAAAAATTAGCCACCTATAATCCCAGCTATTCGGGAGGCTGAGGCAGGAGAATCCCTTGAATCCGGGAGGCGGACGTTGCAGTGAGCCCAGGTTGCGCCATTGCATTCCAGCCTAGGCAACAAGAGCGAAACTCCATCTCAAAAACAAAAACAAACAAAAAAAAAAACGGTGAGGGCCGGGCGCAGTGGCTCACACCTGTAATCCCAGCACTTTGGGAGGCTGAGGCCGGCGGATCACAAGGTCAGGAGTTCGAGACCAGCCTGGCCAACATGGTGAAACCCCATCTCTACTAAAAATACAAAAATTAGCCTGGTGTGATGGCACACACCTGTAATCCCAGCTACTCAGGAGTCTGAGACAGAAGAATGGCTTGAACCCGGGAGGTGGAGGTTGCAGTGATCCGAGATCACTCTATTACACTCCAGCCTGGGCAACAACAGCGAAACTCCGTCTCAAAAAAAAAAAAAAAATCCTAACTCTGCCCTACTTTTCCAGCCTTATTTCTCGTTCTTCCACGTGGCCTCTAGCAATCTGACTTGTGTTCTCTTGTCTGCAGTGCAGCTCTTTTCTCCAGTCCTCCAGTTTAAGACCTGATGCTACCTATTCTTTCCAATCCAGCTGAACTTCCTCCTGTTCCATAAAATAGAAAAAGTGAATTCTTCCCAACAGAAAGTAATCTCTGCTCTCAACCTCTACCACACCTTATGTTTCCAGGCACATCACTTTATGTATTACAGTATAGAGGAGGTGTGTGTTAAGTTGAAGCTTAGTCATCATTGTCAGCCACATGTAGTCAAAAATTGGCCTAGGAAATCCTTTAAATTGCTAAAATAGTACAATTCCCTTTACATTGAACTTGGCCAGTTTTTCCTTCCAACATTGGAACACATCTCTGTTCTATTGAATGCTAGTTGAAAAAGCTGACTTATATTTATAGGTGTTACATGAAATAAAAAAGAATAATAAAGCCCTACAAATAGTACAAATTTGGATATATGTGATTGGCTCCAGCCCGTTCTTAGCCCTGCTTCTCAATGGAAACAAGCTAAGGCTCTTATCTTGTGTAGTTGGGGAGTATGAGATGGAGGATGATAGAGGGATTGGTTTGTGAACTGACTTGTCATCATTTGGGACTTTTAAAATTCAGTGTACATTTTGCGTGTAATAATTGGCCTGTTTCTAGTTAAATAAATCATCTAACAAAACAAATGTTTTCCCCCATACTATCTAGAAGAGGCTACTTTTCAATAACTTCACCTTGCAATTTAAACAATTGAATATTTGGACCCCACTTAGTGCATTGCAGTGGGCTTTTACCTGACTGTAACCAGACTCCTGTTCTACATGATGAAGTGTTCACCCTATGAGGGCCAGGCTGAAACTAACACCTACTAAGAGAATGGCAGAATTAAGTCTTTCCACCTTTACACTCTCAGATGTGCACTTAGTAAATAGGAACGGTAGGCAGAATCACCAGATCTTTTGAAATACTTTGTTCTTGTTCTCTGCCTGTTTCTTGCCAAGTAAATTGAATTGGTTTATATAAATGAAGTGTGCTGTAAGAAAGACTAGTTGAGGCCGGGTGCAGTGGCTCATGCCTATAATCCCAACACTTTGGGAGGCCAAGGTGGGTGGATCACAAGGTTAGGAGTTCGAGACCAGCCTGGCCAACACAGTGAAACCCCATCTCTACTAAAAGTACAAAAATTAGCTGGGCATGGTGGCACACACCTGTAATCCCAGCTACTCAGGAGTCTGAGGCAGGAGAATCGCTTGAACCCGGGAGGCTGAGGTTGCAGTGAGCCGAGATCGCTCCATTGCACTCCAGCCTGGACACAGAGTGAGACTCCGTCTGAAAAAAAAAAAAAAAAAGAAAGACTGGTTGAATAAATGATGCACCATCCATACAATGGAATACTGTTACAGCTGTTAACAAGGAAAAACAAGCAAAACTTGGTTTATAACATGATGCATCTGAGTTTTGTTTTGAAGAAATATACATATGTACATGTGTATTTATGCAAATGTACATATATCCTTCAAAACAAAATTATGTGTGTATTTGTGCCTGTATAAAATATTTCTGGAAGAATATGTAATAATTTAGCATAATAGCAGTTGCCTGTGGGGAAAGGAACCAGGAGTTGATGATAGGGGTGGAAGACTTAGCTGTTTCTACAAATGCTCTTTAACATGGTTTGACTCCTAGTGCGTCTGTATATTACCTTTCCAATGGAAAACATTTACATCTTCTTACCAATTAACTATTAATAGTTCATGGTAAATATGTATATGTCATTTTGAGATTTTCATTTTAAATTAGCAGGAAATATATGTATACTGATAATGTGTGCTAGTGCTTGTTGGATTCTCCAGCAGCTCATGTATATACCACCAACGATGTACCAATTTGTGTTTCACAGAGTTACATCCATATGGGAGAATAGTCTCCAGATCACTACAATTTCTAGCTTTGTAGGAGCATGGCTTGGAGCACTTCCTATTCCACTGGATTGGGAAAGACCATGGCAGGTTGGTTTCAGTTACTTAAAGCAACAAAATAAATGTTTGTACAATGATAGTAAAACAGATGAAGCAAACTAGTGTGTATATGTAAATTGTTTTGTTGTTCAATTAAGTAGGGATACCACTTCTATCAGTCACTGTAATCTGGGCAGCTTCTTAATGGGGACTGTCCAGTGCCACAGGTGTCTAGGTAGCCCTGGTTTTATCTTCTAGCACTATTTTTTGCACATGTGTAGATGAATAAACAAGCTTATTTTGTGATTGTATATAGGCGGTTTGTTTATTGTTTTTAAAAAAGACAGGTTCTCACTCTCTTGCCCAGGCTGTCCTCTAATGCTTGGGCCTAAACGATCTTCCTGCTTCAGCCTCCCAAGTGGCTGGGACTACAGGTGTGTGCCACCGAGCCCAGCCAGTATAGGAATTTTTAAAAACTAGGTTAATAGCTGCAGAAATTTCCTATTTTCAACTTTGATATTTATTGCCCTTGTGGTCTTATATTCATATTTTCTGAACTTGATTGATGGCCAAATTGAATGTTCCTCTTGAAATTTTTAGAAGCAGATAGCAAGGTAATTTTTGCAGCAGCGGCCTGTGTTATCAAGAAAGCTCACAAACATCAGATTTTTCGTCTTGTATCACAATAAGATAAAGCTGATATGCTAGGTAAAGCACTGTGAGGTAAGTGCTCTTTTTATACCCATTTTACAGATGAGGAAACTGACACCTAGAGGGTATGTAACATTCCCAAGGTCACTGAACTTACAGTGATGACTGTATCTTTATCTTAATATTAATGACTTTGTAGTATGCCATTATATACTTTATAACTTATTTAACAAATTCACTATTGATCATTTAGATTATTGCCAGTATTTTGTGATAATAAACACTGCTGTGATAAAATCTTTGAATCTATAGCTTCTTGAATTTTTCTAATTAGGTTCACAGAGTAATTACTCCCAAAAAGAATTATGGTATTAAAAAATAAATGTGCTTTCTTTTTCCAACATGAAGATAATTTTTTTCTGATCACGAAGATAATGTATATTTATTTAGAAAATTAAAGCAATATTAGTAATTCTAAGGAAGAAAGTAAAAATTACTTTCCTCCCCAACCACCCAGAGGAAACCTCCATTTGCTTTTGGTGATAATTTTTGCAGCTGTCTCTCTCCATGCCTGTAACTATAATATTCATGTTGTTTTTAATCTGCTTTTTCCCCTCAGCAGTATATTATGGAGCTCATTCTATGTCAATGAAAACTTACATATATGTAATATTCGATTATTTGTGTAAAATATTGTACCAGTTTTTTATTAAAGAACATTTAGGTCATTTCCTATTTTACTATTATTATTTTATTATCAAATATGGTCATTATCATACTTATACATCTTTGCATATTTGTCCAATTTTCTCTGTAGGGTAGAGTCCTACCTAATGAATTGATGAATTAAATCTTTGATACATACCTCATTTGCCAAATGTGGGATCCAGATTGTGTGCCTTGCACATAACTGCCTACATTTAGCTCTATTCTTTGTGCTTTCAGTTAGATGTCGTGTCTCCCCGAAAGTCAAATTGTTGTTTCATGTTTAATAGGTCTGATAGGTTTGCCCTTCCCTGTTTTAACTCTTCATCACTATATTAGAGAAATCCTTGGAGGTTTGGTGTGTGTATCGTCACAGATTCCCATCTCAAGTTTTTGGTGCTAGTAAAGGTTTCTTAAGTTGACATCTTATAGAAGTCATCCATACTTGATGTCATTCAACAGAGTGTCAGTGATTTCTAAATTGGAGGACAATCAAAATCATTGAAAAGTATACACAGAAAATTGAAACTGTGTAGATTCATTGCTATCAAGTAATGCAATTAAATCTAAATAGAAAGTATTGATAAATAAAGTACTATGGGACATTAGCTTTAATGAGTTGGTAAGATATAATAATCATTTTGTATATGATGCAATACATTAGAGTGTAAAGGTTTGATATATTACACATAATTTAAGTCTTTTCTGTTTACAAGACAGTGCAGTAGTAGAAACTGAACTAAGAGGAATGAATATATGTGCTTTATAAAATATGTGTTTAGGTTTGCTTAGAAAATATATATCTTAATTATTTACAGTTCAGTCACCCATTTTGGGATTGTTCAGGCTTTTAGCTGATGACCCATTTTTCTCCCTCAGTGCTTGTTAACAATAAGGATGAACTAGATCCAAATTGATGGTATTACTTTTTAAATTAATGTAAAGTTTCCATTTGAATTACTGACTTTTTAAAAAGATTTTCTAGGTAGCTGGAAATTAATTTAATTTTAAATCTAATTTAAATACATAACAAGTGTTGGTTTCCATTAAGAGTGTTTCATTCAGCTGGAATATTACTGGCCATGTAATTATCTTTACTATTGGGTTGTTTTTAGAATATTCCAAGTTAATGACCCACGTATTCACTGTAAACCTTTTAAATTATGAAATGTATTGTTGAGGGAATGATAGAATTGATGTATAATTAAAAATCTTTTATTCATATAGCACTCATCTGCTCCTTGCCCTTTTAGCAGTTATTTACTAATAAACTAAAGAAATGAGGTTTTTTTTTCACTTTTTATTTCCAGCAAACAAGGTTGTTTGTTTTTTTGTTATTGTTATTTTTTAATAATTCTAACTCCACAGAACAGCATCTCCCAGAGAAGCAATAAATCAGATAAGGGAATATGGCATTTTCTAAAAGTGGAGATGTTGTTAGAGCAAAATTTCATGAGAAGACAATACAGTATACACTTTATTATCTAAAATAGAACATGTATTAAGAGATTCTTGTTCTGTGTTCCTTGTAGCCCAATACCGATTTGATCTGCTTGTGGTAAAGCAAGCTTTTCTGGATTGTGTTCTGGTTTTATTTATATTCCAGTCAGAGAAACAGGAATATCTGGTTAAGCAATTGTACCTTTAAAAACACACACATGCACACACACACACAAAACCCCACAAAATCTACTACATGTTTTAATTCAGTTTTCTTTACTTTGAACTCAAACCATTGTATAACATTCCTGAGGCCAAGCATAAGATTATAGTGATGTGGATTCTGTAATGAGCTGTTTCAAGCATATTTTTATGTTTAAAATAATTTCTTCATTAAATGACTGGAAAGGCCCACTGAAAATATGTGATCTCAATGTAAAAGTTTTTTAACTTAATATAAATCTTAAGTGATTTTAAATAATGGCAAGTGATGAAAGATTAGGCATCTTTATAGTTGGAGGAAGCCTTTCTTTTGTAGAAGGCAGCAAGGGGATATGGTTAAAGAGAATATGGTAGGGTAGCTACCCATTATACTGTTGGTCATCTTTGTTGTTGTTTTAATACTTTAAAGTCATCTTCTTGCCTCTACCTTATTTGCCTTAAAATCTCAGCAAGAAAACAAATATTTGAATTTCCCATAATCCAGATAGGCTTTTTCAACTTCTAGAGAAAGCTTATAGTTGCTGACAAAATAAATATTTGGACTACAGAAAACCTTTGTATTTTATAATTTGATTCTTTATCTGCTGTAACTAAATAGCTAATCAATAAGTATTTGTTGTTATTACTGTATGCATAGCATATGTTCTGTGTAAGTAAGTACAACAGATACTTAAATACACCCAGGACTGGAATTTAATTATTTAATAATTTAGATTTGAACTGTGATTTAGATTTAATATGCTGTAACTATTTCATAGAATATGTAGCTATGAGGTTTTTCATCTGGAAAATGTCTTGTCAAAACATGGCTAGTATTTCATGTTATAAAAAATTAGTGGAAGGTTAAGAAATATTGTTGGTTATTCTGAGCACAGGAAATTGACCATGAGGTTTTTAAACTCACGTTTTATTAATGGGTAGGCAGGTAACATGATGATTAGGAGTTCTGGCATCAGATTACTGGGTTGAAATCCTGGCTTTGTCACTTGCTAGTGAGGATGAAATAATAAAATCCCTCTAAAATACCTAGCTCAGCACCTGACACATGGTTATTACTTAATTAATGTTACAGGCATTTGTGACCTAGAAAAGACATAGTTTAATGACTATATTTTTAGCCTTCAAAAAATGCAAATTCCATGATTTATTTGAGTTCTCATATATTAGAGAATATGTTAATTGTCTCAGTTTGTTGTTTTATTTTTTCTGCCCAGCAGTCTTTCAGTTGGTAGAGTGGACTGTTAATTTATCTATTTCTCTGGTATTTAGTTATGCCAATTTAGGGTATTTGGATTTCACATAATTTTCAATCCTGTCTGACATTTCAGATGACAGTAGAAAGAAAACGTAGCACTTATAGATCTCTCCATGTACCCTGCAGGGGGCTTGGTACTGTGAAATGAGTAACTTAATCCTGACAACCGTAGTGCAAGGTAGGTTTTACTCCCATTTTATACACTAGAAAGTCCAAGTGTGAGAGGGGAGGAGTACACATCTTGCTTAGCATTACTCAGGTGGGAAGAGGGAGACTTAAGATTCACATGAGAGCCCCACTACACCATGATTCTTTTCATTGCTGGAAACTAAAACATAGCTTTTCTTTTTAAAAAATGGTCATAGCTTAGGTCTCTTTGGAATAGCTAAATTACTTATTATATTTCATTTCTTTCCCCACATTGTTTTCATTACATGCCTTGACCGTTGTGGTGGTGTCTGTATTTTAGGCCGTAATTTATTTGTAGGAGAATATTTAAAGCTAATATGCAATGATTTTGTCCCTAACAAATCCACACATGCCTTTAAACTATGGACTTCAGTGCTACAATCTTTAAAAATATTTGAACCAAATAATCAAGTCTCGGCTAGGATGCTTATTTCTTACGAAGGTAAAAAGGAAAATTGATATAAAGTATTTTAAATAACTGAATTTGGAGATTTTGAATTTTAGACACCTGAGATCGTCTTTGAAACAATTTAAAGTTGTTTTAAAATATTTGTACTTATTCTCAACAGACACCAGATAAATGAGGCATTGTTGTATTTAAAAATTTTTTGGGTTTTTTTTTTTCAGTTTTACCACGTTAGAAATCTAGTATTTGTGAAATATGTATATTCATTTCCTAAAGTCACAGATGCCACAGATAATTCTTTCATAAGTTGAAACTAGGAATCATAGGATTATAACTACATGAATTACTGCAAAATGCTGGAGGGAGATTAAAACTAAGATTATGGATTTGATTGATTGAAGAGCTGCAGGTTTTTACGTTAATTGGTATTTCCATTACCAAAGGGATGATACTGTGTTTTAGACCAAAATAAAATACTCATTTATATGAATATGGTTTGTATGTTTCAAGCATGAGAAAAATGTGTTAACATTGAACTGGCATGAAATGGTTTTGGATTGAAAAGGCGTGTTCATCGTAGGGTAATCATGTTGATAATGCTCTGCTAACAGGACTTTCATGTTAGAGAGA
Source organism: Homo sapiens (assembly GCF_000001405.40). Taxonomy (NCBI): domain Eukaryota; kingdom Metazoa; phylum Chordata; class Mammalia; order Primates; family Hominidae; genus Homo; species Homo sapiens. The sequence goes on along the minus strand of NC_000002.12, from coordinate 46,587,027 downwards.
ATAATGCTGGCCAAGTTAACTCGTTTGCACGAGTTGTGACCAGAACCTTTTAGTGTCATTTTGACAAGAATTCCAGACCAGGAACTACACACCCCTTCGCAAATAACTCTTCCTAAAGTAGTATTCTTAGTCACAGGAGAGTGTATACATGGATGAGTGTAGATTTTTAACTAGAGAAATGTATCCCAATGAGTAGATTCATTTGTGCATGTATTCCTGTATCAGACAATAACATTTACTTTAGGAATATCTGGAAAAACATACTGTTCAAGACCAATTTTGGAGGAGAATATAAATGATTATTTATAACCAGTAGGTCAGCAGGCTTTGAAAGATGAACTCTCTCAGTCATGCAAATGCAAATTTGTGATAAGCACAATTAACAAAACAAACATATTGAAAAGTAGCTCATGAGAGATTGAGAACTGGATTTTATCTTCCTTTTTATCTCGAGAGAGACAGTAATCCTAATGGTTGTGAGTTGTTCTAAATGTCTGTAGGTGTTCTGATTTGCAGATAGGTCAGTTTCTCCATGTTATCTGTGACAGTGTAAATCTCCCCCAAAATTATAAGTAATATTTATTATATTGGAACACATTTTTAAGAATTTATACTAAAATGTATCCAAAATTAAATAATTTAATCTTAGTTTACACCTTTAACTGCTGGGTTAAGGTAGGGGCTCCACAAATAGTTTCGAATGAATGGAGTCATTCATATGAGCCTTTAAAAATTAACACAAATGCCTACCAATGATTAGTTTAAAACCACTATCTGTACTTAAAATTTTGTTTCTTCGAATTTATGAAAAATGACAGCTAGCAGCAGGGTAACCTTCTGAGGTAAGGATACAGATGGTTAACGTAATGCCAGTATGTTGTACAGCTCCTGAATTTGCTCTTGTAACAGACATTTCACATGAAGAACAGCATGTATTAAAGATGATTGCTTTATGGCTGGGCGCGGTGGCTCACGCCTGTAATCCCAGCACTTTGGGAGGCTGAGGCAGACGGATCACGAGGTCAGGAGATCGAGACCATCCTGGCTAACACATTGAAACCCTGTCTCTACTAAAAATACAAAAAAATTAGCTGGACGTGGTGGCAGGCACCTGTAGTCCCAGCTACTCGGGAGGCTGAGGCAGGAGAATAGCGTGAACCTGGGAGGCGGAGCTTGCAGTGAGCCGAGATTGTGCCACTGCACTCCAGCCTGGGCGACAGAGCGAGAGTCCGTCTCAAAAAAAAAAAAGATGATTGCTTTGCAAGGGTAAAGAATAGTTCCTACCACTTCCTACCACACAGTATATTACTCATGAACTATTCGTTCTAAACTGCCGGTTCTACTTATTACATAGTAGTGTCAGTGACCAAAGAAATACTGTTTGTGTAAGTTTAATTTTTTCAAGTTAAAACATGTAATATACAGAATACTGGTACGTGGTACTTTATAGCTTTCATGACAAATTTTAAGAGATTACTTCAGCCCTGCATTTTAAGTATAGTAGGTACTTCTGTCCCTGTTCTGTAGGGGAAACTGAGGCTCAGATGTTAAAATGAGCTGGCTAAGGTCACTTAACATCTGATGTACCACTTATTTTTTAATTAGATTTTTCTTCTTCCTGGTAATTTTAATAATTTTACCCACTTGAGTTGTAATATATTTGATTATACACCATAGGTTGTTTCTTCTATTTACTGGCTAAAAAAATGTAAATTTATAAAAAACTCTCACTATCTTGCCCAGGCTGGCCTCCAGTGCTTGGGCCCTTGTCATTTTGGTGGCAAACACTTGTGAATGACTTCCTTTACATGAATGTCTTTGTTCTAAGTTTCCTATTTTCTTTAAACAAAATAATTATATAAAGCCATCTCAGATTACCATAATTTGGAGAAATCTTTATAGCAGTGCAGCTGAATTATGTATTTAATAGATATCACTTTTTTAAAAAATCCTATTTGTGGCATGAAGAACGTTGAATAGAAACATGTCTGTATGTGAGATAAGGAAATAGTTTTAAAGGAAAACCTTAGGATCTAATTATGAAAATACCTGATTAAGCTAGGATTTACAAATGAATTCTGTTGCCATAGTGTAGTTTAAAAATTTTTAGAATAATTATAAGAAAATCAGTAGGAAACTTGCTTGAGGAATAGTTCTTAGTGGGCAGCCTCCCTCCTTTTGCTGTTCCCTATTTTGATAATCTATTTTGATCTTCAAAAATCATGAAAACGGCCCTTAAAGAAATTCTCTTTTAAAAAAATGACAGGGTTACGATTAAGAAATGCTTATTTCAGGAAAGCCAAGGAGGTACTCTTGTAAGTACAAAGCCTGACCCATCATTAACAGTCTTCAAAGCCAGTCCACATTTTAATTTGCTGATGGCATGCACTTCTTGATTTACATAACATGAATAACCAAGTGTTCCAAGCCGTAACCCTTCATTAGACAAAATTTTTTAACATTTCATTTTTGGCATTCTGTTGGAGGTGAGGTGTGGCAGCTGTTTAAAAGAATGTGCGTGGTGGTATGTATGTGTTTGAGAACAAAGAGCCATACTGAAATTACAAAATGATTAAAATACAATTTAGTAACCCAAATTGGAATCTAGCTGGGATTCATGAGGGATTACTATTCTCCCTATACTTTAACAGTGAGCTTTTTTTAACAGAGTATAGGGACTCATACTTTGCCAATGATTAGTAGACTCTCAGCATAAATAGAGGAAAGAGTATTATCCTAAATGTTTACATAGGGTAATAAATAAAAACTACTAAGGTAAAAAGTTCAGTGCTTTACGTAGATAGTAAACTATGCATAGTATTTTATTTGTAACCCCATGTGTTAAGAAGGGACACTGTTAAAGTAACAATCATTTAAAAGTAACAACCAACAAACTGGTATTTAATTTGGTATTTTAAATAGTTAAAAATCAAATGGAAACAGTGTCTAAAGTCACTAAGATAATTCATAACAAAACCCATTAATCCAAGCTCCACTTATTGTAAATAGAATTCACCATGAGCTAACCTAAAATGTACCTGTGGAGATAAAACAAGAGTGTAAGTTAGCAAAGTATTAAATAAAATTTCAGGGAGCCCCTAAATTTATTTTTAAGAACTTTAGAACTAATTCTCTATATGCAAACACTGATTAACTCAAATATCTTGTAAGTTCATTCATACATGGCCTTATTTGAGGCAGTGTATTTGTATTCACTAGCAAAATTCATGTCAGTAAAATATTTTTGAAGCAGTTTATTTCCCAGATATTTCACTAGTTTGAAATAGTCATTTCAGTGATTAGTCTGAATTTCTATTGAAGCCTAAGCTTTGAATGAAGACATGCTTCTGAAAATAAGGCAGTTTTTCTCTAGTCTGCTTATCAATAGAAAACAAATCTTTGGTTTTTAGTTAAAGTGACAGGAAGGATTTTTGCAAAAAGAAAAACTAAAGAACCAAAGCAATTAAAAAGCTCTTGATAAGCAATGGGGAACTCCAAACCCATCAAGGTCAGTAGAGTACCTAAGGCACCTCAGCTTCAGATGTGACAGTCATCTTTGCTTAGAGTTCTGATAATCTATATACATGATTTTTACCATCTTGAGAATGTGAAGCTGAAAAGGTAACATCCAACAATGATTACTGTGAATAAGAAAATTACTGTGATAAATGGGAGAGACGTTGGAGATCTCTGTTCTACCTCCCATATTTATAATGAGGAAACCAAATCCCAGTCAAGAAACAGGTGACACCAGTTTGTGTAGACAAATTCCTAATCTGTTTCTGTTAGGGCAGGGCAAATTCTAGACTTCTAACTTTGAATTAGTAAACCAAGTGTGAAGGGTTTCAGAGATATGAATTGGAGCCCCCTCCCCCCACCAAAAAAAATCCTCATAAATCCCCAAAGGCAAGTTGGAAATGTGTAATAGTTTACTGTTGTAATTCGTTTATACCATGTGTTGGACAACTCAGCTAATATGTTAATTGATTTATACAATTCCTTTCAATTTTATCTAAAAATAAGCAGACCAAAATTAAATAAGAAAGTTACATAAGATTCCATTTGAGCATACATAAGGCCATGATACTTTAATGTGAACCACCATTTCTTGGAAGAAAGAAGACATCCAAATGTCCGATTCAGAGAGAAAGTTCCTGGCCAGTCATCCAGTAGACTCTCTCCACTCTTCAATGGGAAGGTGATGCTTATATTTTTAAAAATCTCTACAAAGCTCACATACAACAAGACAGTACATCCTAGATTTGTGACTGATATGAGCATTTAAGGCTGTCATTTTCAAGTATAAAAGTTTAGTGTTCCATTACCCAATCTGTGCAGTAGACATAGCTATAAGCTCAAGTCATGTGAATTAACAGAAGCCCACCAAAGACATTTAAAAAATTATAATTTGGGCAACAGCAAGTTTAAATGTAGGAAAGGCTAGAAAAAATGTGATGAGATTGTTTCTCTAAAATGCATTAGGTTGTTCACAATGAAGCTTTGTCTAACACCATTATCTGATGCATCCATTATCTGATGCATGGCATATGCAATAAGGCAGATCCACAGCAGACCAAACAAGGAAGCTGAATTAGGTAATAGAACTAGTAATTAAGATGGTTCACCTCTAACACAGTTCTGTGGCCTGTTCCCCCCAGAGAAAGATTAGAAATGGCTCCAGTGTACCAAATAAGCTTCACAGAAGAACATGAAAATTTTCCTCCAACTTTTTTTTCTTTTTTTTTTCAAGCAGAGCCTTTCACTTAGGGACCAACTGCTTGTAGATGAAATAAATCAACATTAATTACTTCTAGCCTGATGTAATATGGCTGGAGAAAAGGGGTCTCTGGAAGCCGGTATTTTGTTTAACTTACATTCTAGGTGTGTATATAAGTTGTCGCTCTATAACTTCTGCTGTGGTTCCAACATCTATATCTGAAAGGTGGAAGCAGCTGCTCTGTTACAATTTTCATGTAACACGCTTGGATTCTAGGTCTTTCCTCTTTAACACAACTTAAAGAAAGTTTCTTGTGGTTTGGTCAGCATACACACTTCTCATTTCATTTGATGTACACAGCCAAAGTGGGAATTAAAAAAAAAAAATTACCAACTAGTTCAGAGAGCTAAATTGAGTCTATCATTATGGCAAAGTCTGACCCAAAATTTTAATTTGTAATTTTAGCATGTGTCTCATGCACTTTGGGGAGCGTCAAACTAAATCTACAATTGCCAGAAGCCTTGTTACAGTTTAATGCACATTAACTAAAATGTGTACATTTTTAGTGTTCATGATAAATGCAGTTATGACCTTATTACACTTTTGGCATTCTTTAAGAAAGCACATTAAGCTTTAATATAGAAATATTTAGGTTACACTTGTGCTCAAGTAATAATAAAACATTTGTTCTTTTTTGATCTCATACATTCTCTCCTCAGGTATGGCCCATCTCCTGTACGCTTGGAGCGACCTTTGGCTACGTGGCTGGCCTTGTTATTTCACCACTCTGGATATACTGGAATAGAAAGCAACTTACATACAAGAACAATTAACTGGAGCAAAGGGAGATATTTCTTTGTGCAGATTCTGTAAGGGCTGGGCAGAAATGTGTATGGTCAAAGCCAAGCAGTTCCATTTACAGCTCTGTTTTTTACGTAGTTACAACATGATGTGATTGTAGCTTTTTAAACTATGAAACCCCTGAGAGATTGTACCTTCTAGTTGAAATAAAGTATTTATAATAGATTGTGGCTTCAGATGCTGCTTACTGCTTCTTAAACCTTTAAGGAACATTCTTAATACACTTTATAGAATTCTGAGGACAGGTTTTGTTTTCTTTCAAGTTTTGAACTGCTTCATTACCTATAAAAGGTCTGGGTATAGCTGTAGCATTTCATTTGCTTTCTGAGAGAAATGGACAGTTTCCTTGGCCACTGAAGATGTTTCTCACGTAATTAAACAACAGTTTATACATCTTGATCCTATTCTTTTTTTTACAGTGTGTTTCTTTGGAGTTAAAATGGCTATGATAGCCTCATCAAAAACAGTCTTCAATCCCTTCTGGGTTAAAGCTGAACATTCCACATAGCAGCATGCTCCTATCTGGGAGGGAGAAAAAAAATCACAAATATATAAGATCATGTTTATACAATTGGCATGACATAAACACATCATTATAAAGAAAATTATAAAATACAGCTATGCAAAAAGAATACATTCATCATCCATGTTCATAACCCCAGAGGGGATTTTAAAATACTAGTATATGTCCTTCCAGACTTTCTATGAAAAATTATTTCACTCACCACATATTTACTGGGTATCTACTATATGTCAAGCACTGTTTAGGTCCTGGGGATATGTCAGTGAACTGAACGAAAGAGCAGAGTCCCTGCTGTGTGGCGTCCACATGTGCTGACATCTGCTGGGTAAGAGGCACAGGGGAGGGAATACAGAGCAGATGGTTGCAAATGCTGTGGGGAAAAAGCAGAGTGAGGGAGGCGGGGAGTGCTGAGGACAATGGTAGTGGGGGTCCGGGGAGGCTTCTCAATGGGGAAGTTTGAGCAGTGAGGGATACCTAGGGGAAGAGCTCCAGGCAGATAGATCCTGATGCAGGAGCATGCCTGGAGCAGTCAAGGAACAAGATCACACTGAGGATGTGGTATTTGAGCAGAGACCTGAAAAGAGTGAAAGAATGAATCATGTCCATAGGGAAGAACATTCCAGGCAGAGGGAACAACAAAAGTACAAAGGTTCTCAGGTAGAACTTTGAGGGAACAACAAAGGAGACCAGGAGGCCTGGGGAACAATGAGTAAGGCAGAGAGGGAACAGAGGCTTGTAGGCCACTGTGCGGACTTTGGCGTTTAGTCTGAGCTGGGGACCCACTGGAGGATTCTGAGCAGAGCAGTGACATGATTGCGCTTACATTTTTAAGACTTACTCTGGCTGCTGTGTTGAGAACAGATGACCATGGGGCATAGACAGAAGCAGAAAGGTGAGTTGGAAGCTATTCCAGTAAAGCAGGCCAGAGATGGAGGAGGTCTGAACCAGGTGATAGAGGGAAGAGTTAGAAAAAAGTGTCTGGATTCTGGATATGTTCTGAAGGTATGTTGTGCCGAAGGCTAGATGTGTGGTATGGGAGAAAGAGCAAGGTCAAGTACGACTTCAGGGCTTTTTTTTTTTTTTGAGACAGTTTCACTCTTGTTGCCCAGGCTGGAGTACTATGGTTCGATCTTGGCTCATCACAACCTCTGCCTTCTGGGTTCAAGCGGTTCTGCCTCAGATTCCTGACTAGCTGGGATTACAGGCATGTGCCACCACACCCAGCTAATTTTGTATTAGTAGAGATGGGGTTTCTCCATGTTGGTCAGGGTGGTCTCCAACTCCCAACCTCAGGTAATTCTGCCCGCCTCGGGCTCCCAAAGTGCTGGGATTACAGGTGTGAGCCACTGCACCCAGCTGAGGGCTTCTGACCTGAGTAACTGGGAGGACAGGCTTGGAGGGTAAAAGAAGAATCATATCTTAGACATGTTAATTTTGAGATACTCAGCCATGTAGATGGACTTGTTGAGTAAACAGCTGGATAACCAAATTGAGAATTTAGGAAAGAGGTCCAGGCTGGAGATGGAAATCCAGGAATCTTTGGTTGTAGACTGTGCAAGCTACAAGACTGACAGAAGCTCATTTAGGCCTAGGGAGTGTAGCTATAGAAGAAGACATCCACAAAGCTGAGTGCTCATCACTGGGGCCCTCCAACCAGGGACCAAGGAGGTAAAGAGATGGAGCAGAGTCCAATGAGAGGGGAGAAAAACCAAGAGAGTCCAACTGAAGAAAGTTTCAGGAAGGACGCAACTGTGCCAAATGCTGATGAGTCTAGAAATGAGATCATACTGTTTTGCAACTACTTTTTTCCCTTTAGCTACATAATAAATATGAAATCTTAACAGATAGTATGAAGTTTTAATAGATGCAGGGAATTTTTGCCATTATAAACAATTCAGCATCTTTGTAGCTCTAAGTACGTCCCTAATAATTTACTTTTATTATTAAATATTATAAATGGACAAATTATAATTTTATATAAGGTACAAAGCAATATTTTCTCTCTATATATACATATACACACACACACACGAGTGAAATGATTAAATCAACATAATTAACATCTATCACCTTAAATACTTATCATTTTGTGTGGTGAGAACATTTAAAATTTACTCTTTTAGCAATTTGGAAATACGCAGTCCACCATTATTTATTTATTCATTTATTTTGAGACAGGGTCTCACTCTGTCATCCAGGCTGGAGTGCAATGGCACTATCTCGGCTCACTGCAACCTCCACCTCCTGGGCTCAAGTGATCCTCCTTCCTCAGCCCCCCAAGTAGCTGGGACTACAGGTATGCACCATCATGCTCAGCTAATTTTTTTTTTTTTTTTTTTTTTTTTTTTTTTTTTTTTGGTAGAGATGGGGTTTCACCATGTTGCCCAGGCTGGTCTCGAATTCCTGGGCTCAAACGATCCACCCACCTCAGCCTTCCAAGGTGCGGGGATTACAGGTGTGAGCCACCGTGCCCAGCACCACCATTATTAACTGTAGTTACCATGTTGTGCAGTGTTATCTCAAAAAATGTATTCCTCCTAACACTGTACACTTTGACCAACATCCTAATGATTTGCTTAGGATAAACTCTTACATATGGAATTGCTTGATCAAAAGTGTCCATGATTTTAAGGATTTTGCATACTGTCAAGACTGCTTTGATTCAATGACCAATAGTACAACAGAGTGTCCATTTTACTACACGGGTATTATAATTAATTTCTCATTTTTTGCCAATTCTATAGGTGCAAATTGAGCTTACATTTGACTACTAATAAGTTTGAACATATTTCCTATCTTCAATGGCAATCTGCATTTTGGGGGGTGAATTTTTCATTGTTAGCCCATTTTTCTATTGGTATCTGTGGCTGCTTCTGATTAACTCATATGCAAGAGGTTCCTGTATACTAAGGATGTTAACCCATTTTTCTGCCATCCATCTCAGGTTATATGACTTTTCATTTTATTTCTGGCATTTGATGTGGTATTAAGTTTTTATGCAGTGAAATCATTAATATTTTCATTTATGGCTTTTATCTTTATGACATTTAGAAATTCCTTCTCTCCCCAAGATTACAAAACTGAATACATGGAATTTCTGAAGTGATTTGTTAGTAAAGCCATTTATTTTTTGCTTTAGGAAAAACTGTCCTCCAGAAAGTTTTCTTGCTTTCTTTTGCCTCCTGATACTACATTTTAAAAGACTATATATGGGCCGGGCGCGGTGGCTCATGCCTGTAATCCTAGCACTTTGGGAGGATGAGGTGGGCAGATCATGAGGCCAGGAGGTCGAGACCATCCTGGCTAACATGGTAAAACCCCATCTCCACTAAAAATGAAAAAAAAAAAAAAAAAAAAAAAATAGCCGGGTGTGGTGGCAGGCACCTGTAGTCCCAGCTACTTGGGAGGCTGAGGCAGGAGAATGGCATGAACACGGGAGGCAGAGCTTGCAGTGAGCTGAGATCCCGTCACTGCACTCCAACCTGGGCCACAGAGTGGGACTCCGTCTCAAAAAAAAAAAAAAAAAAAAAGACCATATATGGATTCTGTTTCCACAAAAGTCCTATTGAAATCACAACATTTAAAAAATAGAATCCAATAATGTTAAGGCCAAATGGGAAAAAAGGGGAAAAAGTAAACCTATCTTTGGGGCACGAAGGAAGATAAGCTACAAGGTATTGCATGCATCACTGTTACATATATTTTTAGAATTTTTGTATTTTCTATCCTCTTTTCATAAAAAGATTGGAGAAATTTCAACACATTTCTTTTCAAACCTAGTCATCATTTTTTGGTTTTAACCACAAATTTAAACTGTCATCCTAGGTGGCTCCACTGTCTAACTCAATGAGTCTTAAGACAGAGCTGATTTGGCACAGTGCAACTGTTTAAGTAATGAAGAAGGGTTGAAAGTAGTGACACGTGTTTCCGATGCTTTTTTCCATATGTGACTTTTTAGGAAAATATCACTGGCAATGTAGCAAAGGTGTAAGAGTCTCGGCCCAGGAGTCAGGCTTTGGACTGAAACCCAACTCTGCCATTTATTACCTGCAGGATCTTGGGCGAATTATCTGACATCTCCCAGCCTCCACTGTCTCTTCTGTGTAACAGGGGAAACAGACCTACCTCACTGAGTTCATGCAAGGATTAAATGAGATAATGCATGTAAAGCACTCCACCTGGCACACAGTAAATACACAATAAAATTAGCTTCTATTGTTATCTTAGCATCTTTTACATTCATGCTTAAATTCTGTGAGTGTTCCATTACCTCTTTTGCTAGTTTCTGTCCTTGTTCCACACATATAGGTTTTTCTTTCATATCATTCAGTCTTGCTAAAGTTTTGGGGTCATCTCGGAGATCAATCTAATTAAGAAAGGTCAATAATGTCCCATAATATTACAAATCTTTAAAGAAAAATCAAAGCATGTAATCCCACTTAATTCCCACATACCAAAAAAAGATTAAACAAAAGAACTTAATTTTTAAAAACCAGGAAAATAATTGCTTTCTTTTGGCACAATTTTTTCCAAAAATATGATAGAACTCATTAACTTGCAGCTGAGATTAAACACTTACATCATTTGCTCAGCTTTGGGACTGTTTGTCTGAGAGCAGCCTCTACGACAGACCAAAGAGCTTATTCTAAAATGCAGAAAATCAAACCAGACATACCTGAGTTCCTATTAATAAAAAGGGTACATTTGGTGCGTATTCCTTAAGTTCCGGTACCCACTCCTCTTTCACATTTTGAAATGAGGCTGGATTTACCACCGAGAAGCATATAAGGAAGACATCGGTCATTGGGTAAGATAAAGGCCTCAGACGGTCATAGTCTTCCTGAGGAACAAAGAAAAGCCTCATTATGTATTTACATTTCTATTGTTTACTAGTAATATGTACATTAGATTACATGGTCAAAGATGCAAATTCAGGAGTACTCCACTAGTGGAATGTATGGCACTCTAAGTAAAATCAGATAACTCTGTTTTTGTTATTCTTCTTTGTGAAGTTCTGAACACCCATGAGGTAAAAAAAAATGACAATATCATTAACAATGACAATGAAAACTTTGGAAAAATACATTATGATCACTAACGCTGTCACTAAAAACATTTTTAACTAAAAAGTTTGCACAAAGAATTGAATATAGCTAGACATTGCCTAAGTATTATAATTTATAATAATTAATACATGCTAAATATTTACTATGTGTCAGGCACTAGTCTATATGCTCTCTCATGGATTACTTATTTAATCCTTGTAACAACAATATGACACAAGTACCCTTAATCCTGACTTTCATTTGAGTAAACTGAAGCACAGAAGTTAAATTACTTGCGTAAGGATGTGTAGCCAGTAAGTCAAGGAGCTGAGATTCAAATCCTGGCAGTTTTTACTCCAGAGTCTATACTCTTAACCACTATACAGCTTCACTGAGACCTTCAAGCTTTGCTTTCCTTGTTTCTATAGTTTTATTAATTGTGTGTGTGTGTGTGTGTGTGTGTGTGTGTGTGTGTGTGTGTGAAGATTTAAAGAGAAACATACACAGTAAACCCACCAAAATCCTCCTTTACTCTCCAACTTTCATTCCCTCTACTTAATATTTTCATGTTTATTCTTCCAGTTCTTTTTCTATGCATGAATATACCAGTAACTGCACATATTCATACATCTGTACATAAAATGAAATCATGCAGTACTTGTTGTTCTGCACTTTCTTTGTCTTGGACATCTTTCTAAATCAGAATACGTTAGACTACCATATCATTTTACACTGTTGCTTCAGAGTCCCCAGAACAGCTATACTCCTGATGGTTATTTTAGTCTCTATCACAAAAGGCAGTGAATATCCTTTTTTGCATAGACTATTTTATGTGACACAAAATTCTACTTATTTACATTCTCGAGAGTGAACAGAGTCCGGATTCCATTTTTGGCATAGCTAGACTCTCATCTGGTTTCAAAGAAACTTTATTTTTAGCCTGGGCCACCTCCCCTCTTAAATGACTCGTTTCACTACAGAACTACACAAATGTGGAACTAAGGGAATATTAAAAACATCATCTTCCACTTGGAGTTTCAGCAGTAGTATTTCCCTCATGGAACAATTTTCCTTTCATGCATTTTTCTGACATTTTTCATAATATAACTTTCAACTAAAGCATGTTAATGTCCCAAACCCTTGACTGGTGGGTAACCCTTTTGTTTTTCTGTGATGCTTTTGAAGGGCACACCTATAATCTAGAGCTGTGGGCATTAAAAGATTTCTCAGGTGTTCGCTATCACATGACGACAGGGGAAATGCCACCCCCAATCTTCTGCAACTTTTATTTTTTAAAGTGAACGCCTCTAAATGGTTTTGATTAAAGCAGTGCCCTGGTGTTAAGAAATTCACAATGAAGAGATCAAATAGGGTGGGTATGAAACACGTTATACCCCCAGACAGTTACTAGAGGAAGACTTCTTGAAAATTTAACTTTTTAAAAATCAGCTTGTGTTAAACAGTACAATTGAGTGCCTTATATGTACTTTCTGGGCTCTACTGCCTGTTTCAAACTGCAAGTCCATAAAAGAAAAAAAAAAAAAAGAAACAGTATGTCATCTTAGCATCCCACCCAGCAACTCCACACTTCTGAGCAAACATGCAGTTGTCATGGCCGGGAAATGGGGTGTTCTCATTAAAAAGCACTCCTCATCCATATTTAGATTTCCAATTTTCACAGAAATAGGAATGGGGATACTATCCCTTAGGATTATGAGGAATAAATGAAATAGTGCAACTAAAGCACTCCGCATAACACCTCGCACATCGAAGAACTCTTTCAATGCTTAAACATAAATTCTCTATCCCATGGGAAACCAAGTCTCTTATTCCTCTGCAAATCCACGCAGGGTCCCCTGAGTCCCACACTTGCCTCAGCTTTGCAGCTCCCTCCAATCACAGAGAAGTCTTTTAGTAAGAAATAAAATCAAAACACACAAAACTCAGGTCTCTCGAGACAGTATAATTTTCAGATGAATAAAAGAGAATGATATATTATTACTGTACTCATTAGTCACTTAGCCTTAAGACTATTTAAAATGTAACAAAAATAGATTTATATTTAAGAAAGCCAAATTAGAGATTTTAATGGAAATTTTACTTTTCAAGCAAGTTTACCTCCTCAGGGAAACAGAAGTGTGCGCTCTTTCTCTAGTGAGAGATGACAAGAAATAAAAACTAATTGAATGCCATGTTCCCTAGAGATGCTTAACAATATTAATCCAAGTATTTTACAGAAGGTAAATATATTGTACAGATTCCTTTCATAACCACAGTGAATCCTGACTTTCCTCCATGAGAGACGTGAGCACAAAGGAGGACAATTGGACCAATCATTTCTAGATATTTCTTAAATTGCAGGTTTTGTTTGATTAATTAAAATGTGAAGAACTGGGGCTATTAAAAAATAAAACACACATATGTTTAGACCTCCTTGGAAAGAAATGTTACTTCTTAAGTCTGAACAATCTAAAATGAATTCCTTCTGCCTGTCATCTCTGGCTAAATAATTGGCAGTTAGTGGCCGGGCATGATGGCCCACACCTGTAATCCCAGCACTTTGGGAGGCCGAGGTGGGACTCTTGAGGTCAGGAGTCCAAGATCAGCCTGGCCAATGTGGTGAAACACCATCTCTACTAAAAATACAAAAATTATCTGGCCGTGGTGGTGCACACCTGTAATCCCAGCTATTCGGAAGGCTGAGGCAGGAGAATCACTTGAACCCAGGAGGTGGAGGCTGCAGTGAGCAGAGATTGTACCACTGCACTACAGCCTGGGCAACAGAGCTAAACTCCGTCTCAAAAAAAAAAAAAAAATCGGCAGTTAGTACAAGAATGAGACCTTTCTGCTTCTATCCAGCTGAGTAATTAGAAGTCTAATAATAGCAAATTTAGAAAATAAATTATCCCCTGTGCATACTGTACCCTGCATCATATAAAATGGTTCATATGCATCACATAGTATCCTGTGTGAATTTAATATGAAATGTGGGATTTGGGAATGAATAAGTGGAGGTGTGCAGAATCTTTCATCTTCAGCCATATATTTTAAATTTGAGAACACAAAGAAGTCAAATGTAGAGCAACTGCCCTTACTTTTAAAAGATCGACTTATCAAAGTCACAACTTCTCACAGCCAACTCTCCAGTGTCCTCCTAATTAACAAACCCATTATATTTTAGTTCTAATTTTAAAATGTAGGTATTTAAACATTTCAGCATGGTAACTAGAACATTCTCAGGAGTACAGAAAAGTGTATTAAAGACAGCTGTTCAACATCAAAACAATGAAAGAACTGGTGAGTTTAGTCAGCATGGCTGTTGGACTGCATGGCAGACTCTTTAGCTTCTTACCAATTGGCTAAGTACCAGAAGTATCAAGTTTTTAAGTGTGTTCTGGCAGCTTAGTGTTCAGGCTGTCCCTTGTTGAAGAGTCCTCGATATGTGATAATGACAACCTTACTTTAAAAATATCACACATGGCCAGGTGCGGTGGCTCACACCTGTAATCCCAGCACTTTGGGAGGCCGAGGTGGGGAGATTGCTTGAGTCCAGGAGTTCAAGACCAGTCTTCCCAATGTGGTGAAATCCTGTCTCTACTAAAAATACAAAAATTAGCTGGGCATGGTGGCACATGCCTGCAGTCCCAGCTACTCAGGAGGCTCAGGTGGGTGGATCAGTTGAGCTCAAGAGGTTGGGCCTGCAGTGAGCCATGAACATGCCTGGGTGACAGAGTGAGACCCTGTCTCAAAAAAAAAAAAAAAAAAAAAAAAAAACACACACTTACCACCTGATAAGAATCTGCAAACAAAAAACTAAAGAAATGCGCTCTGAGAGGAAACAAAAGCTCTTCCAATGCCACAGAGAAATGTAGCCAATGGCCATCAGCTGGAGACCCCTTTCTGTGTGCAGCTCAGCCAGCAGTGCCCATGAGCCTTACTTCTGCACTATTCTTTGTCCCCTTCATGTGGACCTGGGTGTTCCCTCCTACCTTAGTGATCTCTGTTTAAAATATATGTTTTTGGGATGTGTATGTCTATTTTAAAATACATATCCAAAACATTTCTTAAATAAAAACACTCACATTGGACGATTTACCTTGTGCCATGCTTTGTTAGCTGGTATGCTATCATGTATTATTTAAAAGCAATCAGCAAAGATTTATTGAGACTATAGCCCTCTGGAGCTTGCAGTTTAGTTGGGAATTCAAGATATAAACATATAAAAAGACAGTCATATACAACAATAGGAGGGAATAAAAGTGTAAGCTGGAGCAAGTGAATATAGAAATGCTTAACAAACATTACTAAGCACCTACTATGTGCCCAGAACAGTGCTAACTGCAATAAATAAAGGAGGGAAGGATGAGATTCAAATAACATCTATTTGTAAAACACCTTATAAACATTTACAAAGCTCTCTCATTAAGTATCTATATGTTAAAAATAAGGCAATGCACTTGAATGTGCAGCAGTGCCCACAATGTGCCTGGACACCACTCCAGCGCCTTGCAGACCTCCAAGCCACAGCCTAGAAGAGGAAACTGCAGGCTGGTGTGGGAACGTGCATCAGGTTAGCACCCAAGAAGAACAATTCTGATAGGTGAGGAGATACACACAAATGCATAACAGCTTTCGATCTTAGGAAGTTCATGGTAAGGTAGATAAGATGTATGTGAACATGATATTACAAGTTAGAATGTGGTAAATATAAAAAGTAGTAATGAGGGGACACTAAGAAAAGACCTCTTGGAAGAGGCACTTGAGTTGGTCCTTACAGAATGGAGAGAACTTGAACGTATCCAACATGCTAGGAATGCGACTTTAGTCCAGTCCCTTATTCCTTAGGGCCTTAGTTTCTCTGTCTGAAAAACGGGAGACTTATCAGTGACAAATGCTTTGAAGACCATAAAGTACTATAGGAATGTATTACAATCCCAAATAATGCAGGATAGTACTTTGATGTAAGAAATAGTCATTTATCAAAACCTACTAGAGTTTTCCTCTGTAACAACCTAGAATGAGAAACAACCTAGAACAAGGGGTAACAGATAAGCCCCAGCCTTCCCAAATCTAAAGCAGCTTCTGACTACGTGAAGAGAGACATAAAACATATGACAACTAAGTAAGAATATCCCTGAAAAGTGGTGGCTTTGTGGTCTGTGCAGTAGCAATTCTCTGTGTCACTTCCAAGGCACACAGTAGTAATCTTCATCTACAACATCTGTTTCTAGCGAGAAGTCCAAAACAGGCATCGAGCTCTTGAAACCCTCCACCCTTCAAAGGGTGCTACACAGAAGTCCAGAGGACACATGTCATGAAGCCAGCTTCTGAGAATGCAACTGTTTTCTCCTACATCTAACTTATATATCACAACATGTCTATGGTAATGCTTGGTCAGAGTAGCCTATGAAACCTCATTTCTTTTTTTTTTTTTATTTTTTGAGATGAAGTCTCACTCTTATAGCCCAGACTAGAGTGCAATAGCACAATCTCGGCTCACTGCCACCTCTGCCTCCCGGATTCAAGCAATTCTCATGCCTCTGCCTCCTGAGTAGCTGGGATTACAGGTGCCTGCCACCATGGCTGGCTAATTTTTTGTATTTTTAGTAGAAACGGGTGTTCACCGTGTTAGCCAGGAGGGTCTCAATCTCTTGACCCTGTGATCCGCCTCCCTTGGCCTCCCAAAGTGCTGGGATTACAGGCATGAGCCACCACGCCTGGCCTGAAACCTCATTTCTATTGTGCAGTCATTTTGACACTTTTGAGTTCATTTTATATTTAACTTTGTGAAATGAAAATATCAGTTTTTACCTCTTTAAAAATAACTCTGTTTTTCAAGGAAGCTGGGTTGGGTCCTTTTTGAAAACACTTTGGTAAGTTTGGTTCAAAACTCACCAGTGATGAGTTTACTGAATTTGCCTACCACTTCCTACTACCTCCCAGCACTCTTGGACTAAAGAAAATTTTGGGGAAGAGAAAGGTTTTTTTAGGTGCTATAAATTCTTAAGAGGTCACTGTTTTTCAAAAACTTTGCAAACATCTGGTGTTTTCTTTTCTTTTTTAATTTTCAGTTCAGTTGTGAAATGGTATTTATATGTCACTGGCCTGATTAGCGCTTAGTAAAAGAATTCTTGAAATTAAAGGTTTAGCTTCTTACTTTTAGCTACTGTCATCTTCATATGTTTTGATTTATAATAAGTCAGCCTCCTAATTAATATACCAATTATTTAGGAGCTAGAGAACTAGATCTTGGGCTTCTTTTCCATTGTGCTTTCCTTTTGGCCACCTGACTGATTGTAACTCCTGTTTAGGTTGGCTGGAGGAAACGGAGAGAAAATTTACATCTGGTGGAGCATAAAGAAACCAGCTAGAGGACTGGCCTTGTCATTATCTAACTGTGTTGTGACGAACTGGCACTTCCTCATCTCTAAAAGCAGGGCCCTGAACTAGAAGACCGCCACGTCACATGATGAAAAACACTCAAACTAACACTTCTTACCCTTGTGAGCAGCCCTACTAGCAGATTTAATGTGGGAGGAGGTTCACACTACGGGATAAAAATCAAGTTTTAGGATTCCATTTTATCTAAGCTGACCACCACAAGGCAGAGGATCAAGACTTAGCTAAATACAGCCCTCAGGCAAGCTTCACTTCCCCATCTGTGAAGGGAGAATAAATACACATGTTAAGATAAATGAGAGAGCTGGTCAAGTGTTTCGAGCTCTTTGGCAGACAAGCCTGACTTTCCAAAAAAAGACAAACCACAACTTCGGAGCCAGTGCTATTTCTTCTGTGCATGGTGAGGTGACTTCCCCAGTTGTAAAGGATTTAGAGCTGAAATTCCATATTGTCTGGAGCTATAATTACAAGTCTCTTGCACTAAAACAGAGGTCAGCTGGCCTAAAGCATGCTGAAAGAAGGTAAATGTCTGGTCACATTTCCATGTGGTATACTCCTTTCCTAACTTTTTGGCACAAATTTCATGTTGATAGAACATTCATTCACTCCACAAATATCTGGCAAGTAGGTGCTGAGTGCTGTGTATAGACGAGTGAACACAACACAGACCCTGCCCTCATTCTGTGTAGAGGACAGCAGAGGAGTAGGCACAGGGCTCTCAGCTAGGGCAGTACCACCCTATGTCTGGGGGGCATTTCGGACATTTGGGAGGTGCTGTCAATTGCCAAAATGAATGGGGAAACTCTGCTAGCATTTAAGGGTGGGAGCCGTGGTGCCACAATGACCTGTATGAGGAAAACCAGCTCCAGGCCCGCATGACTAGTGAGTGTACTGCTAGACATTCATAAACATGAAAAACTCTTTTGTGGGAAAACAGCCTGTTGCATAGCAAGAGTGATCCATCTTGAAGTAAAACTGCCATGATGACCAATGTTTGACGCCTACAAT
Organism: Homo sapiens; assembly: GCF_000001405.40. Lineage (NCBI taxonomy): Eukaryota > Metazoa > Chordata > Mammalia > Primates > Hominidae > Homo > Homo sapiens. The sequence continues at coordinate 46,568,474 of NC_000002.12, read as the reverse complement.
TCAAGGTGGTCCAGTAGCACAGATAAGCCCTCACAACCTCCCCGTGGTCATGAGTTTCTAAAGGAAGTCAGGGATGATGAGCTTCCTGTGTCTTTACCCTAAAAGCTTGCTATATAAAGGATACTTTCTGGAGGTTGGTTGTGAGAATCCACCATCTCTTGGCCTACCTAGACATCGTTTCTGTTTCTAAGTCTCTATTAAATATTTCTTTCTGAGAAACTGGATTTGTCAGTCTCTTTCTTCAGCCTCTCAGCTCCCTTGGCCTTTGAAGGTAGGTTTGCATAGACCTGCTCACCATGGAACACCTTTTATAATCGCATGAATCTAGGACCTGATCCTGCTGCATATATAAAAAAATAAAGTTTTTTGGCATAACTTTAGTGCATATTTTAAACTTTTTCTTTTTTGAGCAGGGTTTTACTCCGTCACCCAGGCTGGAGTGCAGTAGCATGATCACAGATTGCTACAGCCTTGACCTCCTGGGCTCTAGCCTCCACCTCAGCCTCCCGAGTAGTTGATACTACGGGCATATGCCACCATGCCCAGCTAGTCAGAAATTTTTTTATTTTATTTTTTTTTTGTAGAGACAGGGGTCTTGCTCTGTTGCCTGGGCTAGTATCGAACTCCTGGGCTCAAGCAATTATCCTGCCTCAGCCCCCTAAAATGTTGGGATTATAGGCATGAGCCACGGCCCTCAGACTTTAATGAATTTTCTAGGAAGGTAATTTCAGTCCACATTGAAGGAGAAAGATTGAACTTTATTTTGTTTGAAACATCACAGGAGGCTGGGTGCAGTGGCTTATGCCTGTAATCACAGCACTCTGCGAGGCTGAGACAGGTGGATTGCTTGAGTCCAGGAGTTCAAGACCAGTGTGGGCAACATGGCAAAACACGATCTCTACAAAAATAAAAAATGAGCCAGGTGTGATGGTGTGTGCCTATAGTCCCAGCTACTTGGCAGGCTGAGGTGGGAAGATCACTTGAGCCTGGGAGATTGAGGCTGCAGTGAGCTGAGATCATGCCACTGCACTCCAGCCTGGGTGACAGAACGACACCCTGTCTCAAAGAAAAAAAAAAAAGAAGAAAAAGAAAAAACAAACATCACAGGATTTACTTACCATCACAGAAAACCACATGCCACTGGCTACATTGCTGTTAGTATCTGAGTCACTAATAAAAAATAACTATGTTAGCCAATATTTGTAACTGTTGCATTCGTGGTCATTTTACCTAATAGGTGCAGGCCTGATTACTTCATTATGATTTCTGGAGTAGTCAGCCTTGGGAGTTTAGGAATTTAACACTGAAATAAATAGTTTTATGATGAATTACTTTCCTTTTTATTTCTCCTTTATATCACTGCCAGGATGTTATACTGATTTAAAATTACATGTATAGGGAGGTTATATTATCTATAGATTTCATTTGAGGATAAGTAAAAAGGAAGTATTTGTTATAAAAATGGGAGATGGGTCTGATAAAATTGAGGTATCAAATCAGGCATTGAACAAATTGGGACAAAAATGACTATAAATGCAAATTGGGACAGGTGCTATGAAGGAAAAGAGCCAGGTTCTGGGAGAGAGAATAACCAGGAAGATGAGTTTCAGTCTGCGCAGGCAAGAAAGACCTCTCTGCAGGGGTGATGTTCAACCTGAGACCTGAGGGACCGCTTAAGGAGACAGACAACAAGACAATGTATGCAAACGTCCCAAGGCAGAAAAGCCCTGACATACTGAAGACCACAGGGAAAGGCCAGGTGACAGGTGGGGCTGGAGAGGGAGTCAGCTTGGACCCCTCTGCAGGGCCCACCTGCAATGGAAAGTCATTAAAAGGTGAGCCCCCGACCCCCGCAAAAAAGTCACAAAATTTGAAAACGATAATCCAGGCTACTTTGAGAAGAATGAATTAGGCAGTCAGGCTTATAAGGGGAGAGGTTATTATAGTAATTCAGCTGAGAGAAGATGGAAGCTTAGACTAAGGGACAGCAGTTGACAGCTAGAGAAATGGTGGATTCTAGATATATTCTGGATATATCTAGATGATATGGCATCTTTTAGAGGGATGAAGAAAACTGAGGGTAGGGTAGAGAAGCACCATAGGGAGAGAACTCAAGAGGACAGTTTGGGACGTGTTAAGCTTGAGATGTCAAGCAGGTGGTCAGAGGAGGTCTCTGCCTCTGAGTTCCAGAACTAGCTTATTACTATGTACCTCCTTTTAGCTGAACCAGAAGCATCTCAAATTCAACATTTCTGAACTAAATTCATTTCTTCCCAATCAAAACTGCAACTCCTCCTGTATTCACCATCTCACTAGAAGATATCACCACTCAATCAGGGTGCACAAGCCAGAAACCTGAAAGTTCTCAGGATCAACCCCTAACACAAATACACACACTAAAGCAGTCACCTGCCCAGTGAGTTTCCCTGTTTCTTCTCTCTCTCCGTATTTCTTCACCTGGGAGCTCCTACTCATCTTCCAGGCTTGAGTCTGGAAATCACTTCATCCAGCAGATCTTCTCTGAACCCCCAGTTCAGCTTAAGCATTGCCATGCTCCACACTTCTGTGGCACCACAAGCTTCTCCTGTCATCCTGTTTGTTTATACTGTAATACGATTGCCTCTTCTGATCTGCATCTTCCCCTTCTGCATCAGGACTCCCTGAGGGCAGGGGACTATTGCTCAAGGCCTGGCTCATGGTCGCAGCTTATTACATTCCCGCTGAATCAATGACGGTAGCTCATGGGAAGGTGAAGTGAGAAAAGTCAGCTGCAGTCATTGTGCAGGTAGCTTGCACAGTGCTAGCTGCACCTCCTTCACCAGCTACAAAGCTTGAGAAAGTGGATCAAATACCTGAATTCTCTCCAGTAACAGGTTAATTTCTCAGGCTGCTGATGTCACTTTCGGCCAGATGTCAAATTGCCTCCTGTGAGCAGGGCCATTTTTCTGTGGCACACCAATGGGTCCAACCCACCTCCCTGAATGTGAGCTCTTAATAGGAGAGCCTCAGACTGAGTGATGCTTTAAGCATTTTAGTTCCTGCTGCTTTTCACCACAACTTTTTCTGCATTGTCTTGACATTTGTCTTATCTAGGTATGGAGAATACAGTTGACTGTCTATCCAGCATTCTTCTCCTACTTCCTCCTTCTTTCGAAAACTCTGATTCAGTGCAGGACCCACCACCCCTTCTACACTCAGACACATGCCCCTGGGGACCCTGGCCCCATACTTAGCTATATAGAGAGTCCCTGGTTGGATTAAGCCAATCATTGAGTTTCATTCCCCACTCCTGCCCCTCCCACTAAGTCGCTGGTTTTTGGTGGGCACATGATCTGGGTTGTCCAATCAGAGCAAAGTATTCACTGGCTTGTCCAACGTAGCTCCTGCTCCACCTTCTCCTTCTGCAGCTGCTCCCCACCTTCTCCTGCAGCTGCTCCCCACCTCCTCTCCTCCACACTATAAAAGGATTTGCCACTCACTGGCCCTATCTCTGCAGCTCATGGAGATTATTCAGGGCTCCCTCTACATAGCCCATTGCTGTGTTTGCTGTTATCACCACCAGGGTGTATGCGACAGCTCAGTCCCAGAATCTGCTCTTACTTATCTCCAGGACTAGCTATGGAGAGGGAGGTGTACAGACATCCCAGCTCTGACACTTCTACCAGAGCAGCCCTCTCACCCTTTTCAACACTTGGCCTACAGAGGCTGAAGTCCCCAGTTGACATACATACTTACACACATCCTTTTAATAGACAAAGGCAACACGCAGCCAAGCAGCAAAGAGAAGACCCTGGTAACTACACTCAGATGAAGGCTGCAGTGCTGCCTTCCTCTATGTCCAGATGAGGCAGCCAGAGTGCACAGAGGAGTTAAGCCATGACCAACAAACCCATGTGGAATGTGAATACTTGAGCCCCACTCTGCTGGCCAAATAAACGCATACAGTGCAATCTGCCATCTGAGGACGAGGATGGCTTCCCGGCAGGCGAAATCAGGATGCCCTCACAGACATGCTTGCACAGAACAGGCCCTTTCAAAAACACACACAATTTCTGAGGAGGAGATGAAAATGTTTTGGAACTGGCAGAGCTGGTGGTTGTACAACACAGTGAATGTACTAAATGCCACTGGATTGTATACTTTATTTTTTAATTTTTCTTTTAGAGACAGGAGACAGGATCTCATTCTGTCACCCAGGCTGGTGTGCAGTGGTGCGATCGTGGCTCAATACAGAGTCAAACTCCTGGGCTTAAGCAATCTTCCTGCCTCAGTCTTCCAAGTAGCTGGGACTACAGGTACGTGCTACCACATCTGGCCAATTTTTTATTTTTTGTAGAGATGGGGGTCTCACTGTGTTGCCTAGGCTGGTCTTGAACTCCTGAGCTCAAGCAATCCTCCTGCCTTGGCCTCCCAAAGTGCTAGGATTATAGGCATGAGCTACTGCATCCAGCCTGATTATATACTTAAAAATGGTTAAATTTATGTCGTGTAAATTTCACCTCAATTTAAAAAAAATACACACAGGGGCTGGGCGTGGTGGCCCACGCCTATAATCCTAGCACTTTGGGAAGCCAAGGCAGGAGGATCCCTTGAGCCCAGTTTGAGACCAGCCTGGGCAACATAGGGAGACCCTGTCTCCATTAAGAAAAAGAGAAAAAAAGAGGAAAGAAATACACACAGGTCCACAAGTGTGCAAAGGTATGATCTTGCCTTACAGGTACCCAGACACACATGCGTGTGTATGCACACATGCACACTCACCTAGATTTCTTTGAAAATTCAGAAAATTCTTGCAGAATTACCCTGCAAGAAGTCCCTGGAGGCCAAGAGTTGATGTGTTGACATCAATTCTTCACAATATGCATCCATCACCACTGAGCACAGCTTATCCTCCTTGCACGGGTTTGATGCCCTCCCCTCCCCTGCCTATTCTGTATTACTTCCCTTTATCTTCTTCCCACCAGCTCTGGCCCTTTTATACTACAGACGGTTCCCCGTGGGGGCTCTTCCCGGCCTATCACAAAACAAATAGCCTCATGACATTACTACAGCCTATGTAACTTTACAGCCCAGAAGAGTGCCTGCTCATGCCTTCACAGCAACCCAGGCTACCCACTGACTCTTCACCATCAGCCTAGGAGATAGGTCAGCTGCCACCTCACTGATGAGGAAATAGGATCAAAGAAGCTCACCACCTGTCCAGAGTCACACGGAGAGGTGGGTAGGAGTGAAGCAGGAATGCAATTCTCCTAACCACGAGTGTAGGACCCTCTCCCACACAACCCCTCTTTGTTTCAACCAGGTAGTCTATCATGGGGTTTCAGACACAGACCTCCTGAGTCTCTGAGTCAGGCTTCCTAGCTGTGTGGCCCTGGGCACAAGTTACTTACCTTTTCTGTTTCTTTTATTTATAAAATGGACTACTAATGGAGCCTCCTCTTAAACACTGGGAAAAGAAATGAGCTAAGGTATGAAAGGCACTTAACACATGTGCTGGCTGCTAATTTATAACCATGTCCACCGAATAGTGTTCCTTTTCCATTCAGTTTCAGCAGATTTGGGGCAGAGTAATAAATAGGCAGAAAATGAGAACTGAATGTGAAATTAACTTCAGCACAAACGCACTGAGAAATTTTGCTGGTTTAAATAAGTGTGTAGGTTTACATGGCAGGCAAGGACTAAAGTCAGGTATTTTATTAAAATACTGAGAAAATAGCTAAACTGATATATCTCAAATACGTTTTTCAAAAAAAATCAAAGGCTGGGAAGGGAAAAGAGTCAAATGCACATGGGCTTTGATGTGGCCACGGAGTCCTCTCGGCCCACTTTGCACACAGCAGGCAGGTTTCAGTGGCTCCCTGTACAATAATGCACACATGTCTACACTAGCATCCTCTGTGTTCCAAGAAGTTCAGACAATCTAGCAGCTCAACTTCTTGATTTCCTACTCTAAAGGACCTGGCTAGGGAGGAGTGCCATTTCTGAAGCAAAGCAAGAGCCAGTGAGACAAAATCAAAGAGAAGCAACAGTACAGATAGAGGAGGAAACTAGTAACAATAGAACTTTATAAGAAAATCACCAGATAAACTGTCATTCCAGTGGTTTCAAGTATCTATTCTCTTTTGTGTATTCTCATAAAAGCCTTAGAGTCAGCAACGGGACAGGTGGTGTCATTCCTCTCTTTCTCCAGGGCAGTGAGGGCAGCAGCTGAGCCCAGGCTCTCGGTGAAGTGGTGGAAAACTATCACTGGAGCAGTTGGGCTGGCAGCAGTGGGGATGAGGGAGTTTCAAACTTAGAGGTATAGACCCTACAGTCTGGTGAAATTGCATAGGAACCGGCTAGGTCCCTGTTCTCATCCCCACCCTGTGCTGCCGATAAGTGAGTCTTGTCAGAGCCTGTGCTCCATCGTTTGGGCCTGTGTTATGTGCTGCCTGGAAAATCAAATCGTGTGAGTCTCCCTTCAAAGAGCCACTGGCTTAGTTAAGCAACCAGTGAGACACTGGCAGCAAGGGGATGTCATGAGAACAGTGGAATGCAGATCTGGAGTCAGAGGGCCTGGCCCGAGGTCCAGGGTGGCCTCTCACTGGCCATGTATGTAATCTTGTTCAAGTCATTTCCCTATCTCTGACCCTATTTCCTCATCCACTAAAAAAATGCGGTGCAGAGGGAGGGGTAGACAGTATGACCTACCTCTTAATGTCATTGTTAGGGCTAAATGGGATAAACGGGTCCAAGGAAGCCTCAAATGTAGGCACAGATGAATACAAGAGCCAAGAGCCATTGATGCTAAGTGCCACAGGGATTCAGAGTGGAGAGAATACATCTGCCCTTGACAAACAGAAAAGGCTACATGGAAAAATAGGTATTACTGGATGTTCTCTGTTAATCTCTCCATCAAGGCACCCATCTTCAGAAGACCGTGCCCTTTAGAAGTCCAAACTATGTAGCTCAGAGTTCAAGGTTGGCCATGCAGTCATCAAACTCCTCTTCCCACCTTAGATTTAATGGCTTCTCCGATGAACGACTACTCTGTAGCCAAAATGAACATAGGCTGCTCCCACACCTCCCCATCCACCCCAGCTTCTCCCACATGACTCTTTCTGTGCTCTTTTCTTGGCCTGGAATACTCTGTCTTGCCTGGGCCCCCTTGCCACCCCAAACCATACACACATACCAGCTACTCACTTAGGAAAACTGTCCAGACCCTCCCCTCACCGTACTCTTCCTGCCTGGCCAATGTCTTTGATACCTGTATCAAAGGTATATATACATATGTACATATATACACATATATATATACACACACATATATATCAAAGGTGTATATATATATACACACACACACAGACATATAAACGTGCGCACACACACATACCTGTATATACATATATATACTAATATATTAGAGAGATATATGTCTATATACAGGTTTTGTGTGTGTGTGTGTGTGTGTGTGTGTGTGTGTGTGTGTGTTTATGGGGTCTATAGTAGGACACTCTATGCATTTGAGATAGGGCTACATTTTGAAAATTAAGTTAATGAAAATCAATTTGTAATTGTTATTAGTCATCTGTAATACGGTTTATATTCAGATGACTGAGACACTTCAAAACACCCAAATCTAATCAAGGTGACTGCAATGTAACTAAAGAAAGCTATAACCTAATGGAGTATGTTTTGGCCTATCTGAAAAATATGTTAACTGAAAAGTCATGGTCTATACAGACTCTACGCAAAGTCTAGCAAAGTAGAAATTGCATAATGAGAATATTAGTGACTATCTACCTCTGTCCAACAGTAAGACAGCGGATGCTGGAGCTAGTGGACACAACAGATCCTGGCCACTGGAAACCCATGCTCTCGTATGGAAGGAAAACGTGATCACGTGACCCCAGGATCCAGATGAAACAGAAATCTCCTCCCAGAAATCCAACTCGCTTTGCTGCAAAGCCTGTATGCCAAGCAACTTCTTTATTAATTCATCAGGAGCCTGGCCCTGAACAGAATATCCACCACTATAACTTTGTTCTTCATATTTATGTTTCTAACTATAAAAAAAGAGAAGACTTCAGTTAAGTCCCAGCCAACTGAACGTATGCATTTATCTTTGACCTCTCCAAAATCCTCTAACATGTACAGTAATTGTTTTAAAAAACATAAAGCCACAAGGACAAAAGAAATAGGAAAAGAAATAACAATAACAAAATTTAGAAGCTAAAAGGCAAAAAAACAAGTGGAACTTACTTAACAGGCCCACGGAGCCAAATTCGGAGCGAGCAATGAGGTGCCAGTTAAACACCGGACTGCACAGCAGACCTCCCTGAGGGTCTGAAGCTATGGGAACCAGAAGAGCGCCTGCTTCTGCAGCTGGACTGAACGCGGAGCCACAAGCAAGAGGGTGGAACGAGTTTGCTTTTTAATACCTTTTCCCCTTCCCTATCATGATAAATGCTCCCCAATCCTGGTGAAAGGCAGATGATACTTATTCTCTGGTAAGGGCAGAACTAGGCTTCCCGAATGGGAGACACCAGGCCCAGTCGAAGCACACAAGGCCACGGTACAAAGAAAATTGAGACCCCCCTCCAACACTCTGCTTCTTTCACTCGCCTCCCAGGATGAATCCCTCGGGCAGAAGAGTAGAAGATTCTTTCCTGGTTTATATGACTAGCCCAAGGGGGAAGACCAATACCTACTAACCCTACAGGTTCCCCAATAAAAAGACCCCAACAGATCACCCTACAACAGTGGTTCTCAACTGGGGGTGGGGTAAGTGAGGACTGGTGTTGCCCCAGGAGAACATCTGGCAATATCTGGAGACATTTCTGTTTGCCATCAATGGAGGAGGGATGCTGCTGGCATCTAGGGGGAAAAGGCTGGGGATGCTGCTAAACAACCTACAGTGCACAAGACAGCCCCCCCACAACAAACAATCCAGCCTTCAATGTCAACAGTACTGAAGCTGAGAAACCCTGACCAACAGGGAAGCTCAGAGTCAACCAGCCCTGCCCATACATGCTTTCTCATGTGCTCAATGCCACTCTTGTAAACACAGATAGACATTTGAGGAACTACCTGAAAGAGATCAAAATTAGAGATTACACAGAGAGACAAAAAATTTGAAACACTATCATTAATATCCTCAGAGAAATCAGAGATGATATACCATCAAAAAACAAACTAGACAGGTACAGTGGCTCATGCCTATAATTCCAAAACTTTGAGAGGCCGAGGCAGGTGGATCACTTGAGCACAGGAGTTCAAGACCAGCTTGGACAACATGGCAAAACTTCCTCTCTACCAAACAACAACAACAACAACAACAAAAAGAAACCAAAGAAACAAACAAACAAAAAACTAGCCAGAAGTGGTGGCATGCAGCTATAGTCCCAACTACTCAGGAAGCTGAGGTGGGAGGATCACTTGAACCTGGGAGGTGGAGGTTGCAGTGAGCCTAGATCACACCACTGCACTCCAGCCTGGGCAACAGAGTGAGAGCCTGTCTCAAACAAAACAAAACAAAACCTAAACCGCTTAGAAGATGCTAAAGAAAAAAAGAACATCCAGACAACAGGAAAAGGCACTTTAAAAATAGAATCACATTTCAAAAACAGAATAGAAGGGGTAGATGATAAACTTGAGGAAGTTTCTATTTCTCCCCAAAATAAAGAAAAAAGACAGAAAGGAAATGTAAGATAATTAGAGGATCATTCCAGCAACTCCAGCATCTGAATAGTGGAAGTTCCAGGGTAACAAAAGAGACTGACTGAAACTAAATAAACCAAAGAAATAATCCAGGAAAATTTGTTAGAACTGGAAGATATGAGTTTCCAGATTGTGGGTACCCAGCCAGGCCCTACCCCAAAGCCTATGATTGTGAAATTTCAGGAGGTTAAAATGGCAGATCCTAAGTTTCAGAGAGGAAAAATGGGTTCCTGACAATGGATCAGGGATCAGGTTGGCAGGGGACTTCTAAACAACTTAAATAGAAGCTGAAAGACAATGGGACAATGCCTTAAAAATTCCAAAGGGAGAAAAAATATAATCTATTTTCAAAGTATCAGTCCGGTATGAAGGAATAAAAACATTTTCAAACATACTAGGTATCCCAAAAGTTGCCTACAATGACTCTTTTCTCAGGAAACTAATAAAATATACATTCCACCAAAGTGAGGAAATAAACCAGTAAGACCTGAGATCCTGGAAACAGGGATCTAATACAAGAGATAGAGGCAAAGAGAATCCTAATAAACCTGAAGGGAAATCCCAGGATAACAGCTGTGCAGCAGGCAAGAGGCACCAGCCCAGCTACAGCAGGTTAGAAGGTGCAGGAGGGATGGCTGCAAAAGAAGAAACTGACAGAATACTTGATATGACTTGCTGCATGGGAGGGTGAATTTTGCATGAAATAGCTGAGACATACAGTGAAAACCAAGTAAGAGAAGCAACAAGATAATTGTTCACTTGAGAAACAGAAAGTGGTACAAGAAAAAAAATATAATCATAGTACACTACATGGCTCAGCTGTGAATAGTCATAAAAATATAAACACTGATCAGTGGTCAAACTGAAATTACAATATAGCTCCTACAGAAAGGTGGATAGGAAGTGGAAGATATGTGTGAAAGGGAGCTCAGGCCTCATCAGTCATCATGTGAATTCAACAGAGAATATTTGTTATCAAAATAAACAGCAGAGTTGAAAGTGGTTGTCTCAGGGTAGTGGGAAATGTCTTTTCTGCAGGAGAAGTAAAGAGGAATATTTTATTTCTTCATAATAACTCCTTCCAGAACTGCTGACTCTTTAAACCATCTGCATATAGAAGTTTGATAAAAATGAGTTTTTTTAAAAAAATTAGGGAACACAATAAAGTATAAAGAAGTAAATTTCTAAAATTATTCATGGTCACCACCTAGAACCAACCACTTTAACATTTTGACTATTTTGTTCTGATTTTTCCTCTGCATATTATACATGTGCATTTTCTTTAAAGTTTTAATCATACTATACATATATATATGGTTTTGATTCCTGCTTTTTCACACTTAACACATCATTAGCCTTTTCACATTTCTTTAAATATTTGTTGAAGGCAGTTTTTAATGGCTGTGATTATTCTAATATAAATCATTCTGTGATTTAGCAACTCCCTTTTTACTATGCATCAATGTGTTTATAATTTATCACTATTATAAATAACATTGTGAAGAATATCATTTTATGTAAATCTCTGGGTACACTGAATGTTTTCTAGGCATAAATTCATAAAATCAGATCACTGCAAACCAAAGAGTCTTTGGCAAATTAACCTCCAAACTGGTTGTTTCAGTTTTCATTCCCAAAAATGGGGCAGAGAGTATTTACTTTCCTTTCTCCTTTTCAACTTGATAGGTTGAAAAACAAAGTTTTTATTCACATGTCTTTACAGAGTGTGTTTTCATTGGCTATTTGTTTTTCTTCTCTTGTGAGCTATTGGTTTATGTCTTGTCCATTTTTCCACTGGGGCTACATGGTAGATTAACTCTTTGGCAACCTCATTTATAGGCTGATCTCTTACGAGTTAACATAAATCAGACCCATGTACCTGATGGTCCTTGAAAGCCCCAATAAAATTGTTTCTGAATCTAAACGGCCCCACAGAAACCTTGCCTATCTGGGAAGCTCAGGTCAAACAGCCGGGTAGTTGGGCACCTTTCTAACACTCCTCACTCACATTTCATGATTTATATGCACATCCCATTTTCTACTTGCATTCTGGCCAGCTCTATTCATCTTCCAACTGGACTGTAAACTCCTACGGGGGAAGAACCCGATCGGATGGAATTTTGTGTTCCTCACCTCACTCTTATGTTTAATGGATATTTATATGTTTGATAAATAAAGCTATTAGGGTGTGGTTGGGGTGGGAGAGTATATGAACAGAGGCACAGAGAAAACAAGAACACTGGAAGGTCCAGACCCAAGCATTAAAAGGAACAAAAAAAAAAAAATTAAAAAAATTTTTTAAGAAAAAGAATATCAGAAGGGTAGAGAAGAGATCAGCCCTCGCCTCTACCTGAGCCAGGGGCGAAGGCAGCACCACAAGTGCACAACTAGCAGAACTTCACTTTGTACCTTGAAACCCTGAAAATAGTCCCCAGAGCCCGGGAAAGAATGGCCATGGAAGAACAACTGAAAAAGAGCGGGGGCAGGAATAAAATGGAAAGAGAAAGATCACAGAGCCATAAAAAGGAATGGAATGTTGATACCTTCTACAACATGGATGAACCTTAGAAAACGTTATGCTAAGTGAAAGAAGCCAGACACAAAGGGCAAACATTGCAGGATTCCATTAATATGAAATGTCCAGAATAGGTAAATCCATAGAAACAGAAAGACAGATTAGTGGTTGCCAGGAGACGGGGGAGGAGGAATGGTGGGGAGTGACTGTCGGTGGGTATGGGGTTTCGTTCTGGGGTGATGAAAGTGTTCTCTGAATTATGCCTCAAAAAATAAAACAAAGGAAAGAGGAGGAAACTTACATATCAAGCAGTTTGACACACCAGCAATTTCTCTGAGTAATTACTTGCGTCTTAACACCAGCTTGCCTAGATGCTACTTCCATACTAGCTTGTTCAGACAACAGGAGGCATTCCGGTCTCCCAGTCAAGACACAAGTGAGCAGGTCAGCATCCTCACCATGTCCCCCTCCTACCGACTTATCACAGAGGGCCACAGGCCACTCTGGAAGCACACCTGACATAAAGCCCAGTGAAGGACTCCTACAGGTCTAGACTTGCTGGAGAACAGTACATGCGCATAGCCAGTATTTCATCCAAACAGACCTGGCAGCCTGTCTGCTTAATGAGCTCTGTGAGTCCAGAAATGAGTCCCACTTTGCTTAAATGGTCAATGTATTCAAATCGCCACCTATAACCTGCTTTAAAGCCACTCAATAATGTCCAGACAGGTCAGAATTTCCTCTCAAATGAGCTGATAGGAAAGCCAATATGGATATGATATAAAGTGATGGGAAAGGTTCTTTCCATAATAATCTTACCACCAGACTCCCCTAAATTTAACACACACCTAGTTCCTACTGGGGCCCCCAACACTTGTGCAAAGTGCTATGTGCTACGTGCAGTCCTGCAGGGACGGCAAGGGGAAGAGTTTACAATCTGCATGGGGAGCAAAGATTTACACATGAATAAAACCAAATGCTAGAGTGCAGCCTGGAGACAATTCACTTAGTGGAAATTCTAAGGAGGGACTCGACCACTAGAGGGCCGGAGTCAGAGGTGAGGAGGTCATGGGGTGCCTCAGCCTCAGTTGGACTTCTCACTTTCTGCAGTGGATGAATACCCAAAGCTCTCGCCTGTTGGACGAAGTCCCTGTCCGAAGGAAGCAGAGCCCCCATCTGCCTGCTCTGTCCCTCCTCGTGTCCAGTCCCTTCCCCATTCCTCCAGGGCCAAGGAGGCTGGTGGAAACACCTCCAGGTAATCAGCTCACTGGGGAAGACAACTCTGTGAAAAGTAAGCTGGATTAAATGGAATTTTAATTGAACTGGATGCTCAAAATTAAATGCTCTCTCAGTGGCTGCTCCTAGAGGGGGCACACTTTGAGCCAACTCATTTATAATCCCAACCATTATGCCATTTGAAAGAGGATGGGTTTTCTAGATTGGAACAAATTTGAAAAAAAAAAAAAAAGAAAGAAAGAAAAAAATGTAAAAGAGCAGGCGCAGGAGAATAAAGGGAGGGGAGAACACTTGCACAGAAAGCAGAGGTCAGCCAGGAAAGAAGTAATTACTGGCAAGATGGGTGTTTGAGTAACACAGCCCTTCCTCTCCCTTCAGCCACTCCTTGTGACCCGCCTGGGGAATGTTAACACAGAAAGGACGTCATTGCCCATCTGATGCTTTGGAACTAATTTAGCACAAACCAAGCTGCCATCCTTCTCAGGGACAGGGTCTGTCACCACCCAGAGGAGTGCTAACCTCAGCCACAATGAACAGAGCCCTGTCCAGGCGTCCTGTCTATCGAGCCCCTTAATATGCGGGAGAGAAATAGCTTGGTGTTTAGGCCGCATCAAGAAATACCTGCAGAGCCTACTGGGCGCACAGCCCTAGGCCACATAGCACACTAATGGAGCCAAGGCACCCCACAAAAAATTCTGCTTCCATTTTTTTTCTCCTGATAGCACTGCGGCCCTTCTCCACCAGGTGAACTGGATAGGGAGCACCCATGGCTGAATCATTCAATTCATTCCAGTAATTACGGATAATCTCAACCATGTGTAAAGAACTAGAAATGAGGGTATATGGGGGTGTGTTTTGTGGGGCTGGGGGTTTAAAAATTTATAAATTAAAAAAAAAAAACACACACACACAATGAGATCCTGTCATTTGCAACAACATGGATAGAACTGGAGATGATTAAGTAAAATAAGCCAGCAACAGAAAGACAAACATCACGTATTCTCACTTATTTGTAGGATCTTAAAAATCAAAA